>NC_000005.10:101359807-101984807 GCF_000001405.40 Homo sapiens
CTTTGTTTTTGAGCAAAATCATACATTTGCACTTTAATATTTTTGATAATTGCATGCCTCTCTTTGGACATCTATAGAATTTTCCAAGAAGAGGGTGACAAGGAGCATTTGCTTGTGCCCCTGTGTTATCCATGTTTAAGTTTGTCTTTTCAGTTTCACAATAGAGGAAAAAAACATTCTTTTTATTCATCAATTTAAAAACAGGACTACAAAAGCTGAATTACTTGACAGATGAGGGAAGAATTTCAGGACACTTTACAGATGTCAATTCAAAATATTTGGCACAATGTGATTTCCTGCTAATACAAAATGCTAGAACTGGAGAAGATCAAAATTAAACTCTAAGGGTTATTAAGAAAGATTAGAAACCTTTAAGTAAAATGCTTGATGAAAAAAAAATTGTGACAAGATTATTTGACTTTTTCAACACATGTAAGAGAAATGCTGTTTACCTGGAAAATGTTAATTTTATTTTCATTAGCGGGAAGGGACACTGGATGCTTACAATAATGGAATTTACAACAGAAAGCAGTTAATTTTTACTCTAGATAAAAGGCCTTTTATTATTCTGGATCTAGAACAAAGTGATTTATGCCATAACATTTCCTCAAGGACTTTTAGGAAATCAGGAAGATAGTATACATTCATGCTGCTTTTAAAAAAGTTACCCATCAGGTTTTCATCTTGGCAGTTCCTTTCAACTTTAACTTTCTCTTACCTCATATCTCCCCATATTTCTATGCAAAATAGGAATTTTAATTTTTAAAAAATTCTATGATCTTTCAGGTGTCAATATTAAATATTTACATTGATTCATCACATGATAATTATTATAGACTCAAATTAGCCAACGGGTATGACAAAAACCAGACACATAGACAATAAATAAACAGAAACTTCTATGAACTGGTGAATATACAAGTTTAAAAGCCAGTATATTCTAACATTATGCATGGTGATATCAGGTTGAATTTCAAATATCTTATTTTATATTAGTATTCTTAGTCCATTGTATGATCTATCTATCTATCATCTAATCCATGTATTTTCAGAGCATGATTCAGACTAAAAATACCATGGTAAAATTGTGTGTATAGGCAGGTTGGGGAGAAGAGATCAGATAGTGCAGAAGAGTAGATTAGATAGAGAAAAAGTATTTATATTTTTGTGAGGTCATTTATCTGCAACGGAGTAAAAATATTATGGAAACACCAGTGTCACTATCATAAGAGCAAGAAGGATGTTATATGAATGAGCACAAATATCATGGTATGTGATATTTTTAGGTCACAAATACTGAGAGAACCCATCTTTATTTCTTATATAGCCTAGGTGCCATTTTTAGAGATAAGACTTAGGCAAATTCATTTCTTCACTCTGTTTTGCTATTTACTTTGAGTATATATCATATGTGTTGCCTGAATTCCATAGATCCTTAGAGTATTTTATAGATTATCCTTTATAAAGCTAACATTCTCTTAATATGTCAAAATATAAATAGAAAAACTGAAACAAAAAACTTACAACAGAGTTTTAACTATGTTGCTCAAAATAAATGTAGTGGTTTTTATTAAAAGTGTTTTATTATGTTATCTTTAGAGGGATTCCTGTATTAACGTCCTGGGACTACTGTAACAAAGTACCACAAAATGAATAACTAAGAACAACAGAAATTTATTTCCTCATAGTTCTGGAGAATAGAGTTTCAAAATTGAGGTTTCAGCATGACCATGCTCCATTTGAAGGCAGTAGGGAAGGATTATTTTCTCTCTCTTTCAGTTTCAGGTAGTCTTAAATGTTACTTGGCTTATGGCAACAAAACTCCAATCTTCACATGGCATTCTTTTATGATGATTTACATAATTTTTCTTCTGTGTACATCTGTCTCTGTGACCAAATTACCTCTTTTTATATATAGGCAGTCATATCAAATTTGGGCCCACCTTAATGATCTCACACTATCCTGATCATCTGCACAGACTCTATTTTCAAATAAGGTCAGGGTAACAGGTACTAGAGATTAGGACTTCAGCATCTTTTGCGGAACACAATTCTACTGATAGTAACTCCTAAAGCCAGTGTTGCAAGCTCCCTTCCTCATGGCTATCTACTTATGTTCATTTATTTAGTTCTTCACTCAGTTTAACACATGCTTTCTTAAATGAATTAGTCCTAGGAAATGCTCAAGTTTTAATTGCTAAAGTTACTTTTGAAAGACAGTCAATGTAGTCTTTTGCAAAATCAGGGAAACACTTAAAATGCTATAATCTTTTCTTGGCTCATGGCTTATCTAATTTACAAGCTTTCTTCTTTTAAACATCAAGACATACATCCCCCTTTGAATGACTAAAGATAGCTAGAAGTGTCATGTTAATAAGTGTGGGCCATATTTCTCCTTGCATCTGACTTTCTTTCTTCCACAGCAAATACTAACACTGCTGCCAGCATCTGCAGTCCCCTCTGCTGGCTACCCCTAAATACTTCAAGTTGACACTTGCTATGCTTTGGATGTGTCCCCAAAATTTCCTGTGTTGGAAACTTAATGCAACAGTGTTGGGAGGTAGGAGCTAGGAAGAAATGATTAGGTAATTACTTCCTAATGACTTGGAAATGATTAAGTATACAAACATAGACATACACACACACACACACACACACACAAACACACATCTTTCCTATCCTTCATAGTGTCTAGAAAATTGTTATGAAAATGGTTGGATAAATGTATCTTCCTGATAACTTGAAATAAATTAAACAAAGAATAGCCCTTTTTTTCTGTCATCTTTATCTTTTCATATTTGCCTCAACATTAATTTTTTTTTGAGGGCAGGGGCTAGTTGTTCCTATGCAGCTTTCAGACACATTTCCATTATGCTTATGTTCTATCAGAATCATCAAAGATAGGATAAATGGGTTTACAAGCATAAAAGTTTTAGCTAAAAACAAAAGAAAAAATGTATTGCTCATCTAAATAATTCAGAGTTCTCCTGAGTTTAAAATAAGAAAAATGTATATAGTATGCACATTTGTTTTAGATATAGTTATAGACAAACATTTTTTTAAACATTTAAGTTGTTTCCATTTTAACTCATCCTAATGAAGCTACGAAAGCTGACCTCATAACCCCTTACTAGAAGATTCCTCATTATTAGATAGTTATGATTTACATCTTCATAGGAGAGTAACACTTCACTGACATTTTTCTTTTACTCACTACAGTTCCTTATTTCTGAAAATAAGCACTATTATATTTCCCTGGGCAATTCTTTACAGATCATTAGGAATAACGTCAAAATAACTAAGGCACATTCAATCTAAACAACTTTAAATAAGTACAAAAGCAAATTTTCTTAATTTGAAAACTTTAGAATTTAGGCCAAGACCATTTTATTCTGGGAACTAAAAATTAGTCACACAGTTAAGGAGGAAACAATCAAAGAGTTAAAAGTAATTAAGAAAAAAATGTGTTTTTAAAGGTATCTTAATGGACACCACGCTTCAACTTTAAATTAACAAAAGTCAAAAATAATGACAGTCCCCAATGCAAATAAACATTTAGCTTAGTTTTCAATTAGTAATGATGCAAATTTTAGAAGTATTTATGCAAGAGTTTTGACAATATGTTTCAAAAGCATTAAATGTATTTATAAACTTACCTTAAAACATTATGAGTACTTACCACTAGGTGGTAATCACTTTCATATTCTTTCTATTGTTTATATTTTTTTCCAATTTTTCTGTAATGAACACTTATTAAAGATATTATTAGAGGTTAATGCAATGTTAAGGAGAAACAATGTTATAAAACTTTTTTAAATGTTTATACAATTAATCTGTTAATCCTTTTTTTGATGATTTATCTTATAAAAGTCCAAAGAAGGAAAATAATTTATGAATGACGATATTTGCCTAAGATTATTTAAAATAGGAATAGTATCAGGAAGAACCTAAATACCATATATTGATAACATGGTTAAGTAAATTGCAGTACTCTCTTTGGAACAAAAATAAGATTTAGAAGAAAACATGTAAAGTAATATTTATGAATTTTAATAGTGATGTATACGTAATAATTATTTCTAATATTTTTCTATTGCATTTCTCTTTAAGTAGATAAAATAAATATTTTATGTGTGTATTTAAAATTTTAAATTTCTCTTCCAAATAGCATACTCTTACAAAATGACTAGAATCTACCCTCTATTTCAGCTACACTCTCTAGTGCTACTCAGAGCTGCAAGATTAAGTCCTAAAAATTTGATTCCTGAGTTCAAAATGAATTGAATAACCATCACATTTAAAAAATTATCTAGCACATACAGTTATTGTAAGTTATGGAAAAGTATAGTTATTTATTCAATCTGCATGGGGAAGAACATTAACTCATAATTAACTACTTGTAGACATATCCTTGAGCTAGGTAGCCCTTAAAAATTACAAAATAAAATGTATAGCTAAAGATAATTATCCTAAAAGGAAAGTGCATATGACTTTCTTCCCTAACAATCTAAATACATATGCTCAAATTAAATGTGACCTCCTAGATTCTACTTTCTACATAAGACTATAAATGTTATGATAACCTGATATGCTCTGTGTAAAAAATGTTTGTGACATTTGTCAAAGCATGGTAAAAATTAAGAACAGCAGCAACAACAAAAAGTTGAAGGGAAAAGTGGCTTATTTCAACAAACCAATTATTTAGTAAAGAAATACTAATGGAAGGGTAGGGCTTGTTTTAAACAGCCAGCCCTGACTTCCAGAAGAGGAAGCACATGATCGCCTGCACGGCTGCACAACAGAACTGGAAAGACACCTTGTGCTTATAGAAAACACATTTGAAATTCAAGGCCAGACAAGCGAGTCCTCTTTTCTGAAGCGGCTGCCAAGGAGATTCTGAGGTCATTTTGGTTAACATGTGACACAATATGTGAGCAAAGGTCAGATGAGTCCAGGATAAATATTCAATCCTCCTGACATCTCCCATCTCATTCTATTAGTTTGTAGAGGAACAAGAGCTTCAGCAGGAATGTTGCAATCAGAATGAAAGGAACTTGGTCTGAATAAAAAAGAAAAATAAATTGTTTGAGTTGTTTAAAAATTTACAAAGTGCCAAAGAAACCTACAAATTGATTTAAACTCTTATGAGGTAGATATTATGGAGGAAACTGAGATTTTTGAAGAGATACATTCTTTATCTAGGATCATCACAAATCACTTAGGTATTGGGGTTAGATGATAAAGACAGGAATTACAGTCATGTACCACATAATGATATTTTGGTTAACAAAGAACCACATACACAAGAATGGTCCCATAAGATAACACCATATATTTATTGTACCTTTTCTTTCTTTCTTTTTCTTTTCTTTTCTTTTTTTTTTTTTTTGAGACAGAGTCTCGCTCTGTCGCCCAGGCTGGAGTGGGAGTGCAGTGGTGCGATCTTGGCTCACTGCAAGTTCCGCCTCCAGGGTTCACGCCATTCTCCTGCCTCAGCCTCCCTAGTAGCTGGGACTACAGGCGGCTGCCACCCTGCCTGGCTAATTTTTTGTATTTTTTTTTAGTAGAGATGGGGTTTCACCATGTTAGCCAGGATGGTCTCGATCTCCTGATCTCGTGATCTGCTCACCTTGGCCTCCCAAAGTGCTGGGATCACAGGCATAAGCCACAGTGCCCGGCCTACTTATTGTACCTTTTCTAATAAAGATATGTTTAGGTACACACGTACTTAACATTGTTTTCCAATTACCTGCAATATTGAGAGCAGTAATAGGTGTTGCTCAATATTGTAACACATTGGTAACTATGTGTGTATCTAAACATTTCTATATTATACAACCATTATACACAAACATATTATAGATATGTTTAGATATTACATGCTGTAAAGGTTTGCAGCCTAGGAGCAATAGGCTATATCATATGGCCTAAGTGTGTAGAAGACTGTGTCACCTGGGTTTGTGTAAGTACACACTGCTGTTCTCACAATGCAGACATCGCCTAATGACACGTTTCTCAGAACGTATCATGGTCATTAAGCGAAGCATGGCCCTATGTGTTCTAAAACAACTACTGCTCACTGTTACACCGCATTGTCTCATTACTGAAAACTTTCTTTAAGACAAAAATCTTCTACTATATCAATTTTTGTTGGTGTTGTAAGTCTACTTGTAGGTAGATGGGACAAATAGTTAGCAGGGCAATTTTACTCAGGTTTCGCTTAGTTCTGTAGCCATAGCAATAGCCCTTAGCCAAACATTTAATACTAAACCTTCAGGCTCTCATTGTGACCATGTAATGTGATAGGTCAAGATGAAACAAGCTGTCAGCATATTTAAGGAAAACATAAAGATTAGTGATAAATTTGGTTGTTGGCTTGAAGTTTGCATCTTTAAGAATTCTGGACCCCAATACTCAGGGGTCTACTTGGGTGAATCTACTTGGGTGGCAATATCTCACATGAGAAAATTACATTTTATGTTAAGCTCACAGAAAGAGAGGGAGAACTTGAAAGCCTAGGTGTGACTTCTCTAGCTTTTGTCCATGTCTGTTTCCTGCTGTTATTGCACTGCATATTTTGCTATAATAAATATTTACCTGATAATAACATTATGTTGAAGTGTATTAATCCAACCAGTAACCAAATTAGTTGTGGGAACCCCCACTCCTTACCAAACAATAGTGATTAAAATGTATGGTGATGGAGCAACCAAATTATACCCTTAGCTTTTTTGTATAACAACACACCCCCATGCATATTGGTTTTACAGCTAAACATTCAAGTTTAGATATATGGCTGCTCCAGATTTCCAAATCATCACAAAGTTAGGAAAGCATTTCCAATTTCAGATCTCTAGCTTAGTTTCAATTACATACATTGATGCCTGTGAATCTCCTGAATTTTGAAAATTTGACTTTCTCACTATTTATCAGCACAGAAATCAGCTGGAATTAGATATTCAGGGTAAGAAAAAAAAGTTTTCCCAGGTGGAAAAAAATCACCTTATGAGCCTTATTTAACATGAAAATAAGAGTAATTAATAAAAAGTAAGTAATGAAAGATTTTATTGTTGTAGGGAATTAAAATGTGCCTCCCAAAAATATGCCAGACTGGCTTAAGGATTATTCTGAGCTGAAGGCAATTAAGAAAAAGCAGGCATAGGGCAAGTTTCTGCCCTCCCCCATCTGCCTGAAAACAAGGCGTAAATTTTCCCTCTGAAGGTGCCTCCCTCTCTTCCCATCAAGGAGGAAGAGAACAATCCGTATCACCAGAGATGAAGGTGGCTTAAAAACAAACCTTACAGCCTAGACCTTAAATAACACTAGCGTCTCCCAGATATCTACCTTCCCATAATTTGCTGCCCTAAGAAGTCCAGAAACCTCCTTCTTTTCCTTACTTCTCTATAAATTTATCACCCCTTGTCCAGATGGCATAAAAGCCTCAAAGACTAGCTGCTGCTTTGAATTTTTTTCTTCATGAGTGACCCTCCCACAATGCCATGGAAAATTTACAGCATCAAATACAATTTGTAAGCTTTTCTCTGGTTAATCTGCTTTTGTCAGTTAATTTTGAAGACCAGACACTGAATTTTTTTTTCAATTTTTCCCCTCCTTATATATAGTGTAACCAAGAGCATAGAAAATAATTTTCCCCGAGGCCCAGTTTCCAGAGGGCGGAAAAGATGGTCACAGGCCAGCAAAGCAATCTCATGCTGAAGGGACTCATCAACAAGGGTGGGTACTCCTCAGAAGGAAAATAACAGAACCATCTTTCAAGCTTCACTGAGCCTTGTATGAAGTACTACAAGATAATCAATGAAGTATGGAGTCAGAAATCTGGGTTGTACGTTTCTTGTCACAAAACTTCTGGCACACTTCTCCAAAATTATTGAATTATTTTCTACACATAGTTTTCATGTGTAAAGTACAATTTGCTACCAATGAGAAAAATATATCTATTTCACAGTTATAGTTATTAATATGTATCTTTCTCAAAGGTTCCAAGCCCTTTACAAGAGAACTTTATGAAAATACTGTACACAGACACCATACTGCCTCTGGCTCTCAATTTAGGAGTATTCTCACTAAAGTCATCCTATTAATGTCTTTAATGAATGTAGTATCAGCTGATGTCTTTAAAATTGTCTCACAAGCCATTATGTAACATTCTGTGGTAAGATAAGCATGGTTTGTTTGCATTGATTTTATCCAATGTCAGAATTATTTAACTTTTATATTAAATAATACAGTTTGTCTATTATATTTAATGAATATGTGACATATTTAGAACCTCCTTGCTCTTTAAAAGTATTCCAATGGTTAATTTGTATGATTTAGTTTGATTTTTAGTATAGAGTATGTTGCTTTTAGCCTAAAGTACTTTACGAATAATGTTCATTTTATTTTAATAAAGAGTAGATATTTATCTACTCTTTGAAAGATCTTATTGTTGTAGGAGATTAAAATATGCCTCCAAAAAATATGCCAGTCTGGCATAAGGATTATTTTGAGCTGAAGGCAATTAAGAAAAAGGAGGCATAGGGCAAGTTTCTGCCCTCCCCCATCTGTCTGAAAACAAGGCATAAATTTTCCCTCTGAAGGAAATCAAAAACCTATAATATGATTTATGAGGAAATAACGCCAGATTAAAAGTGAAATAAACTGAAGCCTACACTCTGTTGATATATTCTTAATCTATAATGTTTCTAACCACTATGAAACCCATATAGTAATGCTTAATGTAGATTAAAGTAGTATTTGAGTCAGTCACTAATCTAGATGGTTTTGAAAACTTAATTTTCAGGAGAGTATAGAAATCATGATACTTAAGTCTCATATAGTTTTGGTATTAGATAAATGATTTAAAATCTGTACTGTATCTAAAAATATGGTTAACTTCCCATTAGTATCTAAATTTACAAAGAAACACATACTGCTTTAGTTATTTTTTCTCTTTAGGGACACAGTCTTCAATTTTGAGCAGTAATTGTTCTATGCTTACTGTATATGTGATGATATTTTCAGGCTATGTTTTATGAGGTTAAAAATATCCTATGATTCATGCTACAATTTTCTCATGTTTCAGACTTCTATTAAAACCTATGGATTATTAATCATAAGTAGAGGCAAATGCCATTTTATGAAATTTTGCCTTGAGAAAAATGTATCTGATTATTCAACACCCATTATGCTCATTTATTATTTCAAATAAATATTTTGAATAATACTTGACACATTATGTAGTGTCTATATGAACAGTCTGCCTATACACAAGATAAATATGCGTGTGTGTGTATGTATGTACGTATGAATATATGAAGTTCAAAATTATCAGGAATGTTCCTTTAATTAAAATTTAATTCATATCTTAAGAAAATCATAATTATTGCTTAACAACTTGTTGGTTTCCTTGGCCATTCTTTTTAATGGTCATTCTTTGTTAATGGGGTCATTTTTAAATTGTGAACTAAAGTATTAATATCTCAATTTTTTTCTATTTACTGTGTTTTCTGTTTTTAGTTATATGATAGCAATATTTTTTGGTCACTGGACACCGATTTAATATTATTATTTGTATAAATCTTATAAAACAGTTTTAATTATCATAAAACAGTTTAAATTGTTAGTACATGTATACAGCTTACTGTTGTCAGTTAATATGGACAATTCAAAGTCACTGCTTTGTTAAGGAAGGGTTCCTAGAAGTGCATAAAATCTTTGAAGAAATACTTTCCTAGCTGTTTTGTAATTATTTATACTTGTCAAAAGTTCTCAATCTTTTTTATTCTTATTCAGTAATTTAGAACTTTGAATCTATAAAAATGAATACATCTATCTTAAATTCATATTAAATTTAATAAGAAAGAAAACACCTACTATTTTAATATACACTTTTCCACATAAATTTTATGCTTAAAGAAAAATATAAAATTTGGATATTTACTTATGAATGACTCTATTTGTGTGTATTCAAATATGCACATAAACACATAAACCTTCTAACACATCTTTTGGTGGTCTGTCGTTCCTTGTTTGCATTGTTATTTCTAAGTTTTTAAAACATCCTCATGCCCAAGGATTTCCAATCTGCATAATTTAACTTTTTGTTTAATACACATCATACCATTTTCAAAATGGATATTTATCATTATTTTTATTACACCTATTGAAATTGTGGTCTTAGTGTGTATGCATCACTTTTTATGTTGCTATAAAATATTCTTGCAAGTAAATGAAAAGGTTAATAGATAAATCCTGAAGACTAGGCTTTTGAACAAAACTGAAAGAGTCAAGAAAGCATTCACGAATTTGAAATTTTTAATCTCTAATACTCTCATTAGGCTTCATGCTGGTCATTTACTTCTTTACTTTCATATCCCTTGCCAGATCAACCCTTGTTCTGCTTTGGATTATAAACGACTGACATACGACACACTCCACAGTCCCTCCTAAATGACTTTCGGCTAGGTTTAGCTAATGAAACACTGCAAGAATTTTGAAGGGCAGAGGGGAAATGTCAGAGCATTTATCTCCTTCTTTCTTTCCAATAGAGCTGCAGCAGCACCGTAATTCAGTGTTCTCTAAAGTTCCAGCTCCCTTGGGAGCTTTTGCTCGCAGCGACCTCCAGGTTGAGGGTTTCTCTTTCTTACACTCCTTTCTCGCTTTCTCTCTTTAGCGCTAGGGATGGTATCTAACCTGCTGTTCTAATTTTTTTGTTGTTGTTGACTCAGAGTACACTGTTTGCACTTTTAGTTCTTCCAAACATTTTACCAACTAGTTCCCTATGTTAGATTCTCTCAATTAAGCTACCAGGTTCTGTATTCCAAATTGGTTCTTAACTATACAGGAATATCCACATTCTTCAATATGCATTCTAAATTACATTTTAACTAACATTTCATAAAAATATACTGCACACAGTACAAAGCTGCAGCCACTAAGTTTTTTTTCTTCTTATTGATTATACCAAGCTCTTCCCATCTATGTAGTCTTTTGCATACTGCACGTCGACCCATAACCCTATACCTTCTTTTAGTCTTATGTACATACCTCTATTCCCATTGCTGGTCTTTCTCCTTTATTCACATGTCAGGCTAAAAATCATATTTTTAGAGATGCTATTCTTGACTATTATATCAAATATATGTGGTTAATTTGTTATTTTCTTTCAAGGCATGATTTTTATTTTCATAATTATTTATAATGATTTTTATCCCTAACTATACTGTACATTCCAGGGCAAAGATTATTTTTAGTTTGTTCATAAGTGAATATTTAGCAATTTTCATAATGCTACTGCATATTATAGAACTATATAAATAATGTAAAAAGAAGGTTAGAATGTCAAAAAGGAAAATGAATAAAATATGATTATTTTCCTTTGGGGATTTACAATCTTGTGAGGTAGATACATATTATGAATTAAAATACAAGATAATTTTTAAAAACCCACATTATAAAGCAAATGTGACTGTGAGTACCATGGAAAAAGAGATTTTATTCATTAAGAAACAGAAAAAACTTCAGAGAAGACATAGCTCGTTGTCTAGGAATTAACAGATGGCCATATGTATGCTATTAATTGTTTGATAAGTGGAAATAGCATTCTTGGGCCTAAGAGTTACATAAATAGGAAAGAAGGAAGATTGTACCTGATATATCTCTTAAATGGTAAATAGTCCAAAAAGAGATGAAGTTTAGAGTTAAAGAGAAGAGAATAAAAAGACATACTTGGATCTGCTGCTAGGTCAACTTGAATGAATCAATAGAAGTTTGATATTAGCACTATGTTGGAAGAGTGATGAGTCTGCTATAAATGAGAGAAGGGAGATATACGAAGTTATCATAGGGAAAAATAGAAATAGGAGCCGGAAAAGGATAATTCATTATTGGACATGTTGAATTTGAGTTGTCACGAAGACATCCAGCCATTTGGAAATTTGAAACGGAACTCACAAGAGAAACAAAAACTGGAATACAGATTTGAATATCATTGATTTTGTCAAAGCATAAATTGCACTGGGCAAAGTTAAATATACTAGGGAGACTTTATTCAAGACTATCGGAAAAGGGGAGAGGCTAGAACTCAGTCTGAATTCACCTTTGATGAAACAAATATCAGTAGGATTTGTATAAGAGCTGGAATAAGAGAGAAATGTTGAGCCATCTGTGTTTGCTAATTAGTTTTACCCAATGCAAAAGTAAACTTCCACATATCTTCTTGACAGAAGATAATTTTATAACTTGGAGCAAGGTGCCCATGGAAGTTAGGCTCCTACTCTCTCACGAATAAGATACAGGGGCACTATCTCGCTTAATGTTTACATTTCAAAGGGATGGCCCCCAGGTCCTTTAGAATGATGTTCCTGGGTTGTAAAATTTGCAAAAAAGAAATAAAAAAAAAAAGAAAAGAAAAAAGAAAAAATATTTCAAGAAGATTTATACCTCAGAGTGCAGAGAGTGATGTTTCCTAAAGTAAATGCTCTAAAAAAGAGAGAGCAAGGCTTAAAGTCAGGAATCTGCTTGTTTAGAGTATAGCAGATCTAAGGGGAAAGTTAAGGCCTTCTTTTTCCATGTAAAACTAGTTGTTTAAGCCACACGAGTATATGAAATTATTATCGAGTTAAAAGAGGAAGGAAAACAATCAAGGAGATCCACCATTTAAGTAGAAGAATAGTCAAAGGAAATAAAAGGCAAGTAGAGGCAAAGCAAAGAGAATGAGGAGGCATACTCAAGGCTGTATTAGGAAAATGGGGAGAATCAGGGATGACAAATTGGAAATTAAGATATTGTGAGGAAAGATGTTTTTGTGGAGTCAAAGGAGGAGATGTATTATGTAAATGTTGATTATATCTTCTTCAATATTGGTAGGGTTGGCAGAGAGATAACAAGATGGTTGTGCAAAGAGGAAGCATTTAATTTACAATGAGAAAATTTGAACAAATGTGTTGCTCTGGGACAAAAAAAATCAATGGAAAACCATATTGAATATGCACAAACACAGGGTAGGGTTTGAGATTGTTTACTGTTTATTATTAAGGTTATAGGCTAAAGTGATACAATATAGAGACACAAATATAGTGGTTTAAATAAAAGAGAACTTTATTCCTCTTTCACAAAATAGACCATAGATAAACAGCCATGAATGAGTGAGCAGCTCTGCTATTCTAAATATGTAGCTTCCATTTATGGATCCCAGGTAGCTACTGTAATAGGTAAACTCCCAGTCAATGAGGAAGAGGAAAAGAGCCAAAACTGAAACAATTTTTGAGCAAAATCCAGAAATGGCACTTACCACTTTCATTCACATCGTACTCATCATGAAACCTCTGAGGATTAGCAAAATTAAAGTATTATGACTTGTGCAATGCTTGATTGTACTTTGTCTTGATAGTGGGAGTCTATGACTCCCAAGTACAGCCATTGAGATCCTGACAGTCCATCCATCTGCCAGGTTATCCAGTACCTTTAAGGGCCCATCCTGGACAGAGACCCTCATAAAGGCTCCAGGTAGAGCCATCCATTTAAGTCCACATTAGATCCAGAGAACATACATGAATGCTTTCTTTGATTACAGTAAAGGCAGCGCATCCTTCTTCTCTATTTGGCTGGCCTTGGCCAGCGTAGCAGCAACCTTCCAACCAGGTCTTATGCTCCTTAAATTCCAGAGAATGGATATTCCCAGTAGTCTCCTGAGGTGCTGTAGTTGACTTCCAATTTTCAAATCAGCTTAGGAGATCTAACTCTTTAATTAGAAATGGGGTTGTTACTTGAAATTTTTTACTTTAGTATTATAGATAAAATTGAAATAGAAATAATCTTATTTAGCATCCATTTGTGATAGTATATATTAAATAATTGAATAAAATTTATGCTAGTTATGGAACTTGAGAGTGGCAAAGTGTGAGGAAGTTAAAGGACATTTGAAGTATGATATTTCTCCAGCTTTATATATTATAGATAAAATAGTAAAACAGTGCCTAAAGTCACTATGCTCACAATATAAGATTAAGTTATATTAGAAAACTTCAATGAGAGCACTAGGTAAATTTAAAATTGAATACGACTTCAAAATAACTGCTTAGTATTAGGTCTTCTAGTTTATAGATGAAGAAATTAAGCTTAGAGAGAGTAATAATTTGTTCAAGGACATATAACAAGCAGAAAATATTTAAACTCCCATATTCAAAGACAAGATTAAACAATTCCATTGTATGATTATGAGATAAGCAGTCATATTATCTTTAAATATAAATTACCACAAACATTCAAAGAAAAACAAAACTTCACTGAATTTTAAATAAATAATTGTATAAATTAAAAAAATAAATTTAAAAGATACTAAGCAGTTTGTTTTAGTTGGAAATAAAAAATGATTCTCATTGAGACTTATCTTTCAGGCTGATAAGTCTCAATCAAAACAATTCCTTGTCTCAATCAAATAGAAAATAAAAAAATACATACTGATAATATTTGAGTAGTAAAATGCATAAACATAGACGTTTATACTTATAACTTATTTGTATAGGTTTGTATGTATTTTATATAAAGATTCAATGTTGTATGTGTTACCATTAAAATTTTATTTATGTTATGACCACAGCATAAAATAGACTTTTTAAATTATACAGAAGGTATAATTTCTGTAAGCCTCCTTCTTTGACTGCAGTGAAATGATAATGTTGCTTATTAATAAGGAATAGAAAAAGCAAAGAAAAAACAAAACACTTTATTTTAAACAGTTCTAAATAACTAGTCAAAGAGGAAATAAAAGTTACAATTATAGACTCTAGAAAATAATGAATCTTGGAACTCTAAGAAAATTAAACCTGAATTAAGATTTGAACCTAATAATAATCATATGAGAAAACTTTAGTAAATAAAATTAACAAGGAATCAAAAAGAAACAGAGAAACAATAACAAAGAAGGCAAAGTGAAGAACAAATGAAAAACTCTTAAATATTATTATGACTGTTGATTAACATTTCCTAGTGAAACTTAGCAAATAGCCATGTCATAAAAGAGTTATACTTATTGAAAAATGATAAAAATTATGAAAAGTTATGGTTGACAAATGATGCAACATATTAGAAATAAAAAGGAGAGAACTATTCAACTACAAATAACAAAATAGTTCAATATACACAAAGACACAAAATCAAACTGTAGCAACCAAAAAACCTATTTATTTAAAACAAAGGAATACTTAAATATGTCACACATTTCCTAAATACTTCATACATATTTTTTGAGAATGGAATATTTTCAGATTACATTGTTTTAACTACTTATTTGGTGCTCTTGAAGAAACCTATATATGTATGTGTGTATATATATATATTCATAATAATTCATAAGAGCTCTATGGAATATACTTTAAAATTTTAGAAAGGTGATTAGAAGAATATATAAACATAATTGAAAGTCACATTATGCTCCTGCATTTTAAAAATAAAATTTAGAAAGATAGGTTACTTTAAATTAATTGACAGAATCATTTAAATTTATATTTTAGTTTTCCAAGTTACCAAGTACATCAAACTAAAACAAACAACAAGTTCTTTTTTTATTATTATTATACTTTAAGTTCTAGGGTACATGTGCACAACATGCAGGTTTGTTACATATGTATAGATGTGCCATGTTGGTGCGCTGCACCCATTAACTCGTCATTTACCTTAGGTATATCTCCTAATGCTATCCCTCCCCCCTCCCCCCACCCCACGACAGGCCCCAGTGTGTGGTGTTCCCCACCCTGTGTCCAAGTGTTCTCCTTGTTCAATTCCCACCTATAAGTGAGAACATGCGGTGTTTGGTTTTCTGTCCTTGTGATAGTTTGCTCAGAGTGATGGTTTCCAGCATCATCCATGTCCCTACAAAGGACATGAACTCATTTTTGTATGGCTGCATAGTATTCCATGGTGTATATGTGCCACATTTTCTTAATCCAGTCTATCACTGATGGACATTTGGGTTGGTTCCAAGTCTTTGCTATTGTGAATAGTGCCGCAATAAACATACATGTGCATGTGTCTTTATAGCAGCATGATTTATAAGCCTTTGGGTATATACCCAGTAATGCGATGGCTGGGTCAAATGGTATTTCTACTTCTATATTCTTAAGGAGTCACCACACTGTCTTCCACAATGGTTGAACTAGTTTACAGTGTAAAAGTGTTCCTATTTCTCCACATCCTCTCCAGCACCTGTTGTTTCCTGACTTTTTAATGATCGCCATTCTAACTGGTGTGAGATGGTATCTCATTGTGGTTTTGATTTGCATTTCTCTGATGGCCAGTGATGATGAGCATTTTTTCATGTGTCTGTTGGCTGCATAAATGTCTTCTTTTGAGAAGTGTCTGTTCATGTCCTTCGCCCACTTTTTGATGAGGTTGTTTGATTTTTCTTCTAAATTTGCTTAAGTTGTTTGTAGATTCTGGACATTAGCCCTTTGTCAGATGGGTTGATTGTAAAAATTTGATATGTGGGAGCTAAACAATGAGGATGCAAAGGCCTAAGAATGATACAATGTGCTTTGGGGACTTGAGGGGAAGAGTGGGAGGGGGGCGAAGTATAAAAGGCAACAAACATGGTGCAGTGGATACTGCTCGGGTGATGTGTGCACCAAGTTCTCACAAATCTCCACGTAAGAACTTACTTATGTAACCAAATACCACCTGTACCCCAGTAACTTAAGAAAAAAATTTCTATAAACGTTTTGAAGAAGTTTAAGGAATGATTATCCTGTAGGATACTGGATATTCCTATGCGGAGCTACAAATTTAAATTGAAAAATACTAAGGCGATAACAGGTTCAACATCATAAAAATAAATTAAAGTATATGTAATAACATGGAATACAATGAATGTGTCATCAAAATTTTTGCTGGGGAGAATTTAGAATTATACAAAAGTTGATGGGGCACAGTTAATTATTTAGGAAAAAAAATGAAGTAACTTTCTTACTTTCTATATAAATTATAGGTAAATTACAAATTAAATGAATAAAAGAAAGTGAAGCCAGGAGCAGTGGCTTACTCCTCCCAGCACTTTGGGAGGCCAACATGGGAGGCCAACAAGATGACTTGAGGTTAGGAGTTCGAGACCAGCCTGGCCAACATAATGAAACCCCCTCTCTACTAAAAATACAAAAATTAGGTGTGGTGGCCTAAGCCAGTTACTCCAGAAGCTGAAGCAGGATAATCACTTGAATCCAGGAGGCAGAGGCTGCAGTGAGTCCAGATCACTCCACTGCACTCCAGCATTGGCAACAGAGTGAGAATCCATCTAAAATAATAATAATAATAACAGTAATAATAATAAATAAACATAAAAAAAGAAGAAATTGTAAAAAAGCAGGTACATATTGATGAAAATCTGCCATATCTGTTAATAGAATTTCAGTGTATCAATGAAACAAATTCCAATGGAAAAATCAACAGAAGTTTAAAACTAATCCTAATATGAATCCAAAAACAACATCAAAAAACAAAAAATAAGTTACAAAGAAAAAAAACATATTAGCCCAAATCTACAAAGAAGTCATACATGAATAAAGTTGAATAATAGCTTAATGGATGTCTAATTTTACAATTAACATTTGCAAATTAAAACACCAAAGATGTAACTGCTGTCTATTCATGAAGACACATTTTGTAAAAAAGGCATCAATTTTGATATTCGGGTGAAGGGGAAAATTACCATAACTTTTCTTAGATGACACTTTATATATTGATCTCGGTAGAATTAAAAATGTTCATCCCATTTCAATTCAAATTTCTATTTTTTTTGGAATGTATGTACAGAAAAATCAGTAACGATAAAAATAATTGTGGGTATAAAGTACTGAAAGAAATCATCATAATATTATAAAGTCCATAAACTAAATACCAAATAAATCATGCAGGCTAAATATTTAATGCCAAAATATAGTCATGATAAAAGTTTTAATAAAATATCATCAAATTTTGTTAAAATATATTCTAAAGAATTTATTTTCGCTATTGCTACTGCTGTTCATACACACACAAATAATTTGGATAAACACACAGAAAATAAGCTGACTATGAATACTCTTTTCCAAATGTCAGCGCTGCATACTTTCAATTATCTGAAGTGGATTTACTCTGTTTATTACACTACTACATGTCTTCTAACAAAAAAATACAATGTATTTACTTATCATGTATATAGTTCTTGTTTGCTCTGTCTTGTTAAATGCAAATTCCACGAGAGCAGAAATCGCTCTCTTTTATTCACAGCTGTAGCCAATAAAGCCAACCATAGTGCAGGTCAACCAGTTGAGAGGAAAAGACAACATTTTACTACTGGGTCTTCATTGGCATGGCATAGAGATTTTCTTTCTTTTCTTTTTTTTTTCTTATATTCCACTCACTTTTAATAATTAAAATAAATAATTTCTATTTTTGTCAATAGCTTCAGCTTTTATTTTTGATTCAGGGGTATATGTGCAGGATTATTATATGGGTAAATTGTATGACACTGAGGTTTGGGGTACCAATAATCCTGTTACCTAGGTAGTGAGCATAGGACCCAATAGGTAATTTTTCAGCCCTTGTTCCCATCCCCCTCTCTCCCTTCTAGTGTCCCAGTGACTACTGTTCCCTTCTTTGGGTCCATGTGTACCCACTGTTTAGCTTCCATTTATCAGTGAGAACATGTGGTATTTGACTTTCTGTTCCTGTGTTAATTCACTTAGGATAATGGTCTCCAGCTGCATCCATGTTGCTGCAAAGGACATAATTTTATTTTTTATGGCTGTGTAATATTCTCTGGTGTATATGTACCACATTTGCTTTATCCAATCCACTGTTGATGGGCACCTATGTTGATTCCATGTATTTGCTATTGTGAATAGTGCTGCAATAAACATATGTGTGCATGTGTCTTTACGGTAGAACAATTTATTTTTCTTTGGGTATGTACTCAGGAAACAGATTGCTGGGTCAAATGACATTTCTGTTTTAAATATCTGAGAAATTTCCAGACTGTTTTGCACAGTGGTTGAAATAATTTACATTCTCACCAACCATATATAAGTATTCCCCTTTCTCCACAGCTTTGGTAGCATTTGTTTGCTTATTTGTTGTTGCCTTTTAATAAAAGCCATTTTGACTAGAGTGAGGTGGTATTTCATTGTGGTTGTGATTTGCCTTGCTCTGATGATCAGGGGTATTAAGCATTTCTTCATATGTTTGTTGTACTCTTATATGTTTTCTTTTAACAGGTGTTGTTTCATGTCCTTTGCCAACTTTTTAGTGGGGTTGTTTTTTACTTGTTAAATTCCTTATATATTCTGAATATTAAACCTTTGTTGCATGCACACGTTGCAAATATTTTTCCCCTTCAGGGGTTGTCTGTTTAATCTGTTGATAGTTTATTTTATTGTGCAAAACATCTTTAGTTTAATTAGGTCCCACTTGTCAATTTTTTTTCATTGCAATTGCTTTTGAAGTCTTAGTCATGAATTAATTGCCAAGGCTGATGTCCAGAATAGTATTTACCAGGATTCTTCTACAATTTTTATAGTTTGAGGTTTTACATATAAATTCTTAATCCATCTTAAGTTAATTTTTGTATATAGTGAAATGTAGGGGTCCAGTTTCATTCACTGGCATATGGTTAGCCAGTTCTCACAGCACCAGGTATTGAATAGAAAGTACTTTTTCCATTGCTTATTTTTGTCAACTTTGTTGAAGATTAGATGGTTGTAGGTGTGCAACTTTATTTCAAGGTTTTCTGTTCCAATGGTCTATGTGTCTGTTTTTGTGGCAGTACCAGGCTGTTTTGGTTACTGTAGCTTTAAAGCATAGTTTGAAGGCAGGTAATTTGATGCCCCTGGCTTTGTTCTCTTTTGCTGAGGATTGCTTTGGATATTTGGGCTCTTTTTTAGTTCCATATAAATTTTAGAATAGTTTTTCCAATTTTGTGCAAAATTACTTTGGTAGTTTTATAGGAGTGGGATTGAATCTATAGGTTTTTCTAAGCAGTATGGCCATTCATACTGATTCTCCCATTCATGAGCATGGGATGTTTCTCCATTTGTTTGTGTCATTTACGATTTCTTACAGCAGTATTTTGTAGTTCATTCTGTAGAGATCTTTCACCTCCTTGGTTAGATATATTCTTAGGTATTCTATTTTTTGTGTGTGGCTATGTAAATGGGATTGCATTCTTGATTTGTCTCTCAGTTTGAACTTTATTGGTATATAGAAATGCTACTGATGTTTGTATATGTATTTTGTAACCTGAAAATTTACTGAAGCCATTTATCAGGTCTTGGAGACCTTTGTCAAAGTCTTGAGGATTTTCTTAGTGTAGGATCATATCACTATTGAAGAAAAATAGTATGACTTCTTTTCTTATTTGGATGCCTTTAATCTTGCTCAATTGCTCTGGCTAGAACTTCTAGTACCATGCTGAAGACAAGCAGTGAGAGTGGGCATAATCAGTCTTGTTCCTGTCCTTAGGTGAATGCTTCCAGCTTTTGCCCATTCAGTATGGTGTTAGCTGTGGGTTTGTCGAAGTAGATCTTATTATTTTGAAGTATGTTCCTTCAATGCCTAGTTTGTTGAAGGTTTTTATCATGAAGAGATGTTGGATTTTAAGAACTCTTTCTCTACAGCTATTGAGATTATCAGGTGGTTTTTGTTTTTAATTCTGTTTATGTGATGAATCACATTTATTGATTTACATATGTTGAACCAACCTTGCATCCCAGGAATAAAGCCTACTTGATTATGATGAATTACTGGAATTGTTTTGCTAGTATTTTGATGAGGATTTTTGCATCTGTGTTCATTATGGATATTGGCCTGTAGTTTCCTTTTGCGTGTGTGTCTTTGCCATTTTTGGTATCACTGTGATGCTGGCTTTGGAGAATGAATTACAGAGGAATCCCTCCTCCTTAATTTTTTCTAATACTTCTCATAGAATTGGTACTAGACTTTCTCTGTATGTCTTGTGAAATTTGGCTGTGAATTTATCTTACCCAAAGCTTTTTCTTGGTTGGCAGGTTTTTGTTTTTGCTTTCAGTGCTGAAAGAAATTCCGTTTTTAATAAAAATATGTTTTTCAAAGAAGGAAAAAGTATCAATAATGATTAAAATCAACTGATAAAATAATCTTGCACATTCTTTTGGCATTCTTAAACAAAGATAAAAATATAAAGGAAGTACATGGCAGTCAGTTTAAGATAAAGGGAATAAGAGTTATTCTGATAAAGAAAAGCCTTAATGCCCTACAGTAAAGCACGGGTCTAGAGGTATTTTCTGGAACCAATTAGTATAATGAATATACTCATTATACCAGTTAGTATAATTATACCATTTTAACTGGCATAATGTATACCATATACATTATACCATCATACTAACTGGTATAATGAATATATACTAACTGCACTTGTGATGGCTTCTTGATGTGTCACCTTGGCTAAGTTCAACTACAATGCCCAGAATTCCCTTCCTTGTGTTATTTCAGTTAGAGTGAGCTAGAAGATATATTCTTTATTAAAATTTGGAGGATATAAGGAAGCAGCAGCCATTTGGTAACATACACATACCTTTCCCCAATTATTTAATCAAATACAAATCAAGATGCTGCTGTGAAAGGATTTTGCAGAAGTAATGAAAGCCTCTGATCAATGGGCCTTAAGTTAATCAAAAGGTAGATTTTCATGGTGGTGTGAAAATCTGTCACAAGCACTTTTAAAAAGAGTTTAACTCTTCCCTGAGCTCAGAGATTGGCAACTTGCAGTTCGGTTTGCAATCGTTCTTCATCTCCGCTGAATCTTCCTTCTTGACTGTCTGTTCATGCTCATGTGGTCCTAACCTGCTCCTGATCTTCTCTTCCTGACTGCTTGCCTGTGAATTCTAAGCATCAGCTCACTTGTGCTTTTGGGGCTCTAGCCATCATCTGTTGATCATTGCCTGCCCCATGGACTTCAAACTTGTTGAGCCAGGTACCTGACTTAATCGTGTAAGCCAATCCATTACAATAAATCAGATAGATAGACAGATAGATAGGTAGATAGATGATAGAGATAGACAGATGACAGATAAATAGATAGATAGATAGATAGATAAATAGATAGATAGATAGATAGATAGATAGATAGATAGATAGATAGATAGATAGATGGGATTGTCAGGCTGCAAACTTTCCAAACTTTTATGCTCTGCTTCTCTCATAAAACTGAATGCCTTTAACAGTACCCAAATCACCTCTTGAATGCTTTGCTGCTTAGAAATTTATTCCACCAGGCACACTAAACCATCTCCCTCAAGGTCAACATTCCACAGATCTCTAGGGCAGGGGCAAAATGCCACCAGTCTCTTTGCTGAAACATAATAAGTCACCTTTGCTCCAGTTCCCAACAAGTTCCTCATTTCCATCTGAGACCACCTTAACCTGGATTTTATTGTCCATATCACTATCAGCATTTTCGGCAAACCCAATCAACAAGTCTTGAGGAAGTTCCAAACTTTCCCACATTTTCCTGTTTTCTTCTGAGCCCTTCAAACTGTTCCAGCCTCCATCTGTTACCCAGTTCCAAAGCTGCTTCTGCATTTTTGGGTATCTTTTCAGCAGTGCCCCCCTCTCCTGGTACCAATTTAATATATTAGTCTGTTTTCACACTGCTGATAAAGACATACCCAAGACTGAGCAATTTACAAAAGAAAGAGATTTAATGGACTCACAGTTCCACTTGGCTGGGGAGGCCTCATAATCATGTTGAAAGGCGAAAGGCACATCTCACATGGCGGCAGATAAGAGAAGAGAATGAGAACCAAGCAAAAGGGATTTCTCCTTATGAAACCATCTGATCTCATGATTCACTACCACGAGAACAATATGGGGGAAACTGTCCCTATGATTCAATTATCTCTCACTGGGTCCCTCCCACAATATGAGGGAATTATGGGAGCTACAATTCAAGATGAGATTTAGGTGGGGACACAGCCAAACTATATCAAATTTAAAATGGCAGAGCTAAATCAATCTACTGTTATTGATACCTACATGCAATTATATCAAGTTTTGAAGTATCTTTCCCCTTTCTTTCACACAATTAAGTCAATAAAATTTGCATGTGGATTTTGAGGAACAAAGCATTTGGTTCCTTTGACATTTGGAAATATTATAATTTTTATAAAAATTACAATTTTTACAGGAGAGGATGTAGTTCCTCATCTGTGGTTACCATTTTACATTAATGGTAGCAACAACAACAAAAAAGATTAATTATGTGCTTTACTTACTTATGTGAATTGATACAAAAGGTGTAAACTGTCACATGTCATCTTTCCAGGCTAGAAAAACCTATTCCTCTTCCCACCTAGAGAATGTAATGCTAAAATTAATACAACCTCAAGGAGGAACAGGTGGTTGAAACAAATGTCAATGTGCTGCGTTAAAAAGGGAGTAATTGTTCAATTTACATATCACAGTACAAGTGACGAACTTATTATTAAATTATTTTTTTCCTAAAACCCAAAGGATGATTATAATATAAATATCAAAATGGCATTGAAGAGTGAACTAAACTAAATCTGAAGAGATGAATTTATCCCCGTTTTTCATGATATAGCAATATTTAAAGCAACAGAACAGAAAGGGAGTTGTTGTCAAAGTTCTACACTAGGGCTTTCTGAGTTATTAGCGATTATTCCCACTGAGAGTGGGGCAAAACATGTTAAGATAACCTATATGATCAAGATCCAGAGAGCTGATGCTGAGATGGAGTTAGTAGCCAGAGAAAAAGTGTAGAAGTCATACCAGTAAAACAGATAATTTTGTGGGATAAAGGAATGTACAATTAGAGAGCCAATATAAAGCAGTTATGAGTAGTTTTGTGTTTTTGCATGCTCACTAGTAAGAATATAAATTAGCCATGCTATCTTTGGAGAATAAACCTGAAAAACCTGACATATATATTCACATGCTGGCACAAATATATATACAAAGTGTATTCATTTTATGATTAGTTGTAAAAGCAAATAAACAAGAAATTATCAAAGCTATCCATCTACTCACCCATATGGTACTGGTTGAAAAAGTTATGATATATCCATATATGATATAACAGAGAATATGCCATCATTAAAATGTGAAACTGCTCTATTTGTACTGTTATGGGATTAATTTCAAATTACATTGTTAAATGAAGAATAAAAGTATGATAATGCAATAAAAGAATCAAAATGGGTGCTATTATTTATATAACAAGATTATATTTGCATATGCACTGAAGATCTTTTGGAGGATGCATTAAAATGATACAAGTGGTTATGGTGGAAGGGAACTGAGGAACAGGAAACAGAATGAAGGGGAGACTTTTTACCAGATTCCACTTATCATAGAATTAGTTTTTGGTGGTGGTGGTGGTGTGTGTGTGTGTATTTCACGTTGAAAATAATCTGAAAACTAACCTGTAATAACTATTTGTAGGCAGTTTTCAGGATAGGGTTACGTATGGGTATGCACATCAAAGTTTTATGATATTTGCTGAGGGGTACGTTATAACACTGACAAGTTTTAGTAAGTGACTTGTGGTGATTCTGCTAATGGGTATAAAGAACTCTAGAAGAGTTTGGAATATTTTTCTGTCTCTTCTGATGCAGATAAGCAAATTGCTGAAAATGAGGAACATAAACCAAACCCACTTATCCACTCTCATTCCTGCATGTTCAATGATTTGCCTCACAGGTCAAATATTTACTCAGTTGACAATCCAGATTTAAAGAAAATTGACAAAAAGAAACAAGTTCCAAGTCGCCCACCTCCATTGCCAGCACATGGTGCTATTTAGTAACGCTTGGCTCCATGAACCACACAGAGAAAAGCCTCCATGTTGGCTTTATTCTGCTTTGTTAACAGCCCCAAACAACACTGAGCAGTGGGTGATACAGCAATCTTCACCCCTTGTCACCAGTAAGAAAGCTGGAGTTTCAATCTTCTGTCTTTCGTGAAGCACCTGTCTTTTTTTTTTTTTATTGTCAAATTGGTCTTCTCCCCTTCCCTCTCTTACTGTTTCACTCTGTATTTGGAGACTTTTAAATCAAAAACAGGAAAGGAAATCAATTTGAGACTCTGATTTGATGTTTGTGCTATTAGTCAATTTCCTATATTGTATATGTGTAGTTAAATTTGCTATTTTATATTGTGTTCTATTGTCTATGGATAAGGAATTTCTATTGAACTATGGATGAAAACTAAATACAGCTTCTCAGAGTTTACAAATTTTATTAAACCAAAGAAATTGACTCCAGAAGCCTAGGAAAGACTAAACATTTTACAAATTATTTACAAAAATTTCTCCACAGTTTTTTGAAAATACTTCCTTTGTTCCTGATTTTAACACATAAAATAATGCATAATAACATCAAAGGTCTAGATTTAATATTGCTTTTGAAGAATTGTAAAAAGAGTTCCAAGTCTGTTAATGATAATTAAGGATGAAATTGAGATTCTTTTTTCCAGGGCCACAAACCTCACTCATTGGAATCTCAATTTTACCTGGTCAAGTCAACTTAAGCTATTACAAGTAAATTTCATCTACCAGCCTGATGTATATTTCTGAAAAGTTTTTAATTAAGCTCATCTGTTATGCTTCAGATCAAAAGAATTGTCATTGAAGATATATGAGTCCTGAAATGAGTTTCTCTTGAGTAGTTCTTGAGTATTTTGTAGGCTTGAATGCAGCGCAAATATATAGGGCTACTATCTGCTCAATAACAAAGAATGCTTAGGTCCTCCCAGATCATAGACCAAATATCTAACCTTTCCTAAAGTCATTTATTTCATTTCAACCTCCACTAAATCATAATTTGAGTTACAGCTATGTCTGCTCTTACCTGCTTACCAAAACTTTCTGACAATTCTAAGCCTTACAAGCTTCTCTCTATTCTTGTTTAAATTTATATTGCACATATTCTTATGACACACAATTTGGCAAACTTGATACTCTTTGTTTTCTGGATTGCTTCTTAGTATCTTGAAAACACTGCTTCTTTTGGGAACAGGAGCCATGACTTTGGTTTGTATGGTACCCTTAGAACTCTAGCATAGTGCTAGTATCTAAAAAAAAAAGAAAAAAAAACTTAATATAAGGTCTGACCATTTGATGGTAGAATAGTGATTAAAGAAATAGTGACTCAGTTTTTGGATCATGTTCCAAATATTATTTAAAACATTTAATTTGAGTAATTAAGTTATATATATTACCTTCTGACTATCATGTGAACCTCGTATTAAATTTCTACTTTTGTGAATAGTGCAGAAGAGGCTGTGGGAAAATGGGTTTGTGGTTAGTTGCTGTGAGAAAGGTTTATTATTTTCATATAATAAAATGCACTTTTCCAATGAACACAGACTTGAAAAACAACTTCCAAAAAAAATGTTTTCATGAAACTGTTTTATCCCCCAAGAGAAGCAATGTTCAACTAGAAACTCTTACGTCATACTTGGTCCCTATAGCTGCACTTCACCTAAATACATTTACTTGCCTCCTTCAGTTGGATAAAGCTGAACTCATAGTCTGAAGAAAACTGCATAATTTAAGTGTATAATTCTCTTTCAGCTTATATGTTGGCATTTCACATTACAAATATGAAAATGTTTTCAAGACACTTTTAAAAAGTATTCTTGATAGTTGAAAGAAACACACTGCCCACTTTCACTTATATGACTGCTCCCCAAAGTATTGTAGATGCATGCAGTTCTATAGTAAATTTAGGAAAAGTCAAGAGGCTAACTTGACTAATTTACTTGAATTTATATACTGATTTGGGGAGTCTGTGTATTATACATTTTAAGTAAGCTCTAATTTTAACTGTTCCATTTATAATATCTGGATTAAATATTTTTTGGCACATTTTTATTTAATGGATATTTTTCTAGCCAAGGTACATGAGGGTATGGTCTATACTTATGTTTCTACATATGTATCCTCTGTGCTTAAAAGTTACTTGCAAATAAAGGTGCTATTATATTTGTTAAAAAATAATGAACAGATAATAAAAAAGATATAATACATTTTCTATGGCTTGTACTTTACAAATTAGAATCTCTCAGAAAATGTTTAGTACCAGTCATGATAGACTAACAAATATTAGACATAGCCTCCCGCTGTAACTAACTACAACAGCTAGACAAAATATTGTTAACAATTCCTTGCAGGTATCAGCACACAACACAGGGAAGCATTCATTCTCCTTTGCTGTTTCCTTAAGGACATTTTCAAAACCATAATTCATGGAAACAGAGCCCAATCAGAGATTAGCATGTGGAAAAATATGTGTGCAGGGGTTACAGAAGTTATTGGGATTTGGAGGTAGAGTGCTGAGAATAAATATATAGGGAAGGAACATCGACAATCTGAATGAAAGCTCACTTTGAATCCTGGACCAACTTCTAAATTGTTAACACGCAAAGCATATCTCTGGAAGTCTTAGCAGAGAATAGTGCTGAGAGGCTAAAAGCAGAAAAATGCCTCAGAGTGTTGGGGAGACACTGAAGTTCCAACCCAATCAAAGTAGAGAAATCTCTGTGAACACTACTGGCTTTAAGATGAGACTCCAGAAAGACCATGCCCTGAGCATAAGGTTAACACCTTGAGATAACGTCTGTACCCTCCAATAAGAACAAAGCTCATATGGAACCACCCTAATGAAACCTAACACCAAGCCTATGACAGAAGCAGAATAAAGTACTAATAATCAGAAATGATCCAGGTTTGGAGTAAGTCAACAAGGGCCTTAAGATAACTATGAAAGAGTAAATGGTACATTAAAAATGGAGGAATGCAAAGGAGAGCATAACCCACTCAACCACCAACACCCCCCCACACACAATCAAACATTTAGAAATGTAATATGCAATATGTAAATTTAAGACCTCAATAGATGAATTTAACTGCAGCCTACACAGAGTAGGAAGTAGGATTAGTAATTTCTAAGACAGGCTAATAGAAAATATTCAATCAAATTTCTGCCAAAAAGCAGAAAAAGAGTAAAAATTTGAGGTAAAAATTTGAGGAAAAGATTTGAGTAAAAGATTTGAGTAAAAGAGTAAAAGATTTGAGGAAAGATAGGTAACATAGTTAAAATATCTAATATGTATGTCTAAAACTGAAAAATGTAAAGAAATTATGAAACGCATGCAGATTAAAATGGTATGTACAAGGACATTCATAGCAGCTTTACTCAAAATATCCCTAAACTGTGAAACATATAAGTTTATCTACATACAATGGATACACAAAATATGGAAAATTCATAAGTAGGAATACTATTAAGCTGTAGCAAAGAATAGACCACTGATACTCAAAACAATATTGTTTAATCTCAAAAACATTATCTTCAACAAAAGTAGTTAGACTCAAAAACTTGATATTTTATAATTTGGTTTACAAAAAGTTCAAAATCAGTATAAACTAATCTCTGTTTATGGAAGTTAGAACAATAGTTACTTCTGAGGAGTACTGACCGGGAAAGGGCACTAGGAAAATATCTAAGGGGATGTAAACATTTAGATTTTTATTTGAAGTATGTGACTTAAGTGTATTATACTTTTGTTTTTAAAATGCATATTATTAAAAAGTCTCTGTGGGTAAAGAAGTAAATTCAATATCATTTAGTATATTCACAGTTTAATGGATATTTGTTTTCCAGCAATATTCCATTTTCTAAGGTCATTTTGCAGGAATAATTTGTAGAGGAGCTTCATCTTTACCTGGGAAGGAGAATCTTTACATTCCAGCTCCAAGCTTCATAAGTGACTAACTGAAAAACACAGTTACTGAATGGTGTCCTCTAGAGGTCTAATATCTAGTGGGGGGAGGGAAAAAAAAGAAACTACAAAAATAAGTGAGAAAATCACTCTGTCATAGGTAGTAAGAGAAATGAGTAGGGTGGTATGAGAGAAAGAGTGAACTACTTAAGATGGGGTTGTTAATGAATGGCTCTCTGCGAGTTTAAAATATGAGACTGGAAAAAAATTGAAAAAGAAGTTATATGCTGAATTGTATAATGGTTTGTGAAAGGAACATGAGGACTCTACCTTATGTAATATACTTACTCCACTGGCTTGCCATGAAATCAACCTTCTTAATACTAGAAGGCTTAAATTGTCCCTATGTCCTCTTCTATTACTCCCTTCCCTTCTTCATTTACTCACTTATTTGGTCTTTCATTAGAAATTTAGATATGGAATGTCTACCACAGGCATCAGGTGAAGCCAATGAAGCTCCAATTCTAACTCAGTTGATTCTGACACAGGAAATATGTCAGTCACTTTGGACTGCTATAAGAGAATATCACAGACTGGGTGGCTTAAACAAGAAACATTTATTTCTCACAGTTCTGGAGGCTGGAAGTCTATGATATCAGGGTGCAGGCATGGTCAAGTTCTGGTAAGGGCCCTCTTCCTGGTTAAGTCCTCCTCTTTTCATAAAGACATTCGTTAATTCTGCCAGGAGGGCCTCACCCTCGTGGCCTAATCTAATACTAATTACCTACCAAAGGTCCCACCTCCAAATGCCATCACACTGAGGATTCGGTTTTTGACATATGAATTTGGGGGTGGGGGGTGGTGCATCCACATTTAGCCCACAGCAGAGGGCTTTCACACACTCTGAGAAAAAGTGAGCTATATGTTTTTTTTACGTAATAATGCTATAGCAAGATTTCCAAACACTTCTCATTCATTTTGGTTTATGAGACACCTAAGTTTGTAAGGTATTTCTTTACAGAATTCAACTTTGTTTTTATTTTATCAGTACAACTCTCAGGATCATAACCTTATTTAAAATATTGGATATATGATCACTGTCTCTCCCTTGTTCTCATTCTATTTTCCAAACAAACACTTAAAATATTTTTACCTGAAGAAATACACCTCACATTTAACGTAAATTGCCAAAGGTCCATGTCAGAACTTAGGTTTGACGAGCATTTTTTTCTTTTCTCTTCCCCGATCCAAATACTGCCTATTCTTCAGAACTTTACATTTTCAAATATGAAGTACATTTTAAGAAACAGTGATGATAATTTTTCTATTATGGCCTAAAATTATATTTTAAGCTATTCCTATAGCATTGGAAAAATCATATTATATTCGATTTGAGTGACACCATAGATTACTCCATCCAACACACACACATTTGAAAACAGGAAAAATTTAAAAAATGTTTCAAGAAACACAGCAAATTAATGACACACTACATTAAAGAGCTGTATCTCTAATTCATCATATAGAGTTCTACATATCCAATCACATTTACCAAGAACAGCTCCAATTCAATATACAAGCAAATGTTTCCTGATATTGCTAGTTTATTTTGTTTTTTTTTTACTTGTCCTATATTATGTCTTAACCTAGATTGTAGATTCTGTCATGACAAATAGCATGGCTTAAACTTCCTTTTTAATCCCCCTTAGAAGCTACATGCATAGGACATTACACATAGAGATGCTGAAGGTAGTCAGTGCATTTCTCATTTATTTTTCCATTGGCACAATGTATAACCATGTGCATAAAACAGTTAATTCACGTATTTAGAAAGGACAGAGAGGGGAAAAATGACCTGGGGAAAAACAACCACAACAAGCCAAGCAGGTCACCATGGTAACGCAAGATTCCAAATTGTCATTCTCCTAGTTTCTGACATTTCTCGTGTTCAGGATACATGGCACCATCTAGTGGTTGCATTCACATTCCAAATGTTCCACTTCTTTCCAAGCTGAAGTTAGCTCTGAACAAACAAGCAACAACTCTATCTATCTATCATCTATCTATCATCTATCTATCTATCTATCTATCTATCTATCTATCTATCTATCTTACTATCTATCTATCCACACACACATATATATGTGTGCTATATACATATTTAGGGTACACCGTTGCAGTTGTGAAATAGAATCAGAGTTTGCTTTTCAAAATGTGTAGTTCAAAGATTACAAATCTTTGTAATTTGTTTAGTGAAATACTGCTTGTTTCTTCATTTAAAAAACATGTATTCTGTGTATCTTTGCTGAGGTGAGAAGGTAGATTGGTCTAATACCTATATTTCTAAGATCACTAACTCAAATGATTTTTAAAATAAAAATGAGGTATTTTTACAAAATGAAAAAATACTAACAACGTTGGACTCAGGATGAAGAGTCCCAGAGAACTAGTCCCAAATTTATAATTGAAATGTTTACTTAAAATATGAGCTTAATTATTTTCATATATTTAACAAATAAATTTGGGGGTAGTTATTAGTGATAGAGTGAATTAATATGCTATGAAATCTAATTTAAAAAATCGACTTGCTTAGCACTTTTTAAAGCTGTAATTAATTTAGTTCTACAATCTATTTCAATCTAGTTCAACAGAGAACATAAAAAATAATAATGACACCATGTCATTCTAGAAAGAGCTGAACTACAATAAATATGTTATATCTATTAGTCAATCAGCCATAGCAATCCTGATGTCTTTGATAATATTATTTTAAAAATTAGAAATTGTAAAATGCCGTCTTTCAGGCCATGCTAAGAATTTTATTTAAAAATCATACGATTTAACAGTGATAAAACCCAGGGAGGGTAAGTACTATTGTTATATCGTATTCCACATATATTAGAGTACAATATTACATTATTAATATGTATGTTACATATATCTATATCTATATTCTATATATAGGGGTGTGTGTGTGTGTGTGTGTATATATATATATATATATATATATATATATGGAAATGTAAGTCCCAGAAAGATCAAAAAACTTTTACAAGGTCACATGTATGATACATTCATTCAGGAATAAATTATTATTGGGAAATTACTGTGCACCAGTATTTTTACAGAACTGAGAATATAGTAGTGATCAAGATACAAAAGGTGCTTGTACTGATGAAGCTTACTTAATGATTTCAGTGGAGATAAAAAAAGGAAATATACTATAGGCTTTGAAATACACCAACACAGAAATAACAAATGGTGATAAGATCTGTATGAAGAATTAAAACATGCTAATTGAAATTTTAACATATCATTAAGCACAGCATTAAAATATGAAACTCTTAGAAATAATTTAATAAAGTATGTGTAAGACCTGTACATTCAGAACCATGACAGCACTGAACTTTAAATTATAAGACCTAAATAAATGAAGATATATACCATCCTCCTGGATCAGAATACTCAGTATTGCTAAGATGTCAATTCCACCCAACTTGATTTATCTATTTAATAAAATTCCAATCAAAAACCCCAAAATGGTTTTCATAAAAATTTACAAGCTGAATGAAATATATATAGGGAAGTCTAAAGGGTCTAGAATAGCGAAAATAAATTTAGAAAATAAGTACTAAAATGAAGACACACAATATGTGCTTTTGAAACTCACTATTAAAGTATATTACTAAAGAAAAGATAAACATATAGAGCAATGAACAGAACACAGAATCTAGAAATAGACGTGCACATATGTGGATAATTGTTTCTTCACAATGGTAGCAAGGTAATTCAGTGGTTAAATATATATATATATATATATATATATATATATATATATATATATATATATCCAAGATATGAGTTCACATATCCTTATGGGAAATAATGTATCTGGGCAATTTTCACATACCATGCACAAATTTTAACATGAAATGGAATATATGACATATTGGCAGATTCTTTCAAAGCTACATATATATTTAATCAAACTTGTGTCACGTGAGAATGACTAAAATGTTCATAGCAATTTTAATCATAATAGCCCAAAACAGAAAACAAGTAAAATGACCACCACTTCGTGAATGAACAAACAAATTCGTGGTATATTCAAACAATAAATGAAAAGCAACAAAATAAAATGTACCCCAGCTTTATTTCCACATGATAGATGAATATCTAAAAAATAATAATGTATAAAAGAAGCTAGACACAAATGACAACATACGGTATGAGTTCATATATTTGAAGGCAGATCAGTGATTGCCACGAGCTCAAGGTAGGGGAAGTTTTAAAAACTATATTATTTATTTTTTTATTATTTAGATTTTAAATGGAAAATAAATATATTTATGAAGTACAATGTGATGTTTTAATATGGGCATGCTTTGCGCAATAATTAAATGAAGCTAATTAACATATCTATGACCTCACATACATATCATTTCTTTGTTGTGAGAATACTTAAAATCTATTCTTTAGCAATTTTGAAATTTATAATACATTATTATTAATTACAGTCATACTATACAGTAGAGCTCTAAAAAGTTATTCCTCTTGTTTAACTGAAATTTTTTACCCTTTAACCAACATTCTGTATTCTTTTTCTATGAATTTGACTATTCTGGATACTTCATATAAGTGAGGTTATACAGTAGTCTTTCTGCTCCTGGCTTATTTCACTTAGGATAATGTCCTCCAAGTTTATGCATGTTTTCAAAAATGGCAGAATTCTTTTTTTAATGGCTTAATGATATTCTTATGTGTGTATATATATATATATTTTTAATCCACTAATCCCTTTATGGACACTTAGGTTGACTCCACATATTGACTATTGTGACTAATGCTTCAATGAACATGCGAGTGCAAATATCTCTTTGAGATAATGATTTTATTTACCTTAGATATATATCCAGAAATGGGATTGCTGGATTACATGGTAATTCTGTTTTGAATTTATTGAAGAACCTTTATGCTGTTTGCCATAATGGCTGTACTAATTTACATTTCCACCAACAGCACGCAAGGGTTCCCTTTTCTTTACAATTGTTGAAGCAAACTAAATACAGCCTGAGAAAGACTCTATACCGCCGTATTAGAGTCCTTGTGGATGAACTGTAACCTAGTTTAATAGGCAGACAAGATTGACAATTTAACTTAGGAGTATGCGCCTGTAACAATAGCTGAGTCTTGGTCAATCCCAGCGGCCATACTTCAACCACTCATAGACTGCCAAGTGTTTAAACTGTTTTCAAATAAGGCAAATGCCAACCTGTAACCAATCCAGTCATTTCTGTACCTCACTTCTGATTTCTGTACATCACTTTCCTTTCCTTGTCTATACATTTGTTCTGACCATGAGGCATCCCTGGAGTCTCTCTGAATCTGCTGTGATTCTGGGAGCTGCCCAATTCATGAATCATTCATTGCTCAATTAAACTATTTTACATTTAATTTGGCTGAAGTTTTCTTTTAACAGATGATGTCAGAAACGGGGTCTGAAGTAGACCTTCTAAAGACCTCCAGGAGCACCGAGTGAACAAGCAAGGAAACTGCTAGACCCACTTGTGTTGTTTGATGTCTCAGAGCAGCTAGGGATCATGGGAAGTTGTTCTCGAATTTCAGAGCTCCAAGAATTTGTGTTTTGAGCTCTCCAAGTTTTTTTGAGCAAATTTCTGTTCCAAACTGGATTTGGAAGTTGTGACAGAAAGTGGACTGTGTCCAAGATGAGATTTGATCCTGTAATTAACTGTCTTAGATCCAGTTAGAGGCCTCCTTCATCTGACTGGGTTTGAAATAAACTGATAGTAAACGGTAATATTGCAGGGGATATAAATTTGGCTTTTAGAAATTTACGGGGATTTTTGTATTCTACCCCTTTGTTTCATTTCTCTTGCCCGCTTACCTAGAAAAAAAATCACTGGTTAAGTTCATCAAGGAAACGTGAAAGCAAAGCCAATATTTTAGGTAAAAATGGGATCCTTAATTTCTGGAAAACTGAGTTCCTTCCAGCTTATATACATTAGGCCAGGGAAGTAGCAAAGTCTAACAGAAATAGTGAAATGTTACTAAACAAGGTAACTTACAGTGGAACATTCCAAATGAACAACAACACACTGAAGTGCATAAAAAAAAAAAAAAGAAAGAAGGAAAGAAAAACTTGTCTTTTGTATTGCGGCTTTGCCTTCATGGCTATGGTATGGTGAACTGGGTCACTAGGGCTGCTCAGGGAAAGGGAACCGGGAAAGCCTGGTATGCTGACAAAAGGGTAAGAATTTCTTACCAGTCAGACTTCTGGCCTCTCCCTCTCTGTGCAAACCTGTTGAACAAATGGTAAAAATCACTGTTTATCTCCTCTGTAAAGTTTTGATTAATAAGAAAAAGAATTCTGAGGCCAGTCTTAAGCTCTAGCAAATCTGGTGTATTTTGTGCTATGAATTTGTTTTTCTGTGTTGAGGGGTACCTTAGGAATAGAACATGGATTTAGGACCCCATAAGCTTGGGGCTCAAGAAGTCCCAGCAATCTGGTCAGTAACAAACTTTGATATAGGTCCCTGAAACAAACAAATAAACAAACAAACTGGATGAGATGTCCATCTTGCTTTATGTCCTTGGGAGCTTGACCTTGTAACCATGTGGTGGCACTTTCTTGTGGTCTCCGCCTTCCAGGGAACAGGAATTTTAGGATTCATGCCAGAGTTAGCTCTAAAAATTATCTTGAATAGGTAAAAGCCTTTTCAAGCTCAAAATTAACTACTCTAGACTCCTTCTGGGAAGGGAAATGAAGACTGCCCAGTGCTGTAGCTCAGTAGCTAAACTTTTGCCTTTTCACAGTGGCCATCCAGGTACAATTCAACTACTGGCTTAAGGAATGAGTCTTTTCTGGTTTGATATCTGTGTGACCTTTACAATTGGTTGATTCTCTTCCCCTCCTCGAACTCTCTTGAATTTTCCTTTCTCTGAGCACCTGGGAGGTTACCTTTGGTAAAGTTCAAAAGCCAGTAATATTGGCTGCTTGGCATGGCGAAAGTCAGGTAATAGGAGATTTAAAAGGATTTTTTAAAGAGAACTATGGTTAAAAGTCAGCTTAATTAAAAGTGGATATCCAAGCTATACAAATATTTAAAAGGCCTTTATGTCTTTTTTCCCCTTCTTGAATCTTGTTAGGAAAAAATGTTTTTTTTCTTATCAGTCCACTGAATTATTTCTATCCATTTTGTCTTGCCAGTCTTCATGCACACATGAGAGGACCTAAGATAACTTCTGATAGCCTAGGACTCCTTGGGAAAAACAGAGGAGGCACCGCAGAACCTGTCTACAAACAAACAAACAAACAAAAACCAGTCTGTTTTCTTCATGAAACCCCAGGAATTAAAAGCAGATAGATCCCTTTAAAAATCTAAGGCTTTGTTCTGTTTTGCATTGTGTTATCTGATGGTTTTGTGAAGTAATCAAAATTACTTCACATTATGAGAGAGCTTTGATGTGTAATAACTAGGTAGGAAATGTACTTTTAGTGATGGCTGGTGGCAGTTATGGGGAAATACTAGTTCTTTGCATGTTTGGATTAGAGAAGCATGCTCTTGGACACCTGGACATTATGGAAATGTCCCCACTCCACAATGAGGGAGAAGACTCCCATGGGGATGGGCTGATTCCCTCTTTCTGGGATCCAGGATCTGGTACAAAAATGGGACCTTTGATTTTTGGAGATCTGTTTTGCCTTCCAGCTGTGCCTGCTTGTTAGGCCCTAGAAACTGAATGTTTTCCTAGCCATTTCTTCTCCAGACTGCACCCTAAGGTCAGTAATCCAATTAAGAAACTTAGAAACTGGTAAATGAAATATCTTACAACTACTGGACCTTCTTCTGTCTGTATATTTGTATGTGTTTTGGTGTGTGATGTTTATATAAAAGAGCTCTAATTAATTGGCTTAAAGAAAAATAACTGCTTAAATCAAATATATTGAAAGAAAAATTAATACTGTAATGTTCTATAGCTCACATAACTTTAGTAATCTTTGGAACAAATCTGATTCTTAGATACACAAGTGTACTTATTTAGTAATAATTCATCAAACATTCCATAAATGTTTTCTGCCTATATTGCTGTATGCATGTTATACATCAGTAAAAATTTAAAGAGTACATATTTGCAAAAAAATATAATAAAATAAAATAGTTTTAAAGATTATTAGCAAAATAAAAACATTTGGTCTAAATTATGCAGGCCAGATATTAGGTTTGCTAATTGCTTTAAGGTCATAAACTGCTTCTTTGACTTTTAAAAATTGTTCAATTTATTCTGGAGCGTTAGATTCTAAAGAAAGTCTGGGGACATGTGGAATTAGTCATGTGCCCTAGCTATGCAAAGAAGGTTATAAATAAAAGAGATTTTATATAAGAGGGAATCTTGTATGGCAAATTCATGTCCTAAAGTAAAATAACTGGTTGTTTAAAAAGAGGGATGTTTAGGACAAGTCAGAAAGTCCAAGCATGTCATGTCTGTGGAAGTCATGAGAGAATTCATGAAAGGAAATGTATGCACTGAAAGTAAATGTTGCTCAGAGTTACCATTGTAACATGTAATTGAAACTACTGAAAACATAATTTTACGTGCAAGGTGTGTGAGGAAGGTGTGTGTGTCTATAAATTTGTTCTGACCCCGAGGCATCCCTGGAGTCTCTCTGAATCTGCTGTGATTCTGGGGACTGTCCAATTCACAATCCATTCATTGTTAAAATAAACTTTTAAAAATTTAATTTGGCTGAAGTTTTTCTTTTGACACATCCTTGCTAACATTTTTTCCCCTTTTGGTAATGGTCATTCTAACCTGTGTTAAGTGATATCTCACAGTGGTTTCAATATGCACTTCCATGATGATTAGTGATGCTGAGCATTTTTTTTCATATATTTGTTTGTCATTTGAATGTCTTCTTTTGAGAAATGTCTGTTCAGGAAAGCAGAGGGTGGGCAGCTTATTGGTAGCAAGTGTCCTAAAGGAATATTCTGGGGGTGATGGAAATGTTCTCTATCTTGACTATGGTGGTGTTTACATGCCTTTATATATTTGTCAAAAGTAATTAAATTGATAACATTATTTAAGTAAATTATACCTCAATGAAGCAGGTTAAAAAAATAAAACATGCCATTATTTAATGAGTAACTAGGGGACTGAAGGGGAAGACAGGTCTGAGAAAATAATATTTATACTAACAATATACTAAAATGTTTGTGCATAAATCCAGCAAGGTGGTGCAAATGCTAAACCTATTGTTATCTCCACATCAAAAATAATAGTAGTATTTCTCCAGCCTCATTTAAACTCTTTAGAAAGAACACATACAGCAAAGAGCACAAGAAAGAAAATCCTCAGAGAAAATAATAAAAAGTAGAAATGAGTGAGTCACCTTGCAGGAGGAAAGGGAAGGCCAGAATCTCTGGTGTGGGCCAAGGGAGAAGGTGCATCAGATGAAATCAGGAGAGCAGACACAGTTCAGATCACCAAAGCTTCATAATTCAGAACAAAATCTTCATTTTTTATATTAATTGTGAAGGTGGAGAGAGGGGTTATAAACTCAACTGAGTTGTATAATTTGTGTTTCAAAAAAATCATTGCATTAGAGACAGCAGATTGTGTGAAAGCAAAGGTGTAAACATGGAGAGCCATTGGGAGACAATCATAGTAGACTAAGAAAGATGTGATAAAAGTGTTGGATCAAAGTAGTAGTAGTGGTTAATTGTTTAGGAGGTAAATTAATAGGACTTACGATAGACTGCATGTGGAAAGCAAGATAAATTAAAGATGCTGCCGAACTTTTTGTCCTGAGTGACAGGGTAGATACAGTTGCTAATTGCTCAGCTGAGAACACAAGGAGTGGGAATAGGCTTTAAGGGAAGGGGGTACAGTTAAGACCTTAGACCTGAGCACTTATCCTCTTATGTAGGAAATCATACCACTTTAGGTCAGAAGAAAATCCTCTTTATGGATAGCATTTTGTTTTGGTTTTTCTGTAACTTAGATATACCCTTGCTCTCAATTTATATTTCCTTTTCCCCCTTTTCTCTTATTTCCACTTAAATACAGAAATAACCAGTGACAGAAATTATTCAAAATACATAATTTATTTTACAATTTAACACTTTTATCTCAATAAAAGGAAGGCAAAATAAATTACAAGAAAAAGGATAAAATGAATATCTAGAAATCCCCACAGGATAAACCTGAATGCCTACTTTAAAGATCCTTAACCTGAAAACATCTAAAAGATATTTTAAAAATATATGGTAAAACTAAAGAGAAAGAAAAAACTTAATTCACCTCTTCTTGATAAACCCTTGTCAATACTATACATTTAACTAATATATATTACGATGTAATATATACATTGTATGTATGTAACTACTACATATTACAATGTGTGCCCTTAAATTAAAAAAAGATAATACAAATCCTAGAGAAAAAAATTATATTGCCACCCCAAGAGAAAGAATCATATCTTTCCTCCTGTACATATATGGTGCATAATATGTGCTCGATTTGTGTTGATCTTAACTATATCCTTTATTAACATCATTACTGTCATTATCAGCATCATCGAAACAAATATTTACCGAGTACTTAAAGATTTAAGTTACTGATTTTAAACTCTGTAAAAGTTTCATTAGATTATGCAGATAGACTTGGAGACATTTCAAGAGAAGAAGGTTCTATTCTAGCTTCAAACCTATTGCTTTGCACTCCCTGTGGCCACAAGAACTCACTTTAGTGTTTAGAAATCATTGCTCTACAACAGGAGTTGACATTGTTTTTTTTCTGGAAAAGGCCAGAGGTAAGATTTTAAACTTTGTGAGCTATATAGTTTCTGCTGCAACTACTCAAATGCATTGTAGCACAAAAGTAGCCATGGGAAGTATATAAAAAATAGAACTTAGCTGTTTTACAAACTACTTACAAACCACCAATCTACCCTTTATCTTTATGAGATACATTTTTAAGCTCCTTCATATGAGTGAAAACATGCAATATTTGTATTTCTATGCTTGACTTATTTCATTTGGCATAATGACCATGTTGCTGCAAAGGACAGGATTTTATTCTTTTTTATGGCTGAAAAATATTCTATTTTGTATACATAGAAATTTTCTTAATCCATTCATGCATTGGTGGGCACTTAGGTTGATTCCATATTCTGGCTATTGTGAATAGTGTTTTAATAAACATGGGAATGCAGATATCCCTTTGATATATTGATTTCCTTTCTTTTTTATATAGTAAGTAGTGAATTGGCTGGATAACATGGTAGTTCTACTTTTATTCTTTTGAGGAACCATCGTACTGTTTTCCATAGTGGCTGTACTAATTGACATACCCACTTACAGTGCTCAAGGGTTTCCCATTCTCCACATTTTCACCAGCATTCGTTATTCCTTGTATTTTTTTTTCATAATGACCATTTAAACTGGAGTGAGGTGATATCTCATTGTTGTTTTGATTTTCATTTCTCTGATGATAGTAATTTTGAGCATTCTTTCGTATAACTGTTGGCCATTTATGTATCTTCTTTGGTGAAATGTCTTCAGATCTTTAGTCCATTTTTTAAATTAAATTATCTGTTTTTCACTATTGATCTGTCTTAGCTCGTTATATATTATGGTTATTAATCCCTTATCAGATGGATAGTTTGAAAAAAATTCTCCCAATCTGTGGGTTGTCTTTTCACATTGTTGATTGTTTCATTTGCTGTGCAGAAGTTTTTTTAGCTTGACGTGATCTCATTTGCCTATTTTTGCTTATTGCCTGTGCTTTTGAGGTCTACACAAAAACTATTTGCCAAGACTAATGTCCTAAAACATTTTCCCAATGTTATGTTGTAGTATTTTCATAATTTCAGGACTTAGATTTAAGTCTTCAGTACAAAATCAGATTGGCTGGCTGAACTTGGTCTGTGGGTTGTAGTTTGCCAACCACTGCTCTAAGACAAGAATTTCGTTTTTATCTAAATCTTGGCCAACCTGGCTGCTTCAATCATGAAGTTGATGTAATGCAGAGTGACTAGAAAATTGCATGAAAATATTGGCCTTTAAGCAACACTCATTAATCTCATAGGTTCTCACTCTTATTTAATATAGCAAGAGCAATAAAGAACATTCAGCAATAAAATGAATGTCTAATTAAATTGAAATGTTTTAATAATCCTTCATATGTGATCAGTTTATCTCATTCTTAAAAATGCAGTATTGAAGACAAAACAAAATAAAATAAAATAAGTATGAGTGTATGAATATATGAGAGATACATGAGTAGGTGGGAAATGGCTTAAGATTACTTTTTTTTTTACATTTATGACTGGGGTTTGAGTACCTTTGGAACAAATATATATATATGTGTGTGTATATATGTGTGTGTGTGTGTGTGTGTGTGTGTGTGTGTGTATATATATATCACAGCTCATTGTATATAATACAGATTTTTTTTTGTTTCTTGACCACAAGGACTGAGGACTAAAGCTTGGTTATAGGTACAAGACAGAGACATCCACAAAAGGAGGCAAAGGGCTGATAGACATTAAACCAGTGTTTCTCAACCTTGGCACTATTGACATTTGGGGCCAGATAATTCTTTGTTGTGCATGTTTATGTGCTGCATTATAGAATATTTGGCAGCAATTCTCACCTCTGCCCATTAAATGCCAGTAGCAATATCCACTTGTGACAACAAATTATATCCACAGATATTGCCAGTTGTCATCTAGGATGCAAAACTGCTGCTGGTAGAGAATAGATGGGCTAAAAGAATAAAAAAAGACCTAACTCTTGACACTTTTCCTCCACTTCAAGCAGAAATTATACTTTCTTGTTCTTTGCAATCATAATATATTCTCCCTTGGCATAAAAGATAAAACGTATGTACAAATGATACATTTGGTTTTGTTTGTTTGTGTTTTAGAGATGTGGTCTCACTATGTTGCCTAGGCTGGCCTTGAATTCCAGGGCTTAAGCGAGCCTCCCACCTCAGCCTCACAAGTAGCTACAACTACAGGCATATACCACTGCCCTGGCTAATTTTTTTAAATTATTTTATTTTAATGTTCGTGGAAAATATTTTGAAAAGAAAATTATAAGAATAAATATATTAAGTTATTACTAAAATGACTCCATTTGCTTCTGAATGTTTGTATGGACCATTCATATCACACAATTTATTAAAAAATCAAAGGTGGATGTGTCTATTGTGCATTTACTTTCTGACTACTTTGGATGCCTGCCTTATCAAATGAGAAGAGTGTATTTGGTAGCTCAATTTTTAGGTTTTTGAGGAACCTCCAAAATAAAGTATGTAATTGGATTATTTGTAACTCAAAGAATAAATGCTCAAGGGGATGGATACCCTACTCTCCATGATGTGCTTATTTCACACTGCATGCCTATATCAAAACATCTCATGTACCCCATAAATATATACACCTACTATGTACCCACAAACATTTTTTAATAAAATTTTAGAAAAGATTGCATTTGGTAAAATTCCATTTTCAAAACAAAGCACAATGGGAAAACTACACTTGAAACCACCAAAAAGTTTAAAACAGCTCTGTTTAAGTAATTGCTGTGAAGATTTGTCACAAATTTATATTTATATTGCTGAAATCACTGTTAGACCTGAATGCAAATCTTATAGATATTTAATCAAATATTTTTTAAAAGACACTTGCTTCTCATAAAAAGATGTATCCAGTGTACTGTGTGAGAATATAATGTTTTTAACATTAGGTCTCATTCTATGTAATCTGGAGTAAAGTATCATATAAAACCTTTTGTTGCATACAACAGTAACATTACTACAGATTTTCTAAGTTCTGAGCATTTTAATGAATTTTGAACTATTAAATTCCTCATGTATCTCTATAAAAATTCTATGCAATTACTTATATTTATGGAACATTTAAAATGTATTAGTATTAAGGACAAATGAAAGAGTATGAAATAAAGGTTGATAATTAAAGATTTCACTAATTTAAATATTGGCCCTAAACTCAATTAAAATGTTGTTCAGAATTCAATAGTGAGTCAGATTTTCTCGGGAATGTTTGAGCAATAGACAGCTCTCTGATACATGGGTGCACATGGCCATCATACATGCCAGAAAGATTTAATATTCCCACTTTGCTTTTCACTATCAGAATTCATCTTTACTGTAGATATTTAAAACACTTTATGATATAATACCTAGTGTATACCACAAACATCTAAGCTGTGCTGAACAATGTAGAAGCTACACTTATTATATAGGATATCTAACGTAATACAAATCACGTATTGTTGTTCTTTTGAGCAAGGTATTTTAGTATATACAAACATAACTGAAATATACTCTACCTTAAGCCACGTAACTGAAATACACTCTACCTTAAGCCACTTGCTAGGCATAATGGTCAAAATCAAGATACAGTCACACACACTTTTATTACATGAAGGTTCATCCATACTATATATTAGAGACACATAATACCATGAAATGCACAAAGGGGAGAAAAACTGTTATCCAAGGAGACACAGATGTTTCACACTACAGGTGTCTTTATATAGGATGTCAGAAATCCTGACATTCAAGGCCGAAAAGAAGCATGAATACATGTTGTTAAAAATACAAAAATAGAGACAAATTCATTGTCCATTAGAAGAACAGTTAAAGAAGTTACCATACAGCTATTAAAACGTTGATGAATATGTGAACTGACTGACATGAGAAGATTGGCCCATGACAGACTGTTAAGGAGGAAGGCTACAGACAGCATAACAGCATTGGAACCAATCCTGTTTTTATAATTGCATGTTGTACATGAGAATGTGTGCACAGAAAAAGGGATACAACTCCATATACCAAAATTAGAGAAAAGATAAAGTTATTTTAAGTCTGTGTTCAAACAATTGGAACAGGACAAAAGGAGTTGAAATTTGACTGTGGATAAATCCAGTTCTCAGAGAAATTGTTATTTTTTTCCATGTTCTCTAATCTCTCACCTCCAAAAACTTGGTCCTTTCCCTCAGCTGGTTTTTACGTGTTCCCCTTTCCTCAAAAAGAGGGGCTTCATATTTCTCTTTACAGAATCTCTCATCTCTCTCCTCTTTTTGAAAACCTTGCTTCTGAGAAATTACCCAATAAATAAACAAAGAGGAAATGTAGAAAACAAAAACAAAAACAACTCTGACATGTTTAAACAAAGGGCAGAAATATGCACTTGAATCAAAACAACCAAATGGGTTTACTATAGTTAGAGTGTAGCTGTGTGAGTGGGTGCAATTTTAGCAGGCCAAAAAACTAGAATAGATAATGACTATTTAAAACCAAATGGTTGAAAGCTTCAAACATCATGCTAATGAGTGTGAGATCTCTCTGCAGGAAATGAAAAGTAGAACAGGTCTTTGCACAGTGCATATCAAATGCCACAATAGATGCTCACCCTTACCAATCCACTTTTAGGAATAGATAAGGAAATACTAGCAGAAAGATTTAGTGAAATTGATAATCTTAGGCATACTGTTTGCAGTGATGAGAAATTATAAATAGTTTATAAGCTTATCAATAGGAAAGACTTCAATAAATTATGGTCTATCCAGTTAATGGAATATTATGTTACTAGTATAAAAACAAATTTTAAGTTAAATAAACATAATTTTCAAATGAAGAGATTGTGGTTCCTCTTAACTAGGTAACAACAAAAAATGGGGAGAGACTGTTTTGGAAGAGTAATTAATGCAATGAAACATATTTACAGGACATTGAAATCTAGGTTAAACAAAATATATACAATGATTTCTATTTTGTAAATTATATGCATTAATGTGAATATTAAATATTATATTGCATATTATATATAATATATATGCACAATAAAATAGTAATGGTAATTCTCTCCAGTATATAGGATTATGAGCAAGTATTAACTTAATTTTTAGATTTGTCTACATTTCCTAAATCTTATATAATGAATATATAATACTTTTGTAAGAAAAAACCTATTGAAATTATTTGTTAAAGAGAGTTTCTCAGAAGCTGAACGAAATAATTGATATGAATTATTAAGAAGATGTCTATAGTAACAATAGGAAATTGAGGTCTCAAAGATGATGTTAAAATTTGAAGTATAAGATGTAGGCATGTTGGTGATGTCATTATCTGGGACTGACAAAAAATGAGAACATTTTGAAGAAAATAATTATTTTGGTTTGGTTAATTAATTGGGTTCTAGGTAGAAATATTATATGGAAATGTCAGTAATGAACTAAAGATGCTGCTTCAGAGCTTAATACAGAATGAGTTTTGCTGGAAAATGCTTGAGTAATAGACAGCTTGCAGATGCATGGGTGCACAGACTGAGTTATGCCAAAGCTTGTTTTAGTAAACTCAATCTGTTACTCTCATTTAAAAATCTTTATTTCTTTTGTGGAAAGCACTGAAATGTGATCATCCTAAATACAATTCTTGGAGATTTGATTTAAAAAATCTAAAATAATACTTGAAAGTCTCTGCTGCTTTAAGTATTATAATCAGTAAACTAAAGTGAAAGTGATGTCTTCTAATCTCAGAGGTTTTATAATCAAAATGTACTATATTTTTAGTACAAAAGTGAACCAATTCACTACAACTAGGGAAAAATGAAAGTCTTACATATCACAGGTAGCTTATAATTTCTTTATTAACTAAATACTGTGACATGTTCCTCTCCTTTTACAATTAAATATTGTTAAAATTTTAGCAATTAAAGACAAAATATTTAACTGTTGTACACTTTAAAAGTTTACCTTTTAAAATATCAATATTTATTATAGTATTGGTATTATATATCTTGAGTAGTACAAATAGCATTCTAATTCAAAGCAGAATAATCAATAATAATCCTATTTATAAAACAGATCTAAGGAAGAGAAAATAATAGGATGAGAAAGAAACAAGAATACTAGAGTGTGTAAAAATTCAATTTATATGTTAACTAAACTACCACTGCCCATCATCTGCTGTATAAATTATGGCCTACAGTTATCAAGGGAACAGTTACTTTCTTGATACTTCTTAATTAACTGTTTTTGATAATCAATAACTGTTCTGCATGCTAGGTTGTATTGGCACATCAAAGGAAATATGTTGTGAGTTTTAAGGAAGATATTGTGTTTTTGTTCTGCATCAAATTCTGCAGATTGCTCCTCTTGTTTGTCCAATGTCATTGATAAAATTATCGCCAGCCATCCTGTTACTTAGAAATAGAAAATTCAACAACAATTTTCACTCTCCTCTCACCCCCCATGTTTTTGACTGCTAAGAAACATTACTTTTTTCTGTCTTTCTCAACTCAGTATTTAGTTTTTCTTTCTTTTTCCTGTGCTAATTTCTTCCAAAGTTTCTTCCAAAATTTTCTGTTTGCCGTGCTAATTTCTTCCAAGAATCTGTTCTTGGATAGACTTTGTCTTCATTCACTGCTTGGGTTATCATATCCGGTTTCTTGGTTTCAAACGTAATTCATTTGCTGCTGATTATAAAATTATGTTTTCATTTTATTCTCTACATTGAAAAACCACTCATGAACCTGCTAGCTTACCTGGCATCTCCATTGAGTGTTGCATAGAAAACTCACATCACAAGTTTTCAATGAAATATTTTATGCCACACTCCCCATCCTCCAAATTCTCATTATATGCTGATGTTGTTGCTCATCTCAAAAACTGGTAACTCCCTTCTGTGAGATGTTCCAGGCAAAATTATTGGACACATTTTTCCTTTGTCTCCACATCTAATTCCTCAGCAATATTTTTTAAAATAATAGTGTTAAATCTCAATATTACTGTGGAATGTCATTGGCCTAAATGCTCCACTTAAAAATAGAGAATGGCAGAATGGACTTTAAAAAACATCAAGTAACTGTCTGCTGTCTGTAAGAGACTCACCTAACACATAAGGATTCATATAAATACCAGGTTAAAGGGTAAAAAAATATATTCCATGCAAATATAAACCAAAGCAAGCAGGAGTCACTATTCTTAGATCAGACAAAACAGACCTTAAAGCTTTAAAGGAAAAAAGACAGAGAAGACATTACATAATGATAAAAGGACCAGTCCAACAATAAGATATTACAATCTGAAACTTATATGCACCTAACACTGAAGATCCCCAATTTATAAAACAATTACTACTAGACTTAAGAGATGAGACAGCAACACAATAATAGTGGGGGACTTCAATACTCCACTGATAGCTCTAGTCAGATAATCAAGACAGAAAGTCAACAAAGAAAAAAATGGACTTAAACTATACCCTATAACTAATGGACTTAACACATATTTACAGATCCTTCTTCTCAAAAGCTTCTGAATATACATTCTTCTCATCAGCACATGGAACTTTCTCCAAGATAGACCATATGAACCATATGATAGGCCATGAAACAAGTCTCAACAAATTTAAGAAAATGAACATTGTATCAAGTATCTTCTCAGATCACAGTGGAATAAAACTGGAAATCACTCCAAAAGGAACCCTCAAAAATATACAAATACATGGAAATTAAATAATCTGTTCTTGAATTAACTTTTGCATTAACGATGAAATCAAGATGGAAATTTAAAATTCTTTAAAATGAAAAATAATAGGTATCAAAACTGCTCAAATATATCAAAAGCAGTGCTAAGAGGAAAGTTCATAGCATTAAATGTCTACATCAAAAAGTTTGAAAAGCACAAATTGGCAATTTAATGTCATACCTCAAGGAACTAGAGAAACTGGAACAAACTAAACCCAAAGCCAGAAGAATAAAAGAAATAACAAAGATCAGAGCAGAATTAAATTAAATTGAAACAAAGAAGATACAAAAGATAAATGAAACAAATAGATTTTATTTGAAAAGACAAACAAAATTGATAGACTATCAGTGAAATTAACCAGGAAAGGAAGAGAGACGATCCAAACAAGTTCGATTATAAATGAAACTGGAAATGTTATATCCAATACCACAGAAATACAAAAGGTCACTCAAGGATACTATGAACACCTTTACATGCACAAACTAGAAAATCTAGAAGAAATGGATAAATTCCTGGAAATATACTACCCTGATAGATTAAATCAGGAAGAAACAGAAACCCTGACCAGACCAATAACAAGCAGTGAGACTGAACCAGTAATAATAATAAAACAAAATTGCCAACAAACAAAGTCCAGGACCAGAAGGATTCAGAAGAATTGGTTCCAATCCTACTAAAACTATTCCAAAAACACAGAGAAGGAATTCTCCCTAAATCATTCTATGAAGTTAGTATCACCCTAATACCGAAAGCAGGAAAGGGCATAATAAAAAAAAAGAAAACTACAGAACAGTATCCCTGATGAACACAAATGCACAAATCCCCAACAAAATACTAGCTAACTGAATCCAACAGCAGAGCAAAAAGATAATATATCATGATACATTACATAAACAACATTAAAACAAAACCTATATGATCATCTCACTAGACACAGAAAAAGCATTTGATAAAATACAGCATCCCTTTATGATAAAAAAAAAACCCCTCAACAAAACAGGCATAGAAGGGACTTACCTCAAAGTAAAAACAAAAAAGCCAATATGACCATCCCACAGCCAACATCATACTGAATGGAGAAAAGTTAAAAGCATTCCCTCTGAGAACTGGAATAAGAGAAGAATGCCCACTTTCACCACTTCTATTCAACATAGTACTGGAAGTCTTAGCCAGAGCAATCAGGCAAGAGAAATAAATAAAGGACACCCAAATTGGAAAAGAGGAAATCAAATGGTCAGTTTTCACTGATGATGGAATTGAATACCTAGAAAACCCTAAAGATTCATCCAAAAGGATCCTAGATTTGATAAACAAATTCAGTAAACTCTCAGGTTGAAAAATCAATATACGCAAATCAGTCACACTGCTATACACCAACATCAACCAAGTTGAGAATCAAATCAAGAACTCAATCTCTTTTACAACAGCTGGAAAAAATGTCCAGGAGTATATTTAACCAAAGAGGCAAAAGAACTCTACCAGGAAAACTACAAAACACAGCTGAAAGAAATCATAGATGACACAAACAAATGAAAACTCATCCCATGTCCATGGATGAAAAGAATAAATATTGTGAAAACAATCAAACTTCCCAAAGCAATCTACAGATTCAATGCAATTCCCATCAAAATACCATCATTTTTCACAGAACTAGAAAAAAAAATCCTAAAATTCATATGGAACCAAAAGAGTGTCTGCATAGCCGAAGCAATATTAAGCATAAAGAACATATCTGGAGGCATCACATTACCAGATTTTAAATTGTACTACAAGCCTATGGTTACCAAAACAGCACAGTACTGGTATAGAATAGACACTTCGAGAACACACAAATAAAGCCAAATACTTATAGCCAACTGGTCTTCAACAAAGCAAACAAAAACGTAAATTGGGAAAGGATATCCTATGCAATAAATGGTGCTGGGAAAACTGGCAAGCCACATGTAAAAGAATGAAACTGGATCCCTATCTCTCAGCTTATACAAAAATCAACTCAAGATGGATAAAAGACTTAAATCTAAGACCTGAAACCATAAAAAGTCTGGAAAATAACATTTGAAAATCTCTTGTGCACATAGGTATAGGCAAAGAATTCAAGACTAAGATTCCAAAAGCAAATGCAACAAAAAACAAAATAAATAAATGAGACCCAATTAAACCAAAAAGCTTCTGCACAGGAAAATAAATAATCACCAGAGCAACAGACAACTGACAGAGTTGGAGAAAATATTCACAAACTATTCATTGGACAAAGGACTAGTATACAGAATATACAAAGAACTCAAACAAATTCAGTAAGCAAAAAGCAAATAATACCATCACAAAGTGGGCAAAGGACATGGAAGACATTTCTCAAAAGACATACAAACAGCCAACAAACAAATAAAAAATGCTCAAAATCGCTAATCAATAGGGAATGCAAATTTAAACGACAATTAGATACCATCTTACTTTCCCAAGAATGGCCATAATTAAAAAGTCAAGAAACAAGAGATGTTGGTATGGATGTGGTGAAAACGGCACACTGTAAAAATGTAATCTGCTGGTAAGAATGTAAGTTAGTACAACCTCTATGGAAAACAGTATGGAAATTCCTCAAAGAACTAAAACTAGATCTACCATTCATTCCAGCAATCCCACTACTGGGTATCTACCCAAAGGAAAATAAGTCATTATATGAAAAAGACACATGGACATGCATGTTTATAGCAACATACTTTGCAGTTACAAGGATATGGATTCAACCCAGTGCTCATCAACAAATGAATGAATGAAGAAAATGTGGTATGGAATACTACTCAGTTATAAAAAGAATAAAAAAAACTAACATATTTTGCAGAAACTTGGATGGAGCTAGAGTCTATTATACTAAGCGAAGTAACTCAGGAATGGAAAACAAATACTGTGTTCTCATTACAAGTGGAAGCTATGCTATGAGGATACAAAAGGATACAGAGTGATGTAATGGACTTCCGGAACTTGCTGTGGGGATTGGCAGTGTACATATTGGATACAGTGTACACTGCTCATTTGACACGTACAGTTAAACCTCAGAATTCATCACTGAAGAACTCATCCATGTTTAACCAAAAAACACCTGTACCCTAAAAACTACAGAAATAAGAACCCAATCATTTTCTACGAGTTTCCACTTTAACCATTCTCATGTGAGCCAGCATTATCTCTAGCGTGAGGTATTTCAATATTCTTATAACAGGTCTCCCTACTTCCTTCCTTGGACTTCTGTAGGCTATTCTCTACTCATGTATCAAAGAAATACTTTCAAAAAGGTATCTAATTTATAATATTGACACTTGCCCCACATTTTCCGTTGGCTTTCCATCTCATGCAGAAAAATAAAAGTTAATTACTGTGTAAACTGGTCTCCTGTAACCTCCCTAACTTTGTGACCTTCTCTACCCTCCTACTCACCTAGCTCTAGCCACACTGACCCCCTTGTTGTTCTGCAATCATGCTTGAAAGGTCCTGTTTTATAGCTTTTACTCTTGTGTTTGAAATGTGCTTTCTCCTGTAGTCACATGATCCCATCCCTCAATTCTTTAAGGTCACTACACAAAGTAGCCTCATCAGGAGTAGCCTAAACCCCATTTGGTATTTTGTTTTTGTTTTAGTATATAATATGAGTCTCCTCCTACAAATATGCAGCCAATTAATTGTTTAATGCCTACATTTTTCTAACTAGAATGCAAACTCTATTGGTATAGGGTCTTTTTGGAGAGTTGTTACTATATATATATCTCAATTCTAGAACCGAGACATGTGCTTAACAAGTGTTTTCTAATGGGTAAATAATTGAACTAATTTTCTCAATATTAAATATATGGATGATCCCCTAGTTTCTTGCATGATACACTTTTTGAAGAAAAAGATATATGAAATTAATTTATCCAAAAGTAAAATAAAAGCAAAGCATTTTTCAATACCAAGAACTTAAATGCTTTTGGAATTCATCAAATATATCGCTTTTTAGACATTGGCATGAAAGTTATATTTTAGGTATGCATTTATATCACTGATTTTTATTTTTCAACAAATACAATATTCAGAACAAGGTTAAAATGCCACTACTTTTCATGGATACTGTTCTATTTTAATATTTTCAAGTACAGCACTTTTTTCAAATATCAGCTTTTATTTTCTTTTCTATTATTTTACTAAATAAGAGAGAAAAGAAAAGAAAAATTCAAGTACATATTGAATACATTTCAATGCATTCACACAAAGACAAAGATGTTGATGCTACTGGAGCAGAATTCTTCCTCATGAGCAATCTCATCATGTAATCACTTTTAATTTTCATCAGTAGATGCAGAAAAGACCAAATTTGGTTTCTAAAGGACAGAACTTTACTACCAGGGTGTGAGAATGTGGGCTGTATACAAGTTGAAGGTAACGTTCGTATAAAACTGGGGCAATACAGCTGACTGAGGTACCTCTAAGATCTAAGTCAATAAAATAAGAATGTCGTTAAGAGTACATAACAATAATTGATGTTCCTCTACCCCTAGATACTGAGTCACTGTATTCACAATAGACCAAAATTTAGAGTTTTTAGTAAAAAACGTACATGCTCCTGCTATATGATGCCTGATACTTTAAGAAACACAACATGTATGAGAAAAAAAAATATGATAAAGCATATATTTTGGGTTTCTGATTGTCTTAGTGCATTATTTATATTCCATTTTCATTGGTGCTTCAAGCTTATTGACATAATTCAAAGATTTACTTTTGCTTCATCATTGAGCAGAAACTACATTCAAAGATATCCACTTCCTCAGCTTTACCTCCTTAATCTTCTGAAATGAGGAGCATGAATAATCTTTTGCCTTTATACTTATTTTTGGAGGGTGTAGATAATAGGAATTTGTCTAGCACTGACTTTTTTAACCTTAGGCTACCCGGTACCAACTTCTAACTATTCCTTCCATTAGTGTGTCGGTTTCTTTCCATCTCATGGAAAAGACCCAGATGAGGGCTGCAGAGGATGTGTTTTCTTTGAAGCTGAAACACCTACAGCAGTTAAAATATGGGAAAAATATTGTCTTGGCAGGACTAAAGTACTATTTCAAGTTCAATGTTAAATAAAGGTTCTCTGTAGCTGGAAGTTTTAATATAATTAGCTGTAGCTCAACTTATGTTATATTATAATAAGAATGTTATTTTTCAAGACAGAAAAAATCAATCAGAGTCATTCCTCTGGAGACCACATACGAAATGTTAATATTTCACCAGCTATGTTGTATACATCTCTCTTTTTTTTAGTATTCTTCCATATAAAAGTAAAACCTTACCAAACAAGCTCATATATTTTAGAAATAAATAACTGACCTCAGAATATTCCATAGGATGGAATTTTTATTTTTTATTAGTTTAAGTACAATACAACTTAAATCCACCAGTAAACCAATTTATTTGCTGATCAATATTTAATATTTATGTTTTTTAAAATTTGCATACTTCATTTGATGTTTTATTAAACTATTCTATACCAAATGACTTGAAAAATATAAAAATCTCTTAGTAACAATATACCATGTGTATTTTTGTTAATTTTTGTTTTGTTTTGTTTTCTCTGAATAGAGGCAGGATCTTGCTATGTTGCCCAGACTGATCTTGAACTCCTGGCCTCAAGCAATTCTCCTGCCTTGGCCTCTCAAAGTGTTAGCCACCATGCCCAACTGAACTTTTTTTTCATATGACTTCAGTAACAATGTAATCATAAGAGCCATTGGAATGTTTACTTACTTGACAATAATTAACACAATCAAAGCAAGATCAATAAGATCAAAACAACACAAAACAAGGACAAAGATATGAAGTCGTAAATATCAGTAATTTAAAGCGATTAGTGAAGACTTTTATTTGTAAACCAATAGCACAACTCTACTTAAATGAGTGTATGAAAAGAAAGCTTATTTCTCTGTTTAATTAAGAAATCCAAGCCTAGCTGGGCTGTACTTCATCTTTAGGCAAGTTATTATCACCTACTACAGGAAGTTGGCTGTAGCCCGCTTTTTATGTCCTATTTTTATCTTATTTATATCCTATTTTCCAGCAATCCATGTGGAAAATATATTTTGCTTTACCAAAAGTTTCAGTGCAATAGTGAGTCTGATAACAGGTGGCCCAAACTAGATCATGCACTGTATTATTTTGTTTTCATGCTGCTAGTAAAGACATACCCGAGACTGGGCAATTTATGAAAGAAAGAGGTTTATTGGACTTACAGTTCCACGTGGCTTGTGAGGTATCACAATCACAGCAGAAGGCAAGGAGGAGCAAGTCATGTCTGACACGGATGGCAGCAGGCAAAGAGAGAACTTGTGCAGGGAAACTCACCCTTATAAAGCCATCAGATCTCATGAGACTTATTCATTATCACAAGAACAGCACGGGGAAGACATGCCACTATGATTGAATTACCTCTTACTGGGTCCCTCCAACAACATGTGAGAATTCAAATTGAGATTTTGGTGGGGACAAAGCCAAATTATATCATGCACCTATTCATGAATCAGGGCAACAAGGATAAGCCATTGGCCCAGATCTGGCTCTTTATCCCAAACTTGGAGGTGAAGTTGGAGTCAATGTCATTTCTACAAGCAACATTGGACTCTGAGTGAGGAGGATGGTTCCTCTGAACTATGATAGGTTTTTTTGTCAAAGGTGAAATGGAAACTGAGTAGGAAGAGAAAAACAGACATCCAGTACTATGAAAATTGTTCTAGCATTCGTCTAAGCTTAAAGAATACATGATTAATTTACTCTTTGTTTTTAATCAGTTTACAAATCATATGACTTTGACTCCTTCCCACAATCTGTTGCTTGCTATTTGGAACATCTGAATGGCAGCTAGCTTTGTACATTAATGTAGGGCATTCTGTAAGAAAGAGGTGAGAGAAAGGGTGAGAGAGATACCCTCCCTTATTATTCTGTTTACATTCTTATCTTGTCTTAATTATAGCGATTTTAAAAATATTTTTTCAAAGCATCATTATTAACCCATAGCAGTGCTACAGTAATATTTCCAAAGCTATTTCCAGCCCAAAGCAGTGGCTCATGTCTGCAATCCAAACCCTTTGGGTGGCCAAGGTGGGAGGACCAATTGAGGCCATTAGTTTGAAACTAGACTGGCCAACATAGGGAGACCCTGTCTTTCAAAAAAAAAAATCATATTAAATTACCCAGGTGTGGTGGTCCACATGTAGTCTCAGCTCTTCAGGTGGCTGAGGTGGGAGGATCACTTGAGTTCAGGAGTAAAGGTTGTAGTGAGCTACGACCTCACTCATCATTGCTCTCCAGTCTGGGCTACAGAGCAAGACCTGGTCAGAAGAAAAAATTCTAACACTTCCAGAGCTAGCATGACTGCCTTAAATTTTTTTTTGCCCACTCAGGAAAGAAAATTAGGCTTAATTTGTTTTTAATAAACAAAATCACTAATGTAAACTCATCTGTGTATAATTACAAAAACCATTTTACTGCATTATTTTCTTATTATTTACAATACTCTTTTGCTACTTTCTTACCAATGTTGCATTTCTGTTAACATTGAATCTTCCATAGCAGTCAACCAATAACCTTTGGAGAACATTTTGTACCAAAAAAAAAAATGCTTAGATTTGTTATCATGGAAACTTTCATCGTCTTGATCAAGTGTAGTTATAATACTTGGGAAATTAGACTATCAATAAATTCAATTACAGAAAAAAAACTCAATATTTATATTTCATCAAACCTTATGAAACTAGACAATGATGCAAATCTATCAATTAAATGGGGTTGTAGAATTACATGTATTAAAAATTGGCCAAGAATTTTGTAAAAGAACACAAATCTCTTACTATAGTGATGAAAATCCTTCTTGTCTTATGTGTTGAACATACCATTGAATATTCAAATAAGAGGAAAACTGAAAAGTCATCTAGTTTAAACCCTTTTCTCTTATAAATGTGTCATTTAAGGTGCATAGAGATTAAATGTCTTGCCCGATGGTGACAGCTACAACCTAACATGAAAATAAAACAAAGACCTCAGCGTCATAGACCAGTGGTCTACCAAGTATTTCATGATTTATGGACATGTAATGCCCTAAGCCAATCAACTATAGTGTCTTTTGTTAAATTGTTATTATTTTTAATACTGGATCAATATACAATAATATCTAAACTTTATAACACTAAGAGGATAAAGAGATACATGTTGAATGAGTTGAATAAAAGGATCAGGATAATATTATCCTTTAGGGTTATGTTTACTGTATAAGTCCCGCCATTTGTTATTTAGTATTTTTCATTTTATTATAATTGCAATGAAATGATAAGTACTATTTTCTTTGCTTTGACTCTAACAATTCAATGTTAAGTCTACTTTCAATTTCAGAATAGCTTAACACAAACTGTTCATGTCAGTATAAATAACAACAAAAACCGCACACATGCATACAAATTTATTGTCCACAATCTCGCCTGTCCCGTGACTCACTGATCAATACAAACATAGTAATTGTGGTTCATATCTATAGAGTTAACACTGCATGGGCAATTACAGAGAAAAATATTATAGTCCCTGTCCAGAAAGCTCTATAAAGGTGGATCAGAGAGAAAAGACTTCCATTAAGATACGATTTCAGAAAATTACAGAGCAGTGTATAATGAAGGAATAAACACAGTAATTCAAACTGCAGTATCATAAGACTTCTCATAAATTTGAGAAAGGTAGGAAAATTAAAAAATTCAGTTTTATAACATTTGCTTATCATATCTTAATCATTTTTTTCCAGCCTCCTCCTTCAGCTGTATTTTCTAATCCACATATCATAATACAGTGTATCGCAACTTCAAAACCACAAGCAAAAGCTCCATATAGAAGGAAGGTCAAATTTCTTGACATAGCATATAAAGGATCACTGTTTGGCCTTTGCTAAACTGCAATAAACTATACCCTTTTCCACATTGTATGTGACTGGTATACTGAATGACTTGAAGTTTTTGAATGTGCCAAATTATTTACAGCCTCCAAGGAATGCTCCTGCTTCAACCATTCCATATTTTTTACTCCATCTCTAACCTTTTCTTATATACCCTTCCTTCACTTTATCACTTCTGCAATTACAATTTCCAAGAACTCTACTTATTCTACTCTCTGCATGTTAATAAGATAGGTCCCTTCTGTGTGTCTTTAGTGTATCAATGTATGTTTCTATCATAGTGTCTGTGATACCCTTGAGAAGAAACAAAAAAAGCAGTCTCTGATATCTGAAAACTAATCTGATGCTTATAACTGTTAATGTTATTGCAAACTGATCTTGTGCTTACAGCTAAACAATTTTATTCTCTTTTTGGAAATAGAATAGGAAAAACAACAGAAAGAAAAAGAAAATTCAAAGCTGGTTATTTGAAAAGATTAATAAAATTAAATTAACTGGGAAGAAAAGATGATAGCCTAAGTGGCTTTGGAAATTAGTGGAGTCTGTAATTCTAAATGTAAAATGAACTAAACATAAGCAATATAGTGGACAAAGTTGTTTCCCATGGGGTTATAGTTTAAAAATTCTAATATTGCTACACATGTATAGTAGAACTGAAAAACTATTAAATGATGTCAAATATTTGGAACCAGGTTTCTCACTGTTACAGTGTGCATTAACAACTATGCAATGGGAGATGGCTGAAATGATTCATGTGGTAACACATCAGAGTTGGAGACCTCAATATGAACTAATACTTAATATAGGTACAGATGCTTACATATCGCGATAAGTATAAAGATGTATATGTATCTACATAGGTTAACGTACACACTTTTATTTTAGTATCTGACTTTGTTCTGGCTGGTACAACTAAATATCATAAACTGAGTCACTTTTAAATAACAGAAATTTATTTCTTACTTTTCTGGGTGCTGGGAAATGCAAAGTCAAGGGGCTGACAGATTTGGTGTGTGGTGAGGGCTTTCTGGCTCATAACTGGCACCTTCTTGCTGTGTCTTCATATGGTGTGATGGGCAAGAAAGCTCTCTGGAGTTCTTTTTATACGGGACTAATCCCATTCATGATGGCTCTGTCCTCATGACCTAATCACAACCCCAAGTCCCCACCTTCTAATACTATTACCTTGGTGATGAGGTTTCAACATATACATTTTGGAGGGATACAAACATTAAGATCATAGCCATGTTTCAGATGAGGGGGCCTAGAAATCATGATATCTAAGAGCAACAAGCAGATTTAGTTCCAGAATATTGGTTTTGAACATTATTCTCCAGTAATAGAAACCAAAGCTCCTTGGAGAAAGGGCTGTTTCTACTACTGAGGCAGGAAATATACCAGATGAGCCTAAAGCATCTTATAGAACCAGAAGTTAAGAAAATGCTAAAAAAAAAAAAAAAAATTCTTCACAAAATGATGAGAGTCTGCTAAAGGGACAAAGGGGCTAACAAAAAGAACACACCATAGTCAAACTTAGTCAACTGAAACAAAAAATAATCAAATTTTATTGGATCATAACTATTTATAAAATAAATATTCATGAGTTCATACTGATATAAATAAATTATTTAATAAATAGTGAAGGATGGAAGAATGAATGAACTCCCCATACAGAGGAATTCCAAATAATTTAGTTGGCTACTCCATCCTTATGGGCTGTCAGTTGTTAGTATTTTCCATATCAGTAAAGTATGAAAAAAGAGAAAAAAACATGAATAACCACAGTATAAAAATTTGACAAACACTATCTTAGCCAGGTCACTAAATTTAATATTAACAGTATTAAGTAATACTGATTATATATACCCTTGATATTATATAATAAATATGGCACTTTACCTCCATGGCTTTCCTTTCAAAAGTAAATTCCCCAGTCTAATAATGAGAAAAACATCAGCCACATCCCTCTTGAGGAACATTCCACAAAATAAATGATCACGACTCCTTAAAATGGTTAAGGCTATTAGAACAAGGGAAGTTTGAGAACCTGCCACACCAATGTAATGGAGTATCCTGAGGGGGATCCTGGAACATAGAAAGGACAGTAGAGAAAACTGAGGAAATCTGAATAAGTTATGTATTTTAGTTAATAGTAATGTATTAACATTTGTTCATTGTAGTAACATTTGTTCAAAAGTGTGTATCATACTACCACAAGAAATTTACAAAGGAGAAATTAGGGGTCACACAAGGTCTCTGTATCCTCTTTGCAATGCTTCTATGATTCTAAACTACCATAATAAATATTTTGCTACTGATATGCCCACTGAAGGCATTCTTTATTTCTGTCAAAATGATTTTAGTTTCTGGTATTTTCTTTTGGTTCTTTTTTAGAGTTTCTTTCTGTTTACACTGCCCATCTGTTCTTGTGTGTGGTCTCCTTATCCCATTAGTTCCCTTAACATATTAATCAGAGTCATTTTCAACTCTTGGTATGATTCTTCTGTGTCTGATAATTGGATTGTGTCTTTATGTTATGTATTTTCTTGCCTTTTGGCAGGTCTTGTCATTTTTGCTTAAAGCTGAATATGTTGGATCAGGCAATAAGAAATGAGGTCAAACATCCTTTAGTATGTGTGTGTGTTTAGTATATGTTAATATGGCTAGAAGTTAGCTGTGCTTAATGTTTGTTGTAGCTACAGTTGCCAAAGGCTTCACTTTGTCCTCGTGTCCCTGTTTTGTTTTGTTTTTTTCCTCCTCTTATGCTTTAGACTTCCTTATTTCTCCTTGGAGAATCTGACATGCAGTTCTTTAATCAGTAATTTGTTGTTAACATACTAGAGACTTGATGTGGTGGTAAGCTGTGGAGGAAAGGAATATTCTGTTATCTCATGATTGAAACCTGGTGTTTCAATGGGTCTGTGTTTCTGGAATGTGACCTTCTCAAGTGTTTCTTCAAGGTTACAGCATTGTTTATTTTGCTCTCTACTTTCTTTTCAGCATTTCCAGTTCATTTCCTTGAAACTCTAACCCTTCTTGACTATGTTGTGTTCCCTTGCTTTATTTATTTTTTATTATTTTTACAGGAAGACTGGATGCAGCTGAATCAAAAGAAATTTCACTCCCCTCTTTGGGAATTTTTGAGCTGATTTTGTCTGCTTGTTTGTTGAGGATTTTATTTGACAAAGCATTTTTTTTCATTTTTATGGAAGTACAATTGACAAAAAAATTGATGTATTTTAAGTGTACTACTTAATGTTTTAACAGACTTATACATTGTGAAATAATCACCATAATTAGGCTAACATATCTAACACCTAACGTAGTGTGTGTTCAGAACACTTAATATCTACCTTCTAAGAAAATCTGAATTAGATAATACAGTATTGTTGATTACATTCACATCGCTCTACCTTAGATATCCAGAATTTACTTATCTTCGTTATTGAAACTCCAGTATTTAACACTCTTTCTGTCTCTTTCTTTTCTCCTCTCCTCTATTATTTCAATGGAATATGTTTCATTGCTTGAAATTTTTCCTACAACATCTGAGGCTCTATTTTTCTCAATATTCTTTTCATCTATTCTTCATATTGAATAGCTTCTATCAATGTAACTTAATATTTATTAATTATTTACTTGGGCATCATTGGTATTCTGAGGAACCCATCTAGTGATGTTTTTATTTTAGTTATTGGAAGTTTAAGCTCTAGAATTTACATTATTAATAATTTTCTTTTTTTGTAGGTATTTTGTGTTTATTTAAAAAACAGCATGTTTTTTTCTTAGTTTTTGAACATGCATTTAATAACTTCGTTAAAGTTTTGGTCAGTTAAATCCAAAACCCAGAAACTCTAAAGATAGATAGTTTCTATTGTTTACCTAATTGTTTTTTGTAGTGTAGGTCACAGGTTTCTGACTTTTTCTTTCTTTGAATGTCCAATAATTTTCGGTTGAAAACTGGGTAGTTTATATAATAAAATGTAGTGACTCTGATATATTCATCTGAGGATGTTTTAAATTTTAATTCTATCAATAGTTGAAATTATACTTCCTTGGACTCAAATGTAATCTTCATTTCCTTTATAGTGTGCAACAACTTATATCTAAATTCTGTTAGTATGGCCTCTACTGTTGCATTTTTAGCTTGGCCACCTGGCGGTTTCCCTAATTCTGTGTAATAAGCTGACTCAAACTTATTTTGAGAGTCTTTTTTTATGCTCTTTGATGAGAAGTTCAGATTAGGTTGATCTATGAAAAATGAGGTACGCTAAATCAAGATGATGTCTTCTAAAAAAAGATTAATCTTTTTTTTTCTGCCAGAGTATCACATGTGCTAACACCCTTAGTCTAATTTAGCACTCTTCTACGTTTGCTAGATGTTGCAGGTCCAAAATTGAAAATTCATTATGCTACTTGAAACACTGATTCTCATTTTACCTCTAGGTTAATGCTGATCTTTCCTTTTCCTACAGCTTCTAACTCTGTTTATCCCTCAAACACTCGAGCCATCATATGCCATCAAGACTGTATGTGTGTGTGTGTATACAGAAACATAAATATTATATATATACTTAAATATTTTATATATACATAAATATATATACATAAATATTTTATATATACAGTATATGTGTGTATATATGTATATATTAATATATACATATACTATATATAGCCTGTGTGTGTGTGTATATATATATATACACACACATATTGTCTTGATGGCATGACTGTATGTATATATATATATATACACATACACATACACACATATATACATACACACACATATATAATACTTATATATAAGTGTATACATGAACTTTCAATTTTAATTTTAGAATTAATTCTGTGACAAAAATATGTGGGCGTGTGTTTGTATAAACTACATGAATATATTGCTATTCTATCTTGCACCAGCTACTTCCAGAATTTCCTGTGGGACAGTGGAAAGAGGAGAGGACACTAGAAACTAAAAATCTTTCTCCATCTGTTCAGCCACTGACACAAATTGCTTTCCACATGTACAGCTAACCTGTAAAATTGTTTATATAACTTTACCATATTTCCTTCCTTGAACCTAATTGCATATGCCTTGTTCACTGTTCACTTTAGGACCCATATCTAGTGTTTTAAACAAGATATATCCTTTTTTTCTTCATGGTGAGTCTCTATTCTCTATGAATTTTGTTTTATTCTGGCACTTCATGATATCTGATAAGAGTTGGACCCTCTCACCACTCCCTACATTTATTCTCTTTATTGTTTTTCTATCCAGACTCTGCTGATCTGAGTTGTTTGGTGAACACAACACATATTCCACATTATGGATTTAGTTTCCTTGGAGTATATTTTTTATTTTTTCTTTAATTTTCTTTGTGACAATTTGATAATTTATGAGAGGACAAGAATGAAAATCCTGACACTCAGCAATGTTCAAAATTGAATACATTATTAGTCTTAAATATTATTTGGGAGTTTTTTCCTCTTAAATAATTTCACCTCCAAAGATTTTTTGATACTATTTCTTACTGGTCTCTCTTCTCTTTTGGTGGTTCTTTGATTTTCACTCTCTCAAATATTTTTTTCAAATATTGCAGAACCCATGATTTTATTGTTTCCATGGGACAAACTGAGTAACTTCTCCAAGTTCCAGAGAAAAGTGACTTGGAACAAATTATCTTACTGTTCTTCTATCTGTGTAAGTTTGGTTTGACCTAATGAAGACAATATTAATTTTCTAATTCTTGTAAATTTAATATGTTTACCACATATGTGGACTAGAGTTAACACTATTCCAAGATTAAAAATGTGTATGATGTCCTTCATTTAGGGTTTGTTTATGTTTTATTTTTTCTTATCATTATATAGGTATTTTCTCTCTTGGCGGATAGAGACCACAGCGGTGAAATTTATTTTTTATCACATATTATGGGTAAATAATATCAGCATGTCTTATTATCATTGATGTCAACCTTGATCACCTGGTGAAGGTAATATTTGTCAGGTTTGTCCACTGAAAAGATGCACTTTTTCCCTTTCCACATTGTTCTTTTTGAGCAGAAATCACTATGTGCAGCCTATATTTAGGAGGTAGAATATTATATCCCATCCTCTTGAAGGGTGGAATAGCTACATATATAACAGAATTACTCTGCTTGCAGATTTGTCTGAAGCTCAATTTATTTATTTAATAATTTATTGATGTAAATATGGAATTCTGGATATGTATTTTGTACTTTGTGTAATTAAGATATTTAACTTTATAACGTGAAAAATACATTCAAAGAATTTGCATAAATTATGATTTTTAAAAGTTGTATGGGTATTACTATTATTGTAGAAGTTTTATCTTAAATATTGCATATAGTTTAACATATCAATAAAAACAAACTATAAATTCAACTTCTAATCAGGAAATTTAGAATAAAAATAAAATACCAAGAGCCAGGTTTCTGACTGTGTTGTTTTGCCAAGAACTGCAAGGAAAGACTAAGAATTCATGTGCTAGAGATAAGTCTGCTTGTTTCTATGCCACTTTCTATTCTGCATTAGAATATTAAACTTGATCAGATAAGGTTGGAAGGGAAAGGAAAACAGCCAAATGATTTTTTGGGGGTGGTGCATACCAATACAAAAGTGCTTGTTTCTCATTTCCAGGACATAATTTGGGGGAAATTCGAGTGAATTATTAAGGCTCTTTATGTACAAGGTATCTAAACAGATAAACTGAAAAATAAACCCTTGTATCTTATGGTCAAGGCAGGGTACAAGTGGGATTAGAATTTTTCTGCCTATCCTACAGTGGGATATAGAAGGTCTAAGAGCACCAATAGAGTGGAAGGGATTACAGTGGAGCTGAGAAAGCCACATAGTAAGAAGACCTCAATTACAGGAACAATGGAATTTAGTGTGTTATGTAAGCAGAATATCCAAGGAGACAATTTAACCAGAAACCTTTTAGTAGATTTGTAAAACAGCCCAATGGATAGATGAAAGAAGCTAAAAGTGGGTCACAGCTAGGGACAGCCAGGCACACCTAGTGCAATACTCGGAAGCATATAAGACATTTGGGACTTCAGATAAAAGCTATTGCTGAAAGAAAAGAGGAAAATAATTTAAGGGAAACCTGCAAGAATATGCATTTATATTAGGGATAATTAATTAATATGGTAGTAGACTAAAATTGGACATTGAAAATGACAGCAATTCTGAGGTAGCAAAATTGGGAGTTTCTCTTCATCAAAAAGATTAAGAAATATCAGCAATTTAATTAAAAATCAAAATAATCTACATATATCATAAACTGGGATTTTCATACTTGAAGTTAGATGAGTAGAAACAACTGGACCCTCTGAGATTAAGTGATGCACCTATCAAAAGAAAGAATGAGTCAGGTGACCTTAATCCTAGGGCTTAAAGTGTTTTGAGGGACTCATGGTTCTACGTAGCCAATGGCTGATGCTAAAAATCACTTTTACCCACTTGCATGTGTGAGCATCAGTAAAATTAATGTTCATGAGACTACTCAGCAACGTGTGACAATAAAAATGTTTTTATTAAAGAATCCCCAGACCGAGGGGAATTATCATAGAACTATGTTAGCTTAGATTGGTGAGCATCACTAGGAGATAGTCCATATATTGGCCACCAGGGCGACACAAAGGTTACTTTTAGGAAGTAGTAAGTGAAGAGTCTGGTTCAGAAAAATCAATGACATGGCCCAGCCTTTTCTATATGGGATCCCATGATCTTCACATGTCTTTTGCAGAACATTCAGAGAAGAGGTAGAAGAAATAAAGACCAGGATGTCGGGCCATCTAAAAATTCGTAATGAAATTTTGTTTCAGAGGGTGCGTTTGTGATGACCTGACTTTCCTGGGAGGTGGCCACTGACAGAGATAAAGTGAATATACAATTCATATTCGAATGTGAGAAAACCAGGACATTCTTTGAGATGATTTCAAGATTGACACCTAAAGACATGATAAGACTTTCTGGTAATTTTGTAGGAAATGGGGATCTATTTTGTAATCATAAGCAGATATATTTAAATACGTTTATTGTACAGATACTCTTTTAAGATTTGCAACTTTAACAGAATCAATAAATTCCAGTTACCTGCCCTCATTACAAAATTCTCTACTCATTTTTTTGCCCAGCAACCAGCCAATCTTATTATTCTGAATGTGTAAAAACTATAAAGAGAGAATTCAGGAAAGGAAATGAATCATTAGACTCCCACAAAACAACTTTACAAGCTAACAATTTTACAAGTTAAACAGATATTTACAAAATGCTAAAATTTCAAATGATCTGTTATTTATGAAACTATATAATTATCATCAGATAATCCTTCTCTTAGGCTGTGCCTCACCTATTCTGGCATCTTTTATTCTTTATTAATCTTACGAGTGTGGGGATTAAAGTTGAATTTTCTGAACATGACTGTGGGGAGTGTATTCTTCTAAGACTATAAAAAGTCATTGTACTCTTATTGTGTGATAGGCAGATAATGCAATAAACAGTAATCTGAATCATTCACACACACACACACACACACACTCACAATAGTTTAAGTTCTATTTTATCAAGTGAGTGCTACTCTAAATTAATCACTCTGGTCAAGTTTAAACGACACACACCTATACCCAAATGCCAAATGAAATTGTTAACAAATACTGCATAGAACAATTTCTCCTGGAGATATGTTTACAAATGACTGGAAAAAGAGAGACACTTTTATTACTATTGGTTATCAAGACACTTTCCTTTAACAGTGTTTTTGAAATATCTGACTAATGTGTTTGATAGATGAAGTACCTTTTTATAAACACTCTCAAGTATTCCTTTTTAAAACTGATTGATGCCAGTAAGCAGTCAGATGGTTAGCTCCGGGAACAAGAGCCATTTATTCAGCATGATACACAGTGAGTCAGGAATTCCAAGAAATCAAGTGGGTGGTAATGGCTTAAGAAAAAAATGTTCTATTTAGAACAACATTAACATTTTGGAAATCAACATTATATATTGCTCTGCCTTACTTACTAATCCCCAATTCATCAATATTCAGAAAAGTTTCTCCAGTAAAGTTTAAACTATGGATATACTAAATTAGGCATCTGTTTATGACACTTGTTTTTAAGGGCATCAAGAATTTCCCTGAATTATTCCCCCTAGCCCAATTTCCCTCACCAATGTACATCCAATGTCTGAATTTTTTCCATCATAAGTCAATTATTTTATGTACTGTAAAAGGAAGTTTTAGTACCAAGATATAAATGCCCAGTAAAAAATACTATAAAATAATTTATTTATGGCAAAAATAACAGAAACAGAGAAAACTCATCAGGAAATAGTGTTTGTATACAAATCTCTGTGTTGAAGTAGGAAGTGGAATGGAACTCTATTCTTTGTGAATGCCAGCTACTCTCAGCTGTCATCATGTTCAATTACCCAAACTCTTCTGAATTTATGGCTGAACATGTGACACAATTCTAAGAAATGCTATATAAAGGAAAATTTCTGGGAAAGCATTTTACTTCAAAATGAAAACAGTGGAAGAAGAAAAGAGATTGCTCATGACTGCCTCTGCCCTTTCTGCCTTGTGGACCCCTGGGAAAACTAGTCCTGACAATCTCTCTGTCCCTTGGCCGAAATTCTTCGAATTATAATAATTATAATGGTAGTCTCCATAACCAAAATAATATCATCATGTTTACACTAAAGTGTTCTGTTTATCCTTATTTCCTGCATTTTGAAGGAGAAAATGCTCCAGTGGAAAAAAGTGGCCATAAATACAGACTCTCTTCATTGCAATGTCCTGCTCTCTGGGACTGTGGCCTCTGAAGTTTTAGGTACCCCAGAAAAAACACTCTCTTTAAAATGGATGTTTGTATTTAATATGGATTTAACTGTTATTCTCAAAGAATGGGTGGGTATGACTTCAGCTACATAAGTTCCAGTGCAACTCAAAGGAATATTCAGAAACATATTGTTCAATCATATGTATTGTTTTGAACATTTTATTATTCTATTAAATTTACCTTATTAATATGGTTTTAAGACATAGTATGTGAATGTGCAATAAGCATTTGACTATTTTCCTTTTGTCAGGATTTTTGTGTGTTTTTTTTCTTTTGGTATAATTATAATTAAAGTTGTAGTAAATATAATATCTGCACACATGTCTATTCTCATGAAGAATATTTGTAATATGTACATATCCTAATGTTTCTTATATTTATAAAATTGCTTTATTGTTACAAATATTTTCTAAACATAAGTGCTTTTATTTTTTTTTATTTTAATGACTGGTTAGTGGACATGAGGCAACTCTCCACATTATTGCTACATTTTTCTTTCCTTTTTTCTTTTTTCTTTTTTTTTAACCTTCAAGTCCTAACAAATTGAATGGAGAGAAAGAATGGTTTTTCCTCCTGAGCAAACTTCCCAATCTAAAAAGTTAAAGGATTGTTTGTGCTTCCCTCATTTGACTGCATTCTTGGTTAGACCCAAGATCTAAAATAAAAAACATGATATTCTGTCAATTCTCTCTGAGACTTGGTAGTGATTTATACAAAACGGAAAGATGTTTCTGCCCTATCCCTATTTTAACTAGTCCTCAGTTAGGTCCAATGACTAAGCCTGGCCTCTGATGTTGAGTCCTGTCTCCTACCCTACTTTGTTGTAATGAAATGCACCTAACCAATTCTCTGCTTAGGCCTTTAACCTGAGTATGACACAATCACACACACACACACACACACACACACACACACACACACACACAAATATTCAGGCAGGCAGAGTTTTCTTAGAGTTTTACTTGATGTAGAAGAAATAATAGGACTCTATACAGCTTCTGAACTATGAACTGTTGGTGTTAAAACTGCTGTTGTGCTAATGGTACATTCAAGATTTTAATAAAGATTCACTTAAAATGTATTGCTTTTCTCATTACAAATTATTTAAGGGGTTTCAATGCATAAAAATTATTTTCATCATGACCAAAAACAGAGTAAACTACTTATAATGATCAGAGAGTTGCAATAGATATCCCCCTTTTCAAACTGGATGGGATATAGTATAATTTTTAGCAGAAACAAACAATAACTTGCAAAAGTAAGCAAGGAATCATCTTGTGTAGAAAGTAAAAACTTAATTACTTTTATCATAATGGACCAGAATAATAGTTTTTTATGTTATTAAATAAAACTTCTAATTCTTGGTGTTTTTATATCAAACATATGGATAATACTAAGCTATTAGGTAATAATTTTCCACTAAAAGTCTAAGTGATTAAAATAATTTCAGAGATTAATTTTCATCATAATCATGTACCAATTTAAAATAATTCTCATGAAGATTTATTATCCTTTTCTGGTTATAACTTCTTTTGTGATGAAACTACAGGAATACTTAAAAATTACATGTATATCAGTTGACGTTTTGTTAAAATAAAATGTCCCCGTTACTGTTCAATCACTTAACAAAAAAGGGAAAATGTAACTTCAATGAGACTTCTTGAAGTAAAGTATTTTGCTATGCGTTTATGTATTTACAAAAACTCTACTGTAGCTCTGTCACATTTTTATGAGAAGAATATGAGAGACACAATATAAAAACTGTTGATTTTACAGTCTGTTAATGGTAGAATTTTGATATTATTAAAAAGTGCAAGCATTTGTAATTTCCCCTAAAAAGTGGCAAACAATGATTTACTTTACTTCATTTTCTCCTCAACTTTGTCTTAAACTATTCTACAAAGTACACTAAATTGATCTAAAGTGGTGTGAAATTAATAAATAAATCAAGAATCAGTGGGTCTCCTGGAGTCCGCTTGGTAGAAATTCAATAGAATGATAAAGGAAAAATGCCTAAAACAGTATCATAACTTAATAATCAACAGCCTGAGCTATTGTTTTTATTATTGATATCAGGATGTGTAGATTTACCTCCAAACATACAGTTTTTAACCAAGAATCTAAAGAGTCACATCCTTGAAAGGCATAGGGATGCCCAGAGTCATAAAAATGGGTTTTCCAGAGTCCCTTAATTGTGAGAAAGTTTGTATTGCCTCTCACTGTGTGACAATAAAAAACTTGAATGGGATGATGTGATAGAAATAACATTTCTAATGCATAGGGGAATAGATAGTGTTTTTCACTCAATGGCGTAAAACAATGCAATAGTTTTCTATGTAAGAGATGTAGGCAGTTTGTCTTTGTCAAAAGGACTTCCCTAAGCGATTTGCACAGATCACAAAAAGAAGTGGGAAATATATGGCAAAGTAGATGCTGGACATGATGGATGTACCAGCCAAACCTAATAGAGTGTAAAAGAAGAAAAGCAAAATAGTAATAATAATAATAATAATAATAATAATAATAATAAAAGAGAAAAAAGGAAAAGAAGTGTCATCAACTAGAAATGAAGAACTGAAACCTTTTTTATGGATTCTGGGAACAAAGTCAGCTGTATAATTACCTCTGCTAACATGAATGATATTGCAACATAGGTTTGATAGGAATGATTAGTTGATACAAAAAGTAATAAATATAAAATGAAATTCGATCATTCCTCAATACAATCTAGTTTCGGCTTCATTTCTTACATTCCAAGGATTTGTTTCTTATTATATTAATTGCTTGAAAAGAAAGATATGTGATTAATCATAATAAGCTGCGCATAGTAGCTAATTCTCATTAATAAATACATATTAATGTGTTTAATAATTGAAATAAGTAATAAACAGCAAAATAGTTTTGTATCTGGAACATAATGAGGTCTAGCTTATATGATACAAAATTTCTAAAATAGAAACTATTTTTGTAAATTTTACAAAAAGGGCATAAAGTCTAATTATTTACTGGGGTTTACTGAGTAGCTAGGGAAATGGCTAGGATCAGAACCTTGGTGATGATTCTTGTTAAATATGTATCTGTGTGTGTGTGTGTGTGTGTGTGTGTGTGACAAAGAGAGAGAAGAGAGAAAAACAGAGAGGAAGAGAGAAAGACTCATAAAGCCTACTTTAATGTTTTGCTTTTACTTTAAAAATGTACCTTTTCATAGCCAATGTATGATATGTTCAGGTGACATCCAGAATCTTTCATTTCAATTGCCAATGAGCTCCAATTACCCTATTTATAACTAGTTTCTAAGGGACATTAATAATAGTAAATATAGACTGATTGTAAAGTTGCTCAGCAATTAAACTATAAATATGTATTAGATAACTGCTGTAAATTTAGTAGTGGAATATTTGCTGTGACCCCATTTTACGTTCTCAGGCAAATATCTAACCACTCATTCTTTAACATTGTATGATCCAACTATAAAACTATTTGCAATTTTCTTATTTACTTCACAGTCTTTATTGCCTCCAGATCTCTACAAATGCCATTTCCTCTACTGTTATTTTTCCCTTGCTAAGTTTAGTGGATGATTAAGGTCTTAGTGTACATGCTGCTTTTCAGACCCTCAAAGTTTGGGCTAAGCATATTCTCCTATAAGGATCAATTGTATGGTGTGTTAACCCCTTTATAACAATTGTCTATGCAGTTTCTTGTCTTTCTTGTCAGGCTGTGAATTCTTTCTAGAACAGGCACATTTTCTGCAATGTCAAAGTCCCACTGCCTAGTAATACAGAACCCAATACAAAACAAGTGTTCAATAGAGAAATGTTATATAAATGAATTGGTGAGGAGATGAAACAGATATGTATGTGGCACATAGATTAATGTTAGGAAAAGAAAGTACTATTTACATTAGTACCACACATTTATTGAACAATTTTATATTCTTTATTCTATTAAATTATATCAACATTTTACAAATGAACTTCAGAGACATTAACTCCCCTCATATTTAGCTAGTATATTGAGATTGACACATACATACAACAGAACAATAAATGTCAAATGTAAGCTTGTGTAAAATGCATCTTCTGATCAAATGTTTTATATATATGTATATATGTGTGTATGTACATATGTGTGTGTGTATATATATACACACACACATATGTACATACACACATACATATATATACACACATACATATATACACACACCCATATATATATGTGTATATATATATACACACACACACACAAAAATAGATGTGAGAGGGAAGTTTAGATTTGAGGATAAAGTGGGAAGTGAGATGTTTTTCAAATGTGTTGCTTAGGGAAAGAAAGTTCCATATCACTGATCATTAGAGAAATGCAAATTAAAACCACAATGAGAGACCATCTCTCACTAGTCGGAATGGTTATTACTAAAAAGTAAAAAAAACAACAGAAGTTGGTGAAGTTGCAGAAAAAAGAGAACACTTATATGTTGTTGGTGGGATTATAAATTAGTTCAACAATTGTGGAAAGCATTGTAGCAATTCCTCCAACAGCTAAAAGCAGAACTACCATTCAACCCTGCAACCCCATTACTAGGTATATACCCAAAGAAAAATAAATCATTCTACCCTAAAGACATACACACCAATGCTTATTCCAGTACTATTCATAATAGCAGAGGCATGGAATCAACTTAAATGCCCATCATTGACAGATCGTATAAAGAAAATATGGTACATATACACCATGGAATACTATGCAGCCATGAAAAAGAATGAGGTAATGTCTTATTTGGGAACATGGATGGAGTTGGGGCCATTATCCTCAGCAAAATAACACAGGAACAGAAAACCAAACACTGCATGTTCTAACTTATAAGAGCTAAGTTATGAGAACTCATGGACAGAAAGAAAGGGACAACAGACACTGGGGCCTACTTAAGGATGGAAGGTGGGAGGAAGGAGAGGAACAGAAAAAATCGTTACTAGGCTTAGCACCTGGGTGAGAAAATAATCTGTGCAACAGACCTCCATGATATAAGTTTACCTATATAACCAACCTGCACACGTACACCTGAACCTAAAATAAAAGTTAAAAAAAAAGAAAAAAAAGATCAAATGATATAACATTATCCAGACTGAGTAGTAAAATATTGTAGACAGCAATGAGACATTAGACTTAACAAACTAGAACAGGGTGAACAAACTTTTTGTAAAAGGCCACATAATAAATAATATGAAAGTAGCCATAGACAACATGTAAGTAAATGAATATGGTTGTGTTCCTATAAAGCTTTTTTAAAAAACAAAAACAGGCAATGGGCTGAATTGTGCCTGCATGCTGTAATTTACAGACATCTGGACTGGAGGAAACTGCATAAATAGAGGTACTCTCTGGGAAAAAGGAGAGATTCTACATGAATCCTGAAGGATTAGATAAACCAACAGCAGACAGTAATTAACTGGCTCCATCTGGTTTCTTAAGAGAACTATCATCTGGCCACATCTCCTCCTGACCCACCTAATGAAACATAATTCGTGTATCAATCTGTAAGAACATTTACCCTACTCACAGACATTTTTAAAACTCCTAAACCAACCTCTCAAAATCCCACAAAAATGCAAGACCTGAGAAATAGGTATTTATGCACTGTATGGTACTATTGTATGATTTTAAATATGACTGTAAAATGAATATTTAATAGATCCTTTGCATTTCTGAGAGAAATTAGATAAACCTATTTTATTCCTTGTCTTTCAGTGATTTTGTTTTAATTTCCCTATAGAGAATGTAGAAATAACTGTATTTGATGAAATTTTATCTCAGCATAGTCAAAAGAATTGTAAAATTATATGCTTTATGTGCTTTCATAATCTCTGTTAACTATCAAAACCCAGTGTATTATTAAATAATAACACAGTAGAGAACTGTGTGTTTTCATGTAATTTTATTTTATATATTTTAATTGTATACTTTAAAATTTTGCGATATAGAATTATAAATCATAACACATACTCAAATAAATATGGGTCATTACTAAATACTTATCTTAAGTTTGCTTTCCTAATAGCTGATAAAATAATTATCTTTATTATGAAACCAAAATTGAAAAGTGATAAAATTCTAAAGAATGATATAAATTATGAAATACTCCTATATTATCTAATTGAATAAAATGAATAAGGGAATTTCTGATTTCCATCATTAGTGCATGACTTCTTGATATCTGATGCTTAAATAATTTTCTGTTAAATACACTAAAGATGTGCTAGACATATATAATATGCTTTGAAAATAAAGTCTGAAAACATCAAGGAAGCCCCCAAACCACTGCAATACTTACCAATTTAATTATAAAATACATAAAAACTTAAGGTCTTAAACAGACTTATGTTAAAATAATTACACAGTCATAAAGATAAAATTTTAATATTATAATTTTTTTCTGGTGAAATTCTCATCACTTTATTGTCTCAACAATTAAATTTTACATAAAATATTTAAAAATAACTTTTAACTTTCAACAATGTATTGACATAAGCTAGATGTCAACATGTTTTTCTTCTTTTATGATTTACTAGATTGGATTAAAATGAACCCTAAACAAGTGTATTAAGTAGATATGTATATATCAACCAAAATAATAGTGGACATTAACAAAAAAACACACATATATTCCATTTTAAAGAAATTGTACCACTTGTTCTAAATTGTATCCAAACGGTCATGGGAATCCAGAATCCAAGAAGTTGAAGACAAATGAAATTAATTCATGTACACACTCCGTATTCAGGATGTAAACGTCCAAAATATTTGCACACAAGCTTTTATTTGGGGAGAAAACTGGTCTCGCTATTGTTAGGAACTAGAATCTTTTCCTCACTCCTCAGTGTGCTCCTAAAATACTATCCACTAGAAATCAACAGACTCCTGTAAAAACAACGCTGACTTGCAGGATAACTGCAGAATGGCAAATTGCATAATCAATGAATTTTTGTCAATGGGATTATGAGTATCAATATTGTGAATTTAATTAAATTAATGTCCAAGATATTGCATTACTAAAGCAACTGTTCCAAGCTACAGTCCTCCTGTAACTACTGTCACAGCCACCCTGTGTGATGTCCTGGGTCCTGTGAACTAGGGATAAAGAGGTAGTTATCGCAGATGAGCCCTTTGACACTGTCTGACCTGGATCATAATTATCGGTGCCTGCATCTTCAGAGGACATAGTTCTAGATGATTTCTAGTCACTTTATCTGTGTTCTTATTTATACACTGTGATTTGATGTACTAATTCAGTTTCCTGTGGACCACTGTATAATTTTACAGGAGGCACAGCATGAAAATCAAACCTTGTTTTTGTAGTATTGCTGTGAAATAAAAAAGAATGCCACTCTTATTTGAAAAAAAAAAAGATTATTGAAAACAAGGAATCAAAACTGTGGACTTCTTATAACCTGATGGTAATTGGCTACAATTTGTTATTAATTTATATGCATCTACCATCTTAGAACTGGCCACTCTATGTGTGGCCATGAGCAAATGGCAGTGGCATCACCTGGTAGCTTTTTAAGAACAGTAGAATCTCAGGCTACACCCCAAAACTACAACTTTTCTAGAATATTTTACTGCCACCCATAAGCTATTCACATTTCCTGAGCAACAACTCTATTTCATACCCTGTACTAAATGATGGGAACAAGGTAAATTATCTCTGGTGCCTGCAATTGAAGGAGCTCATGGCCTGGTGAAAAAGACAGCAGGAACTTAGCGCGATATTTGATGGAAAAAATGTGAAATAAAGAGTAAAAAAGAATTACATTTGTTCCCTTCTGGTGGTCAGAAAACCGGAGATATTGTGTCACCTTATTGTTCTTCAAACAGGGTGTATCTTTATGAGATTACAGTAAGGTATTTATTAAACTCCTTGCTTTCAGGGAGAGTACACCAAAACTGAGACTTTATTTATCAGGAAATGAACATAGTTTCTTTACTGGATGACATATCACCACAATCATTTCCTAAAGTTTTTGATTGATCAATATGTTCAATTTTATATATTTATATATTTTTTACTTTTTAAACTTTTTATTTTGAAATAATTTTAAACACAAAGGAAAGATAAGATTTGTCAAATATTAACAGTTGTCCTATTTTTCCATGCATTTTTCTTTTTATTTTGTGTGTATTTTTGATATTTGTTATTATTTGCAAAGCCATTTGAAAATAAGCTGCAGACATGCTTAAGAACTTCAATAAGTTCAGTGTGATTTCCTAAAGAAAAAATATTGTATAATCATTGTAAAATTAATTATTAAAATAAGGCCCATTTTAGAGCAATAAAATATTAATGTCTGATATGTAGACATTAAATTTTTGACATATATATCTCTGTAACGTCCTTTACAGCTATTTTGTTGAGCTCCAGATCCTACGATCTAGGATCACACGTTGTGTTTGGTTGTCTTATCTCTTTGTCTTTATTTGGAGGAGTTCCTTTATCTTTATCTTTAAAGTCACTGAAATTCTAGAAGAACAAACACAAGTTAGTGTGTAGAACGTAGCCTAATGTGATTTTACTTTATATTTTATCATAAAGGATCCAGGTTATAAATTTTGGTCAGGAATAAGAAATATGCAACATGCCTTCTCAGTGCATCTCATCAGGAGGCATATAATGTCTATTTGTCCAACTGTTACTGATGTTAACTTTGATTTTTGTTTATAGATGTGTCCACCAGCTTTTGCCATTATGAAGTCACTCTTTTTCTCTTTGTAATTAATGAAGAACTGTTAGTTTATAACGGTATTTGTGTATGTTTCTTGGAATAAATACTAAAATAATTTATTTATAAGAAAATTCAATATGATTATTAAATAATCTCCTTGGTCTATGGTTATCTAGTTTGAGTTTTATTAAACAAAATTATTCTGTAGATGTAAAAATGTCATATATAAATTTTTATTATTACTACATTTTTATAACTTGTAAAAATTTCAAAAATCTAAGCTTTATGTTATTTGTTATCATATAATTTAATAACCAAAAGTCATGAGTCATCCTAGGTAATTTTGCTTTAAAAAAAGATATTTATCTATTTATTTATTTATTATTTATTTATTTTTTGAGACAGAGTCTCGCTCTGTCGCCAGGCTGGAGTGCAGTGGCATGATCTTGGCTCACTGCAACCTCTGCCTCCTGGGTTCAAGCGATTCTCTTGTCTCAGCCTCCTGAGTAGCTGGGACTACAAGCACGTGCCACCACGCCCAGCTAATTTTTGTATTTTTAGTAGAGACGGGGTTTCACCATGTTGGCCAGGATGGTCTTGATCTCTTGACCTTGTGATCCACCCCCTCGGCCTCTCAAAGTGTGGGGATGTCAGGCGTGCGCCACTGTGCCCGTTCAGAAAAGATAATTTATAAAAATACCAGATAACTTAATCTGAAAAGACTTGAAATCAATGTATTTGTTATGTCAGTTATATTTGTATGACTTCATTATTTTAATAACCATATAAAATATAAGCATTAGAATTCTTAGGTTATGAAAACTATCAATTAAAATTTCATAGACAATGTATTAAAAAGTAAAAATAGGTACTTAGAAACATATTTATCAAGATTTTTTAAAAACTATATTGGAAAATAATAACTTGCATTCCCTTATACTTTAAGTGAAGCACTTCAACTTAGAAAAATAAGAATGTTTTAACTTGTGCAATTTTACCTTGAGTTTAAAAAGTTTCTCAGGCTATGGCTGGTCCCAGCTTATTATAAGACAGAGATGAGTGCAAAAAAATTAGCCAGAATTCACTGGTAAAACTCCATGTTGTTTCGTTGCAATTTAGGAAATCATTGAGCTTTGTATCACTTTGAATAGACTGTCATTCTTCCTTCCTAACAGTGCATGAACAGGAATAATGATTTATAATAAGTGGGCCATTCTTCAATAAAAGATTTCTCCAATGGGGGCTAGGATAGAAAGCTCTGCTCCACTGAAGCAATCATAGCTGTCCTTGGATGTCCTCAGCACTCCGCACACAGTCTCAGGAGAAGGAGCAGAGGAATTACACTGATCAAATTTCAATTTTTTATCTCCTTCCTGTTAAGCAAGGCAGCAAAATATTAACCCTCCAGTATCACTTATTCAGTAGCTTAGGGTATTCCTGTTGAAGAGACATTTCTCTCTTTATATACCTAAACACTTCTTTTTATGCACATGAGTCTTCTAACACCAAATTAATAACTTCTCAACACTTCCATTTTTTCTTTCCTGTATATGTTCCAACTTAAAAAGCTAAGATAAAGTTTCAGGTCATATACTGAATAAGCATTGTTTACTAAAGATTAATCTTAACAGCACTTGAAAATTAGAAAATATAACAAAATCAAAGAAATAATTCTATCAATGTTAAACTTTTGTCACATGAAAACTTAATTTCAATCCTAATTTCTCAAGCACTGTGATCCTAAATTTACAAATGTTTCTCCATTCATCTTTAGACATATTGAAATTTCCTTTTAAAGATTAGATTCTTCTCCATTTTCTTTTTGTTCCTTTGCAATCTTTGTGCTTGTTCAGAAGAATCAGGAATGCTATGTTCAAAGTTCTATTTCTGAAATAGAGCTAATTAGCAAGTGGGGTCAGTATTAGAACACACAGAGACAGACAGGGTCTAGAGTCATTCACTTTAATACCTGATTATTCAGGCTTCTTATCTGACAGCTCTAGAGAAAAGTTATTCTCAAGCTTTATGAGGAATTAACACACCAGACTAAGATAAGCGGATATTCTTGAGCTATTTATCTTTATAATATAGCAAAATATTTTCTGTTGGTTTATTTGGGTTTTGCCTCATTAGGCTCTATATTTTAGTTTTCATTTTCATGAGCTTAACATTCTAGCTATTAATTTTACATATTATTAATTTTAATTGGACATAAGTAGTTTAGCTAGTGAAAGAAAGCATTTTGAAAAATTAGTACTACATCCTACAAATTATCATCATGATTCTTTAATAGAATAAAGATCAACTTTCTGTATTTCAAATCTTTCTTCAGTTTACAAAATTAGACACAAACATAGGTGATTTAGTCATAGTTCAATTAGGAATGAATATTTAATTTAAATAGTGTCAGATAATTTTATGTTACCCATGTACTGGTAACTCTTCAACTATAGCCTGTGAGATATAAATTCAAATAGTTTCAAGATCTTTGACAATGTAAACACTCCCAGAATAGGCATAGGCATTATTGTACACGTGTGTGTGTGTGTGTGTGCATATATATATATATATAAAATAGGAAACATATATTTGGTGATATTTATATATGTGGATAGATGGTTGTATACAGTTTATTTCATGTTAAATATATTGCTAAATATTATATATTTTTGAAACATTTACTAGTGTTGCATCAGTTACCTGATTGCTGATCAACAAAATACCTCCAAATTCAATGGATGAAAAAGAACTAATCTTTTATCACCTCCTGAATCATAAGCTGATAATTCAGAATGAGGTCAACTAGTCCTTCTAGTGTCCACAGATCTTCCTTACATCTGTCTACATCTATCATCAGCAGCTAGTTCTTTGATCTGTTTCTGGACATTGGCTAGCAGTGAGCTGGTGTGCAGTTTCTCACCATTTTATAGGCTAGACTAAGGTTTTTTTTTTTTTTTTTTTCTTATAAAGGAGGCTGAGTTCAAAGAGAAAAAATGAAACCACGAAAGACTTTCCAATGTTTAGAATTTAAACTGTCTAATGCTAGTCTTACCGTGCTCATTTGGTGAAAGTAAGTCACACAGCCAGAACAGATTTAAGAAGTGAGAAAATAGTGCAGACTATTGCAGGTCCTCTTGTTGGGAGAACCTACAAAGGCAAATTGTAAATGATGTACAAATGAGAAAACCATTGATCCTGATAAATGCTGCTATCAAACTACCACAAAAGTGGTACTTAGTAATTACTAAAATGTAATTACAAATGGTTGTTGTAAAAATAGACACCTTACAACAGTATTTTCTTTAATTTTTATTTGTTAAAGTTGTATTAACTGACAAATACAAATTATAAATATTGATTCATAACAGGATGTTTTGAAATACATATACACATTGTGAATGGCTGAATCAAACTATTTAATATATGCATTACCTCACATACTTAACCATGTTTTTTGTGGTGAACACTTAACTTTAGTCACCGTCATGTACAAGAGATCTCTTGAACTTATTTCTTCTGTCTAACTGAAATTGTATGCCCTTTGACCAACATTTCCCATATTACCTTCCCTCATCAACCTGACCCCAGCCCCTGCTAACCACCAATTTACTGTTTCTATGAGTTTCACTTTTTTAAGTTGCACATATATAAGTGAGATCACAGGGTCTTTGGCTTTCTGTGCTTGGCTTATTTCACTTAACATAATGTCCTCCAGGTTCATTTATGTCGTTGCACATGACAAATTTTCCCTCTTTTTAAAGGCAGAATGACATTCCATTGCGTATATGTTAATTTTTTATTTTCATTTTATCAATCTAATCATTCATTGATGGACACTTAGTGTGATACCATATCTTGGCTATTGTGAGTAATGCTGCAATAAACATAGGAGTGCTAATATTTCATCTACATATTAATCATGTCCTTTAGATATACACCCAGTAGTGGGATTGCTGGATCTTACTATATTCTATATTTAATTTTTGCAGAGATTTTAGATTTTTTATTATGCTTTAGATATGTTTGAATATATCATCTAAAAATGCACATAACTTTTTCTAGTATTTTGTAATAGTTTTACTTCTAATGTTTTTTCTTTTTCTATTGCAAAAGCCAGAAGTTTCAAAACAATATTGAAAAACACTGGTTGCAGCAGGTCTCCTCAAAGTTTTCCTTAGGAATTTCATGGATTAAATGGCAAATATGTGTTATTTGGATTGTATTTGCTTTCTATATAATTTCCGAGTAACAAAAATCAACTCAAATTAATAACAAAGATGATTACATGTACATTATGAATATGATTATTTCAATATGCTGAAAATAGTTCTTTTTTTCTTTCAAATAGCATTTGAGTAGTGTACTTTATTATACAGGGTTCCAATGCGAGACAAAATACACTCTGAATCAGCATAATTCAAAGAGTATTACAAAAATAAATCACAAAGGGTACTATAGAAACCTCGGACTAGTAGCAGGCAAACACTCACTACTCTTAAGCCTGTGGTGAAAAGGATTTTTCCCAAAAAATCCATAGCAATATCTGGGGGTCCTGAAATACTTTCATATGGTTTGGCTCTGTGTTCCCACCCAAATCGCACCTCGAATTACAATCCCCATGTGTTGGAGGAGGGGCCTGGTTGGGGGTGTTGGATCATGGGGGCGATTTCCATTGGTTTAACACCATCCTCCTAGTGCTGTCTTGTGATGGAATTCTCATAAGATCTGCTTGTTAAGAAGAAAGTATATAACACCTCCTCCTTCACTCTGTCTCTCCTGCTACCATACGAAGATGTGCTTGCTTCCTTTTCCACCTTCTGCCATGATTGCAAGTCTTCTGAGGCCTCTCAGCCATGCTTCCTCTACAGCCTGCAGAACTGGAACTGTGAGTCAATTAAACCTCATTTCTTCATAAATTACCCAGTCTCAGGTAGTTCTTTGTAACACTGTGAGAAGAGGCTAATACACACTTCTAATATCTCTTCACTCCCCAGTTAAAAGAATCCATTTTCTCTCTTAAAACTGGCCAGGACTTGGCTTCAAAAAATAAAATGGAGTAGGTGATGCTTCAGGATTTCTGAGGCTAGATTATAAAAGGCACTGGGGCTTCTGTCTAATCTCTATCTCTATTTTTCTCTGTCGCTCTCTGTGTGTGTCTGTCTGTCTATCTGTCTCTCTCTCTCTGTCTTTCAGTCAGGGCACTCACATTTGAATCCAAGAACCATGGTGTGAGAAAGCTCAGGCTATTTGGAGGGCTTAATGAAGGTGTTCTTGTGTAAAGTTAAAGTTCCAGCTGGGAGCCAGCATCAAACATCAGAGTAAAAAAGCTTTCAGATAATTCCAGACCCTGGTGATCTACTATTCCTGAGTTTTAAAATATTTCATCAGAGGCCTTAGACATCATGAACCAGAGACAACCTAAACCTACTCTGCCATGTCTGGATCAATGGCTCACAGGATCTGTGAACCTAGTAAATGGTTATTTTACATTAGTAAGTGTTGAGGTAATTCAACATGCAACTAATGGAGACCAAAGGAAAGGAGAGGGGTTGTTTTTAGAACTAGAGAAAAAGAAGATTACATAGGGTCATCCATATTGAATGGAAGATAACAGCCAACCCACGACAAACACATTGGGAGAGAGTAGAGGTAATCAGCGCTCTGACCACAATCTGGTATCTCTACTTTCAGTTTCTGATGGGGATCAACATTATTTTAACCTAGACAGAAGACAAAGGCCATGGGAACCTTGTTGATATAGTTCATACAGCTCAGCTTCTTAGTCAGAAGGCAAGGTGGAGAAGTATGCAGAATGTATCTTGAGCCACAAATTAATGATTCCAAACACATGTACCACATGCAACTTTCCAAACAAATTTTCCCTGAAGCAAAGCAGTCTAAAAGGCAAACACAATAGGAGAGACGAATACTAATTATTGTGAATGGAAACCTTAATTCTATGCCACATTGATATTTATGCTGGCATTCTGAGATCAGGGAAAAAAAGACAAATTGAAATGTGTCCTGTGACTTCATGAGAATAAGAAACTCCTTATTAACAAAGGTAATGAAACAATTATAATTGTCTAACATCAAAAAAGACAATTTTTTTACTTCAATTTTTACTAGTTTATGATGAAAGTTAAAAAATAATTTTAATTTATATTTATCTATTGACATGATGAGCAGTATAAATTGGCAAATATGGTTAGAAATTAGAGGTAGTATTATTTGTATGGCAGCATCAATGCCATATTATGAGTCACATAGAATTGTTATATCAGAAATATTTTTCAAGGCATTATACACTGTGCTATGGTTCAGCAATGTATCCTAGGATAAAGAATGTATTCTGTAGTTGCCAACTCACATTTTGTGTGCTTTTATTCTCCCTAGAATTTGTAATAGTATAAAGAGATCATTCCTACAGAAATGTTTGCAGTGCAAATGATTCAACATTCTGTATTGGTGGTTAAATAGCAAAGAACAGAAGCATGCTATTTCTGTTCTGATTGGTCCAAAACAGAAAAATATAGTAATCTTTGTTTTTGTTTTGTTAGAAGAAGATGGCACTTTGTTTATTTTTGTTGTTTCTTTTGTTTTGATTTCAAATACCATAAGTATGCTTGCCTTTATAGCTTTTAATTTCTGTTTAGATCCTCTCTCCCTCTCTCTCCCACACACATAACCCTACATACACACACATAGAAATGACTATGCCCTAATAACACTTTTTGGCTGTTTCTTTAAATAATACATTTACAAGTATAGAAAAAAATTATAAAGGAAGGTGCATGTGAAAAACAAAAGTCCTTTCCCACTATATCCAAAACTGTTAGCCACAAAAGTAGCCATTGTTAAATTTATTTTGCAAAAATTGTTACTTTTGTCTATATATGTATGCATCTGTCATGTTATTTTCCTTACACATTCCACTGCAATTTGCTTTCTTCGATTTTGCAATACATCTGAAATATCACCTAATTTTAAAAAACTCATTCCTTAAAACGACTATATATTATCTAGTTTAAGGGTATGTCACAATGTAGCAGACCTCTAACTCTTTGCTTAATATGTTAATGAGAAATGATCTGTATTAAAATACAATATCTATTATTGAAATTTAAAATACAGACTCATATAATTTATATTTAACATCAAAAACTGATAATTAAAATAATGTTTATTAAGATGCTACGTTAAAACCTAGACTGTCTTTGTAACTGTGGGATAGGACAAGATTTTTTAGAGCACGAAAAGGAGGAACTGTAAAACAAAAGATAATTTGATATTTTGGACTCTGATATAATACGGTAATATTTTCAGTTTATCGAAGGATGCAGTAGAAAACATTGTTAATACAGATTAGAAAAAAAATCTTCAGGAGCCAAGATGGCCGAATAGGAACAGCTCCAGTCTACAGCTCCCAGCGTGAGCCATGCAGAAGACGGGTGATTTCTGCATTTCCAACTGAGGTACTGGGTTCATCTCACAGGGGAGTACCCGACAGTGGGTGCAGGACAATGGGTGCAGCACACCATGCATGAGCCAAAGCAGGGCGAGGCATCACCTCACCTAGGAAGCACAAGGGGTCAGGGAATTCCTTTCCTAGTCAAAGAAAGGGGTGACAGGCAGCACCTGGAAAATCGGGTCACTCCCACCCTAATACTGCACTTTTCCAATGGACCAAACAAATGGCACACCAGGAAATTATATCCCGCACATGGTTCGGAGGGTCCTATGCCCATGGAGCCTCGCTCATTGTTAGCACAGCAGTCCGAGATCAAACTGGAAGGTGGCAGCGAGGCTGGGGGAGGGGCACCCACCTTGCCCAGGCTTGAGTAGGTAAACAGAGCGGCTGGGAAGCTCGAACTGGGTGGAGCCAACCACAGCTCAAGGAGGCCTGCCTGCCTCTGTAGGCTCCACCTCTGGGGGCAGGGCACAGACAAACAAAAGACAGCAATAACCTCTGCAGACTTAAATGTCCCTGTCTGACAGCTTTGAAGAGAGTAGTGGTTCTCCCAGCATGCAGCTTGAGATCTGAGAATGGGCAGACTGCCTTCTCAAGTGGGTCTCTGACCCCTGAGTAGCCTAACTGGGAGCCACCCCCCAGTAGGGGAGGACTGACACCTTGGCCGGGTACTCCACTGAGACAAAACTTCCAGAGGAACGATGAGGCAGCAGTATTTGTGGTTCACCAATATCCGCTGTTATGCAGCCACCGCTGCGGATACACAGGCAAACAGGGCCTGGAGTGGACCCCCAGCAAACTCCAACAGACCTGCAGCTGAGGGTCCTGACTGTTAGAAGGAAAACTAACAAACAGAAAGGACATCCACACCAAAAACCCATCTGTACGTCACTGTCATCAAAGACCAAAGGTAGATAAAACCACAAAGATGGGGAAAAAACAGAAGAGAAAAACCGGAAACTCTAAAAATCAGAGCGCCTCTCCTCCTCCAAAGGAACGCAGCTCCTCACCAGCAACGGAACAAAGCTGGACAGAGAATGACTTTGATGAGTTGAGAGAAGAAGGCTTCAGAAGATCAAACTACTCCGAGCTAAAGGAGGAAGTTTGAACCCATCGCAAAGAAGTTAAAAACTTTGAAAAAAAATTAGACGAATGGATAACTAGAATAACCAAGGCAGAGAAGTCCTTAAAGGACCTGATGGAGCTGAAAACCATGGTACAAGAACTACATGACGAATGCACAAGCCTCAGTAACCGATGCAATCAACTGGAAGAAAGGGTATCAGCGATGGAAGATGAAATGAATGAAATGGAGTGTGAAGAGAAGTTTAGAGAAAAAAGAATAAAAAGAAATGAACAAAGCCTCCAAGAAATATGGGACTATGTGAAAAGACCAAATCTACGTCTAATTGGTGTACGTGAAAGTGACGGGGAGAATGGAACCAAGTTGGAAAACACTCTGTAGGATATTATCCAGGAGAACTTCCCCAATCTAGCAAGGCAGGCCAACATTGAAATTCAGGAAATACAGAGAATGCCACAAAGATTTTCCTCGAGAAGAGCAACTCCAAGACACATAATTGTCAGATTCACCAAAGTTGAAATGAAGGAAAAAATGTTGAGGGCAGCCAGAGAGAAAGGTCGGGTTACCCACACAGGGAAGCCCATCAGACTAACAGCTGATCTCTCGGCAGAAACTCTACAAGCCACAAGAGAGTGGGGCCAATATTCAACATTCTTAAAGCAAAGAATTTTCAACCCAGAATTTCATATCCAGCCAAACTAAGCTTCATAAGTGAAGGAGAAATAAAATCCTTTACAGACAAGCAAATGTTGAGAGATTTTGTCACCACCAGGCCTGCCCTAAAAGAGCTCCTGAAGCAAGCACTAAACATGGAAAGGAACAACCAGTACCAGCCACTGCAAAAACATGCCAAATTGTAAAGACCATCAAGGCTAGGAAGAAACTGCATCAACTAATGAGCAAAATAATCAGCTAACATCATAATGACAGGATCAAATTCACACATAACAATACTAACCTTAAACGTAAATGGGCTAAAAGCGCCAATTAAAAGGCACAGACTGGCAAATTGGAAAAAGAGTCAAGACCCATCTGTGTGCTGTATTCAGGAAACCCATCTCACGTGCAGGGACACACATAGGCTCAAAATAAAGGGATGGAGGAAGATCTACCAAGCAAATGGAAAACAAAACAGGCAGGGGTTGCAATCCTAGTCTCTGATAAAACAGACCTTAAACCAACAAAGATCAAAAGAGACAAAGAAGGACATTACATAATGGTAAAGGGATCAATTCAATAAGAAGTGCTAACTAACCTAAATATATATGCACCCAATACAGGAGCACCCAGATTCATAAAGCAAGTCCTTAGTGACCTACAAAGAGACTTAGATTCCCACACAATAATAATGGGACACTTTAACACCTCACTGTCAACATTGGACAGATCAATGAGACAGAAAGTTAGCAAGGATATCCAGGAATTGAACTAAGCTCGGCACCAAGCAGACCTAATAGACATCTACAGAACTCTCCACTCCAAATCAACAGAATATACATTCTTTTCAGCACCACACCATACCTATTCCAAAATTGACCACATAGTTGGAACTAAAGCACTCCTCAGCAAAAGTAAAAGAACAGAAATTATAACAAACTGTCTCTCAGACCACAGTGCAATCAAACCAGAAGTCAGGATTAAGAAACTCACTCAAAACCACTCAACTACATGGAAACTGAACAACCTGCTCCTGAATGACTACGGGGTACATAACGAAATGAAGGCAGAAATAAAGATGTTCTTTGAAACCAACGAGAACAAAGATACAACATACCAGAATCTCTGGGACACATTCAAAGCAGTGTGTAGAGGGAAATTTATAGCATTAAATGCCCACAAGAGAAAGCAGGAAAGATCTAAAATTGACACCCTAACATCACAATTATAAGAACTAGAAAAGCAAGTGCAAACACATTCAAAAGCTAGCAGAAGGCAAGAAATAACTAAGATCAGAGCAGAACTGAAGGAAACAGAGACACAAAAAACCCTTCAAAAAATAAATGAATCCAGGAGCTGCTTTTTTGAAAAGATCAACAAAATTCATAGACCGCCAGCAAGACTAATAAAGAAGAAAAGAGAGAAGAATCAAATAGATGCAATAAAAAACGATAAAGGGGATATCACCACCGATCCCACAGAAATACAAACTACCACCAGAGAATACTATAAACAACTCTATGCACATAAACTGGAAAATCTAGAAGAAATGGATAAATTCCTCGACACATACACCCTCCCAAGACTAAACCAGGAAGAAGTTGAATCTCTGAATAGACCAATAACAGGCTCTGAAAATGAGGCAATAATTAACAGCTTACCAACCAAAAAAAGTCCAGGACCAGAGGGATTCACAGCCGAATTCTACCAGAGGTACAAGGAGGAGCTGGTACCATTGCTTCTGAAACTATTCCAATCAATGGAAAAAGAGGGAGTCCTCCCTAACTCATTTTATGAGGCCAGCATCATCCTGATTCCAAAGCCTGGCAGAGATACAACCAAAAAAGAGAATTTTAGACCAATATCCTTGATGAACATTGATGCAAAAATCCTCAATAAAATACTGGCAAACCGAATACAGCAACACATCAAAAAGCTTATCCACTATGATCAAGTGGGCTTCATCCCTGCGATGCAAGGCTGGTTCAACATATGAAAATCAATAAACGTAATCCAGCATATAAACAGAACCAAAGACAAAAACCACATGATTATCTCAATAGATGCAGAAAAGGCCTTTGACAAAATTCAACAATGCTTCATGCTAAAAACTCTCAATAAATTAGGTATTGATGGGACGTATCTCAAAAAAATAAGAGCTATCTATGACAAACCCACAGCCAATATCATACTGAATGGGCAAAAACTGGAAGCATTCCCTTTGAAAACTGGCACAAGACAGGGATGCCCTCTCTCACCACTCCTATTCAACATAGTGCTGGAAGTTCTGGCCAGGGCAATCAGGCAGGAGAAGAAAATAAAGGGCATTCAATTAGGAAAAGAGGAAGTCAAATTGTCCCTGTTTGCAGATGACATGATTGTATATCTAGAAAACCCCATCGTCTCAGCCCAAAATCTCCTTAAGCTGATAAGCAACTTTAGCAAAGTCTCAGGATACAACATCAATGTGCAAAAATCATAAGCATTCTTATACAACAATAACAGACAAACAGAGAGCCAAATCACAAATGAACTCCCATTCACAATTGCTTCAAAGTGAATAAAATACCTAGGAATCCAACTTACAAGGGATGTGAAGGACCTCTTCAAGGAGAACTACAAACCACTGCTCAAGGAAATAAAAGAGGATACAAACAAATGGAAGAACATTCCATGCTCATGGGTAGGAAGAATCAATATCGTGAAAATGGCCATACTGCCCAAGGTAATTTATAGATTCAATGCCATCCCCATCAAGTTACCAATGACTTTCTTCACAGAATTGGAAAAAAGTACTTTAAAGTTCATATGGAACCAAAAAAGAGCTCGCATCGCCAAGTCAATCCTAAGCCAAAAGAACAAAGGTGGAGGCATCATGCTACCTGATTTCAAACTATACTACAAGGCTACAGTAACCAAAACAGCATGGTACTGGTATCAAAACAGAGATATAGACCAATGGAACAGAACAGAGCCCTCAGAAATAATGCCGCATATCTACGACCATCAGATCTTTGACAAACCTGACAAAAACAAGCAATGGGGAAAGGATTCCCTATTTAATAAATGGTGCTGGGAAAACTGGCTAGCCATATGTAGAAAGCTGAAACTGGATCCCTTCCTTACACCTTATACAAAAATTAATTCAAGATGGATTAAAGACTTACATGTTAGACTTAAAGCCATAAAAACACTAGAAGAAAACCTAGGCAATACCATTCAGGACATAGGCATGGGCAAGGACTTCATGTCTAAAACACCAAAAGCAATGGCAATAAAAGCCAAAATTGACAAATGGGATCTAATTAAACTAAAGAGCTTCTGCACAGCAAAAGAAACCACCATTAGACTGAATAGGCAACCTACAGAATGGGAGAAAATTTTTGCAACCTACTCATCTGACAAAGGGCTAATATCCAGAATCTACAATGAACTCCAACAAATTTACAAGAAAAAAACAAACAACCCCATCAAAAAGTGGGCGAAGGACATGAACAGACACTTCTCAAAAGAAGACATTTATGCAGCCAACAGACACATGAAAAAATGTTCATCATCACTGGCCATCAGAGAAATGCAAATCAAAACCACAATGAGATACCATCTCACACCAGTTAGAATGGCAATCATTAAAAAGTCAGGAAACAACAGGTGCTGGAGAGGATGTGGAGAAATAGGAACACTTTTACACTGTTGGTGGGTCTGTAAACTAGTTCAACCATTGTGGAAGTCAGTGTGGCGATTCCTCCGGGATCTAGAACTAGAAATACCATTTGACCCAGCCATCCCATTACTGGGTATATACACAAAGGACTGTAAATCATGCTCCTATAAAGACACATGCACATTTATGTTTATTTTGGCACTATTCACAACAGCAAAGACTTGGAACCATCCTAAATGTCCAACAATGATAGGCTGGATTAAGAAAATGTGGCACACACACACCATGGAATACTATGCAGCCATAAAAAATGATGAGTTCATGTCCTTTGTAGGGACATGGATGAAGCGGGAAACCATCTTTCTCAGCAAACTATTGCAAGGACAAAAAACCAAACACCGCATGTTCTCACTCATAGGTGGGAATTGAACAATGAGAACACATGGACACAGGAAGGGGAACATCACACACCAGGGACTGTTGTGGGGTGGGGGGATGGCGGAGGGATAGCATTGGGAGATATACCTAATGCTAAATGACGAGTTGATGGGTGCAGCACACCAACATGGCACATGTATACAAATGTAACAAACCTGCACGTTGTGCACATGTACCCGAAAACTTAAAGTATAATAATAATAAATCTTCAACACATGAATCTGAATATCTGACAAAAGACCTGTATTCATACAAATAACTCCTACAATTTAACATTAAGAAGACAAACAACCCAATAGAAGAATGGGCAAACTATTTGAAACGTCACATCAGAAAGAAGATATGAAAATGTCCAATAAGCCCATAAAAATTACCTACATCATTAGTCATCTGGAAAATGAAAGTTAAATCTATCATAAGATACAACTAAATGAAAAAAGAATGAACAAAAACATTGAAAGGTGGAGAGGATGTGGAGCAACCAAAACTTTATATGTTGTTGAGAGAAATACAAACATAGTGTAGTCTCTTTGGAACAATGCTTGACATTTTATTTACTTATACATACCACCCTATGATCCAGCAGTTCTGCTTGTAGCTATTTATTTAAAGTAAATGAAAATATGTGACCTCAAAATTCTTGAAAAGAATAGTCATAACAATTTTGTTCATTATAGAAAAAATCGGGACAGAATCCCAATATTCTTCAACAGGAGAATAAACACTGTGCTGTATGCTACCCAGTAATAAGAAAGCAATGAGCTATTGATACATACAATAACATGGATGAATCTCAATAATATTATGCTGAATGAAAGAAGCTAGACCAATGATATAATGTATGATCTCATTAATATGAAATTCAAGGTTATGCAAAACTAATCCATGTTAATAGAAAGCAAGTCAATTGTTGCTTTTGGTTGGGAGTACGGCATGAGAGAATATTCTGATGTAATCAAAAGAATCGATGTCCCAATATGCATTTATCAAAACTGATTGAATGTTACATTGAAGAGCTGAACATTTCATTGAATGCAAATTTAAATAAGAGAGGGAGAAAGAGAAAGCCCTCAGTAAATAATAAGTAATGTAAAACAAACTAAAATATTAAGAAATCAGCACTTACGAAATCCACCTAGCAAAGAGCAAAACATTATAGACCAAATATTTTATATAATTTTAATTTAATTTTATTTTATTTTAAAAATGTCTATGACAAATTCTCAGTTTAACTTAGGCTGAATCATTGAGAAAATATTACTTGGTAGAAGCAGTAAAATCATAATTTTATATATAAATTTATTTGTAAGTGACAGCTAAATCTGACTTTGAATCAAACTATTGTGAGTAGGCTATAAGTTAAAAATATGTGGTTTACATCTCATACCAGTCAGAATGGCTATTATTAAAAATTCAAAAAATAACATCCTGACGAAGTTGAGGAGAAAAGTGAGCCCTTGTACACTGCTGGTGAGAGTGTACATTAGTTCAATCATTGTGGAAAGCAATGTGTCCATTCCTCAAAAAACTAAAAACAGAATTACCATTCAACCAGCAGTCCCATTACTGGGTGTATACACAAAGGAAAACAAATCATTCTACCATAAATACACATTCACACATATGTTCATTGCAGCACTATTCAAAATAGCAAAGACATAGAATCAACCTAAATGCCCATCAGTGGTAGACTGGATACAGAAAATGTGGTACATATACACCATGGAATACTACACAATCATAAAACAAAATGAGATCATGTCCTCTGCAGCAACACAGATGGAGCTAGAGGCCATTATCCTTAGCAAACTAACACGAGAACAGAAAAACAAACACACATGTTCTCACTTTTAAGTTGGGGCTAAATAATGAGAACACATAGACACAAAGAGGGGGACAACAGACACTGTGACTTACTTGAGGTTAGAGGGTATCATGCACTTGAGAGGTGGAGGGAGGAGGGAGAAAATCAGAAAAAAATAACTACTGGGTATTTTGCTTAGTACCTGGGTGACAAAATAATCTGTGTACCAATGCCCCATGACACAAGTTTAGTTATATAACAAACTGGCACATGTAGCCCTGAACCTAAAATAATAGTTAAAGAAAATTAGTGGTTTAAATGTCCTTATGCTTTCACTGCAGACCTCACCACTGTCTGTAACCCATAAATGGAGCAATGCAGGGCACACAGCACATTCTAATGGTTTAACTCGGTTTATTTTGTTGCCAACAGTAAATTATGATTGCCACTGTTTTTAAAGTGATTTAAGTATCAAAAGGAAAGTAACTTTGCTGCCACCTAATACCCTTGGCAGATACGGCAAGTTACTTACTCAAAAATTCTGAAGCTGAAAGATGTATAAAACAATGCAGAGTTGACATACTTTCCAGTTTTCTCTGATAGTTAACAGAGCCCCTGCTTTTTAATGTATAATAATATTGTTTTCATTTTTTTTTTGTTAAGAATGAAAGGAAGGCTTTGGTTTACATAGTTGAAGCTCCAATTTTGTCTTCTGCTAATCACAAATGGTATCAGCTGGGTTTTTTTAGAAGCAAATAGGCTGCAGGCAGGACGGTTACACAGTTTGTCGCAGCCGGAATAATAGTGTTGCAAGCATCCCCTGGTGTGTAACTGAGCTTTTAATGTCTAAACTAAAACTGTTAAACCTCTGGGGGCAGAGGCTGAAATGGGGCTTTGGCTTTTATCTCAGGTGACTTTCTGAGTTTCATATTTGAGATTGTTTTCTACCTTGAAGATTAAAATGTGGTGAGAAAAAAGAAGTCCATCAAAATATTTCACATAATTAACTTATTTTTGTCATGTAGGAAGTAAGAAATAAGATATTGCATGAACACAGAGACTGTACTTATGCTCACTCACCCATCCATCCTAAACTACGGGAGACACTGAAATTTTTCCCTCTTTGTTCCTCTTCCTTATATAATATAACAATTCATAGCAATGTTTTTGGTTTATTTTATACATAATAAAATGCTTAATGTGAACATACCCTAAATTACTCTCCTTTTAGATAGAAAAACAACAACAACAACAATAAAAAACATGCAGATTCTACTTGTAACAAGGAAAGATACTTTAGGAGCCTGTGATATACATAGATATTTGCATTACAAAAGCTTGTATTCCAATTCTGGCTTTACCAGTTAATAGCTATGTAAACTCGGGTGGTTTTTGCTTAGGTATTCTGAGGTTTAGTTTTCTCCTATGTAATTTATCAGGTAATAATAATAAGTTGATAACGTATAAAAATGTTTACTATATAAAGTACCAGTCTTATAGTCATCTGAAGTTGTGTACAAATGGTAATTCTTTTGTTTTTGCCCTATATTATCTCATACTATGCCTTCTGAACAGGAGAAGATGGTATTAGAAAATTCCACTTAATGGTGAGTATATATGTGTTTGAAATGATGATGACACAATTTATTATTATTTTCGTTTGCCTTTCTTGAATTTCTTCTACTGGGAAAGCTGAAAGAGAAATGTAATAAAAAGGAGACATGTGCTCACTAGGCAGAATTTATTTTTAGTCAACAAACAAAAATTTAAATTTTCAGGCTTCAACCTATGTACTCAGATTGAAAAATACATTTTATTTTATACCTCCATATCAGTTCATGTTGATAAGAAAAAAAACAGACTAACATCATCCAAAACAGGTGCATTCAAATACAGATGTAGAAATTTGATTACCTGTCATTATCCATGTACCTCTATTTGCCTTTCCTGCTATACTGTAGGGTCATATACACTACCTGTCAATTAGGGTGCAGACATGTCATTTGTTCTTTGGATTTGTTTGTCAAAAATGGCACTGCCATCCTTTTTTGGTTTGAAAGCTTGTTTCAGTCAGCCACTTTCCTGAGCTAAACTCTAGTCTTTATTATTCAGAGTAATGTAACTATATTCCTGTTTAAAGTGGCTGCAAACTTCATATAGAAGTTATACTCTAGCATGCAAACAAGAAAGAAAGAAGTAAAATCATCTCTGTCTGCAGATGATATGATTTTCTCTGCATAAAACCCTAAAGACTCCACCAAAAAATTGTTAGAGCAAATAAACAAAGTCAATGAAGTTGTAGAATACAAAATCAACATACAAAAATCAGTTGCATTTCTATACAATAACAATAACTATCTTAAAAAAATAAGAAAAATCTCATTCACAGTAGCATAAAAGAACAAAAGAATTAATACCTTAAAAATGTTCTTATTACCCAAAGTTATCTATAGATTCAATGCAATCAAAATTCCAATATCATTATTCACAAAAAGTAGAAAAAAAATCTTAAAATTTGTATGGGATCATAAGAGATTCTGAATAGCAAAGCAATTTTGAGCAAGAAAAACATAGCTAAGGGTCTCATAGTACCTGATTTTAAATTACTTTAAAAAGCTATAGTAGTCAAAACAGTATGGTACTGACCTAAAAAGAGACACATAGACTCTATCAGTAGAACAGGATAGAAAGCTGAGAAATAAACCTATACATATGCAGTTAACTGATCTTCACAAAGGCAATAATATATGATGGGAAAAACATAATCTCTTATAAATGCTTTTGGGAAAACTGGTTATCCACATGCAAAAGAATAAAATTGGATTCTTATCTTACATCATGCATAAAAATCAACCTAAAATTATTAGGCTTAAATGTAAGACCTGAAACCAAAACACCCTATAAAAACACATAGGGGAAAAACACTTAGATATTGAAATTGGCAATAATTTATTCTGATATGTTGCTAAAAGCACAGGCAACAAAAGTAAAAATAACAAGTGGGACTACATCAAACTAGAAAGTGACTATACAGCAAACAACACAATCAACAAAATAAAAAGGCAAACTATGGAATGAGAGAAAATATTTGCAAAACATATATCTGACAGGGGCAAAAATCCAAAACATATAAGGAACTCACACAACTCAATAAAAAAAAAACAGATTAAAAAATTGTCACAAGACTTGAATATACCTTTTACCAAAGAAGCCATACAAATGACCAACAGATAAATGAAAAGGGACTTCTTAGCATCGCTATTCATCACGGAAACGCAAATCAAAACCACAATGAGGCATCATCTCCCACATATTAGAATGTCTATTATCAAAAAGACAAAACATAACAAGTCACGGTGAGAATGTGAAAAAACAGGGAATCCTTGTACACTATTGGTGGGATTGTAAATTGCTACAGCCGTTATGAAAAACTGTATGGAGTTACCTCACAAAAGTAAAAATAAAACTACTGTTTGATCCAGCAACCCCACTACTACCCAAGGGAAATGAAATCATTATTTCAAAGAGATAGCTGCACTCCCATGCTCACTGCAGCATAGTCATAATTACCAAGATATGGAAACAACCTAAGCGTCTACTGATGAATGTATGGATAAAGAAAAGGTGATACACACACACACACACACACACACACACACACACTAGAATATTATTCAGCCTTAAAAAGAAGGAAATCTTGTCATTTGTGTCAACATAGATGAATCTAGAGGAGACTATTGTAAGTGGAATAGAGCAGACATAGGATATTACTGCATGATCTCATTTTGATGCAGAATCTAAAAAGGTCAAATTCATATAAACAGGAAGAGGAATGGTGGCTGCCAGGGTTGCCAGAGCTTGGAGTGTAGGGAAATGGAGTGAAGTGGTTCAAAGAGTGCAAACCTTCAGTTACAAGGAGATTAAATTCTGTAGGTCAAATGTGAAGCATTGTGACTACAGTTAATAATAATGTATTATAAATTGAAATTCAGTAAGAGATGAAGTCTTAAGTATTCTCACCAAATAAATAAATACACACATATATGCATACGTACATACATAAGTTAATTAGCTTGATGGGTGAATCATTTTACAACTTGTATGCCCTTCAAAACATCCTCGCTGTTGTAGTGAGAACACATGGACTCAAGGAGGGGAACATCACACACTGGGGTCTGTCGGGGGCTGGGGGGAAAGGGGAGGGAGAGCATTAGGACATATACCTAATGCATGTGAGGCTTAAAACCTAGATGACGAGTTGATAGGTGCAACAAATCACCATGGTACATGTATACCTGTGTAACAAACCTGCACGTTCTGCACATGTATCCTGGAACTTAAAGTAAAATAAAAAATAAAAATAAACATCCTGTTGCATACCATAAATACATACAATGTTTGTCAATTATACCTTTAAAAAGCTGGAAAAAAGTAAAGACCACAAAAAGAAGAAGGAAAAGAAGGTATAGGCTTTCATATCATATTGAATAAAGGAGTTAGCTTCTTTCCTAATACTGTGGTGGGGTAATTAGATTCTCTGACTGCCTGTGAAATTGTAAGGGGAAAAAAGTATATTTTAACAAAGACATTTGAATACTTAATATAAAATCTGACTTATCTTTTTTCTTTTTCATTTCCAACAAGTTGATTTTTTTACTGGGTCTCAGTTTTTTCATAGGTACATTAAGTATTATAATAATACAGTAATAAGACTTGCTTTATAGAGATATGCTCAGGATCATTAAACATTATGATACCCCCTCCTCTTTGTGCACGTAATTAGAAAATTGTATGAGATATAAACTTCAAACTTCTTAGCAATCAATGATCAGATATATTATAGAATCTCTTTAGATGACACGAATTCTATATATTGTGAGCTTAGAAATATGTAACCTATATAGGATTATGAGAGGCCAAATAACGTTGTAGTTCAGAGCCTTGCCTTTGAAGTCAAAATAGCTGTCACTTAGACATAGTGAGGAAGGCTGTGTAACTTCTCTTTGCCTTGATTTCTTCACTTATAAATTTGAGCCAAAAAATAGTTTTGTTAGCCAAGTTAATTAAGAATTACAAAATATTATGAATAGCACATGAGGCATAGTAAACATTGAATACATTTATTTACTATTAATTTGTTATATTACTAAACTGCATGCTCTCACACTCACATTATATGGATTTGGATGGTACAGAAAAGAGCCATTCTGATTCCCTTTCATGGAAAGACTAGTTGACCAGCTGATGGGACTGCTGTGAACAAACAAACTTTAAGTGTCAGCCCTTTCAGGGACTGCTTCAGTTTCAGAGAAATGCCCTGAGATATTCAGTAGACTTCATCTGAATGGAAATTCCAGATATTGTGTGCCACCCATTGCCATTAGGAAGCACTGTCCCCTCATCCTGCCAACACTACTAGGTAGGAGGTTAGTCCCAGCTACTCCTGTGGACATCCTACTCAGCGTATTGCATCACACCTTCCCAATCCAAAAATGTTACTATCAACCTAAAGTTGACAGGCAATATTAGCAATGTGACATTCCATATTATTCTTTCAACCAAAATATATTAAGAAACTATAAAGTGTTAGGCTTTATCTAGGTTCCAGAATATAAAAAATTAAAATAAAACAAAATAAAATAAATTATGTTCCTTAATATTATGAATATCTGTTAACTTCCCACCATATCAAATGACATGATCATCTCTCTGAAGAATATCTTACAAGGATGTATCTCCACAGCTGCAGTTTCAAGTAGACTCTCACCACAAGTTGCACTGTCTGACCAAATGTGCTCTAAAAACAGTGGCATTTACAATGGGGTAGAATTAGCTTAGCATATGCAATGAATCTCCAAGGAAATAAGTGAGATTCCCAAATTCAGTATGCAATTTTGGCTAAAACTGAACTAACTTCCTAAGTATAACCCACTCATAATTATTCTTACACTGCTTTAAAAAATTATGTGTCTCCCACCTGGTACAAATGTTATCATTGCTTAGGGCTAGAAAATGTCTGGGGTTCTAAAAGTACAATTTAAAAGAGTGATGTTGCTGTTAAGGAAGTAAATGAATTTAATTAATGGGTACAGATTTCTTTGGCAAATCAGAAAATTTCTATTTTCTTACTTTCAACAAATTTAAAGGAGAATCTAAATGAGTTCTGAGCTGATCAATAATTAAAAATATTTTATGACAGATAATACCAAGACTTTCTTTTCATTTTTCTCACTTAGAAGTAAAGTATGAAGTGACGTCATTAAAATTGAGTCTGTTTTTATCTGAATCTACTTTTCAACATGAACTTATTTCCTAAGCAATTACTTTTAAGGTTAAAACCAAGAATAAAGTTAATCTATACATACTTGAAAAATTAAAAAGAAGCCTCTTCCATCCCTGAAATTGATGCAATCTCAATAACGTTTTGTATTTCATTATGTTTATTTTTTATTTTTAAATATTAATATGTTTATGTGGTTTGGCTTAATTGCATATTAACCTCAGTTGAATTAGCTCAATCAAGGATAAACTGTTTAGCACTTAGTGCCTTGCATTCTTAATATAATACATAAACTTAATTTCAATTTATATACATACTTTTATTACATAGAATTATGACAGGGTTACAAATCTTAGACACTCAAATGTAATACTGTATGTTACAACAAAATTTCTGCAGGAAAATAGAATGAAAATAAAAATTCAAATGTAAGAAGATATAAAGAACAATTTCTCATTCTTAAAGAAGAGCTAATGCCTATATTCTTTAAATAGTGTTGATGAGAGAGTATAGATTTGTCAAAAATCTTGTAGAGGATCCGAAAGCAGAAATTTTAGAATTCCCACATTAAAATATTTATTTTCTGTTTTCCTGTACATACTAAATTCTAATCTCATTACCTAAGAGTGACATTAGTTGTAATACCAATGGTGTAAAACATCCCTTGTCTTATAGGACTTTACTGTAAAAAAAAAATTACAACACTCAAATATCTGTATAAAATATAATGAAACACTATTCAATCTATCACTGTAAATAAATTGCATCTCTCTCAAACATATATCAACTTCAGCAAAATCAAAGGCAGATTATTTTTTTACCCACATTTATTTCCCTAATTTTTCAACTCAAAATTAAGCCATTTAAAAACATTATTTTAGCAAAATACATATAAAGTAAGATAAAGCACTGTTACAATAAACTTGTTTGCTACATGTTTACTATAAATAATGCTTAAAGCAGCTTTTAACACTTAAATACAGTGTATTCTTTTATTTTGGAAACAGTGGTAATTATCATAGATATGGGCAGAATAATGCGTGAAACGTATTGCCAACAATGCAGAGGCAGAAGAGGTATATTTACCTAATTAATAGTTAGGGGACACATGAAAGAAGTTTCCTCAGACTTACACCTTTGCCCTCAGTTATTATTAGAAATATACTTGATGATACAATATTGTTTGTAATAAAAAATGTCATTTGGATTATTGCTAACTTTGACTTATAGACACTTGTAAAATAATATTTTCAGTAAAATAATACAAAATAACTATTATAGAAACTTGATATTTTAAGGAAATCTATGGATAGTTTCTGTTTTACAGTTGTATAATCATAATGTATTTATCTTAAAAAATACATTTGTGTTGAGAACTGGATGACCTAATTCTTAGAGATCATTTGCTTCAGGAAACCTTTACAGACAAGACTGTAAAGAAATATATCACATCATTCTTCATGAATTCATACAGATCAATTTATTTGAGACAATGGTCAACTTACTTGAGCAAACAAGCTTGCTTATCAGACAACTGTGTAGCTAGCAAGATTCACTACAAACCTTTCTCTGTTTATAACCACTAATAACCAATTATTATTTCTCCAAATTTTACTCAACCATAGCTATTTCCATACTTAAGATCTACCTCAAACGACTTAAGCCCAGGCCTCAAACCTATGATATCTTTTCCTCTCAGATAATACTAAGATTGTCAAGATGGTGCTCTTTCTTACTACCGTGAGCCCTAATAGGCGTAGTTATACTTTACCAATACATTTTGTTTGTAACAGGTTATTAACAAGTTGATAATTCAGGAAGTTCATAAGTACACAATTTCTTATTCACATTTTCCATCATATTTTCTACTTGTCACTACCAATGATTTTCTAGTTATTTAATGTTTATGAGCTGACAAGTGAGACCACTTAGCAATACAGAAAGATGCGGTTTGTACATATAACATTTTAAATTGTTAAAAAAGTAATATTTGAAAACAAAATTAATCTGACAAATGTTATAATCAGGCATTCTTAATATGATCCCATATGATAAATTAGTACAAATACTCAATATTTACCTTAACGGAAACAGTAAGTTTTTTCTTTATTACGAAGTCATTTTAAAGTTCTAATTTTCCTATTCACATTAGTGATTTAGCTTCTAAATCTACACAACATTAAGTGCTGCTCAGCACCACAAATGCCTCTGAAAATTGACAGCTCTGTCACATCTCACTGCCTCTCCTACAACATGGATCCATGCGATGCACACGTCGTCTTTCTTTTTAAATGTTGATATAAAAACTTTTTGTTCTTTTAATTAGATTAAGGTGTGTAGGCAGGTTGAATAGTGTTCCTGCAGATTGTCACTAGATTACACAAGCTAGGGTATTCATATAGATATAAAACCTAAGGAAGAAATTGAAACTACATTTTTATTTTTGAAGCGTTACATCAAAATCTCTATCTGTGATCATTAACGTCTACAAATTTATACAAAGGAGACATTTATATATATTGAGGAAAATGTTCAGCAGTAGATTTCTAAATTTTTGTCTTAGGCTAACTCAAATATATTTTAGAAACTTATTTGTGTCTCATAGCCAATAAGTCTAAGGGACAGTTCGGAAAGATGTTAGCTAGGACACTCCACTTGAGGTAGTAGGTGCAAAAGTAATTGCGGTTTTTGCCATTACTTTCAATGGCAAAAACCGCAATTACTTTTGCACCAACCTAATAATAGTTGAAATAATAATATCAAACCTTATGGATACTTTGATGACATTGATATTTATGCTGTAAGATATTCAAGGAAAAAGAAAAAAGATCGAAATTGCTCACAATAGTATCTTTACCAAACCCTACCCAAGAACATGAGCAGGGTAACAGTTTACATCAACCACAAGTTGGCCAAATCCATGGTAGTCACTAAAAGCCTGTCTTGTTTCTTATTTCTTCTGTGTGTGTGTGTGCATGTGTGTGTGTGTGTGTGTCTGAATGTGTGTGTGTGTACCTGTGTGTCTGTGTGCAGCTGAACCACAGTCTTGCAAATAAAAGACCATAGTTGGATTTATTTTTTGCCATAATCTAGTACATTTAATGATATTGAAAACTCCCCATCATTTTGGTTAAAAATTTTATGAATTGGTTATTCAGGATAAAGTAGCATATTAAACTTTTGTAGCACATTATTTCAGTTTGTTACTTTTAATTGTATCCCTGACTCATTTGAGAATGTATGTTCCAGGACATTTTGGCTTGAGAGCATTAAATTATTTTCCTTTTCTATATTTGAATCTTCCTAAAACCTGTTTCTTGGAATATACATATATATATATGTGTGTGTGTGTATATATATATATGTGTGTGTGTGTGTGTGTATATGTGTGTGTGTGTGTATATATATATGTATAAGAGTGTGTACCTATGAATGTGTACAGATGTCTTGGCTAAACGGTAGTATAAATGGCAAGAATCATATGTTACCCAAGCTGCCTGAAGTTTTCTAGTTACAAATAAACTCTAAAATTTCTAAACCATTAGGAGCATCACTACTATAAAATCATCTGTTCACGTGCATTTGCTTAATATTCTTGTATTTTTCACGTCCCTTAGTGAATCTAAAAGATAAGTAAAAGTTTTTCTGTGATGTAAGTTTTTGAACTTAATGAATTAGAAAGAAGAATGTAAAACCCAAGTAAGCTATATTTAGAAAAATGTAATTTGACCAGCATGTGATGGACAAGTGACTAGGTTACTGGTAAGAAAGACTGTATTACTATTAATTCCTAAAGTTAGCTACTTGGTCAAATAAACTAGTTTATTCTTAATTACAATTACAAAAATGATGCCAGTTTTCATTTGTCTAGTGAGTGATGATGACAATAACAATAATAATAATGTAATTTTAAAGCTAGCTTCACTAGTCTCTCTCTGTCATAGCTGTTATATCTTCTTTTTCTCTTATGAATCCAACTCCTGATAGTTTTAATAGGAAAAACTATAATTATTGTAATTATAAAATGGCATCAACTGTTTTGACTATAACTAGGTCTTATACATGCTCACATATTTTTCCTATGTCATTTTTAACTGCAGTCCTTAAAATAAAAGTATCTATTTCAGCTTTCTAATGAGGCTGTCAAACTGAAGCATTTTATTTATTCTTTATCTAAGGTTAACGATAAAACTCAGTATGACTTTTAAAAAAAAAATCCACCTCTTGGCTGCCCATATTACATACTACTATACCCAAGAATGGTTAGCTATTTTTCAATGATTCACTCAGGAAGCAGCAAAAATTTTACTATTTTGTGATTAACTTGTAGCTTTCTTTGAATTACATTTGCAAAATGTAGGATCCAAAATAAATGATCTAGTTCTTATTTTAGCAAAATTATGAGGAACAAAAATATAAATATTAGATATCTAGAGGATAAATATATATATAGGCATGAATATGAACATCAGACATCAAAGATAGGTTTTTAACAGATGTTGATTAAAACGGGGATAGTTTAATCTTCTGTTTATATGATTGCTTTGAAGTTCAGTAAAACATTACTTCAAATAGTTCCGATATGTATTTTCTTAACAAGAAAGGACAACAGCATAATGATAAAATGTGCCAAAAATTTTAACAATGTGACTTTACATTTATATTTAATAGTAGTTAATATTAATATTTAATAATGTATCCTTTATATGAATGGATAGAATAAAAGAAATCACTAATCAATAGAATTATTCAGTAATAAGTAAATACTGTGGTTCGTGTATATATATATATATATATATATATATATATTTTTTTTTTTTTTTTTTTTTTTTTTTTTTTTGAGACAGAGTCTCTCTCTGTTGCCCAAGCTGGAGTGCAGTGGCGCAATCTCGACTCACTGCAACCTCCGCCTCCCAGGTTCACGCCATTCTCCTGCCTCAGCCTCCCGAGTAGCTGGGACTACAGGCGCCCGCAACCATGCCCGGCTGCTAATTTTTTTTTTATATTTTTAGTAGAGACGGGGTTTCACCGCGTTAGCCAGGATGGTCTTGATCTCCTGACTTCGTGATCCGCCGGCCTCGACCTCCCTAAATGCTGGGATTACAGGTGTGAGCCACCGCGCCCAGCCGGTTCATTTATATTTTTATAAACTTTTTAATGACAGCTGATTTTACAGTTCAGTGCCTTATTTTGGGGGAACTGTAGGCATAGAGGAAAGATAAATGTTCACCCAATAGCTTAAACTAGGTCATATAACAGATATAATACAAAACAAAATATTTAAAAGTTAATGTTAAAATAATTGTGCAAGTTTTCTATAATAGCTGGGGGACCAGTGATTTAAGAGGGAGGAAAAAGTAAAAGAAAGCTTATTTCATTTTTTTACAGGCTTATATATTGGCATGCAGGTCCATTTAATAAATAAAGTTGTAAGAAAATGATCAAACTAAGGCTTTAGGGCCACATGTGTCCCTTTGGAGCTTTTAACAGCCATCATTCTGCAAAAAACTTACTAGATATGCCTGTTAAGTGCCATAGGGTACACAGATTCTTTAAGCATGTTGGTATCTTAAAGTATTTACAATCTGGTTGAACAGATAAGACTTGTACAAACAAAATTACAATTCAGGGAAGTATAAGTTAAATGTCAAGTGCCAGGTGAAAAATGTTTCTATTGAAATTCAAAGGGAAAAATAACTTCTGCTTAGAGTTTCACTTAAAACCTCCATGCAATCTCAAAGAAAAGAATAAAAATGAAATGTTCTGATTCTAGTTAAGGTAATATTGTTTTCTTAAAAATCTTAATTTGATACTGCAAGAGCAGGGCAAGAGCAGGGCCTCTAAATGCCTTATATACAATCTAGAAAATAATTTTAGAAAGATACATTTAAAGTGATAAAATGACTCAATAGCAATGAGCATAATAAATTCTAGTTTGTATCCACTTGAATAACTTTATATTTTATATTAGGAAGCATATCTCGTATTTTAAAAATGGAAATTCAGACAAAGTAACAGTTGTTGAGTCTTATGTACACAATCAAGGCAATTTGGTTTACTGGAGAGAGAGAGAAAAAAAGGAAAAGAAAGAAAAAGAGAGTTTCCATGAGTGATAGGCCACGTTCATTACTTAAATTCCAAATATAATTATTTTCATGTATTAGTTAAAATAAGAAACAGAAGTCAGTGACTTAACTCAATAAAGACTGGTTCCTAATTGCATGACAGTCAGATTCTGGTCAGATAGTTTTCTTAAATGTTTTCCTCCAGGAGTAAGGATGCATCTTCTTCTATTATTTGTATCTGTTACCTCCTGGTCTTTCACTTCCAACTCCTTGTATAAGGAAAAGAGACAGGATGGACAATCATGGCAGATACCTTAGTATTCAGACCTGGAATATTTGATATTTTTATCCACATTCCAGTATTTGGTAGTATTTAGATGCAAAGTAGGGAGTAGATGTTAGCCAGTATAGTATCCTTATGTGTCCAGGAAGAAATAAAACACGTAGCACTTCCTTTGTTAAATTTTATTTTCAATAAATGTCAAAAGAGTGAATATTTTTATTTTTTATTCTAATATCATTTTTTGTTCATTTTTAAGGTGGGGTACTGCATCCAATTCATTGCCTATCATCTTTGTAGGGTGATAAATCAAAGTGTTCTATTTTGCTAGCACAAAACCCTAAAGTCTGCCAGATAGTCCCACTATTAAATCCATTCTCATCCTGCCATGATAGAGTGAAAAGGTGGATGTGGTTATCTAAATTCTGCCAACTGAATTATTTTTATGTATTTTTGAATTATAAGAAGAATTGTTCAAGAAGAACTGTGATTTATATACTTATCTTAGTAATAATACTGAGAAATATGGTTAAGTATCAGTTGCTCTCTAGATGCTTTAAATTGGCTGATTCCTATCTTGGTTGCCGTGTTTGTTTCTAGCCAAAATATCCTGACATAGTAATCCATTATGTGAGCAACCCAATATTGTATAAATAATTTCCTCTTTTTTTCTCTTAAGTAAAACCTTAGTTTTTTTTTATCTCTTGCAACTAACAAACCCTAGTTAGTACATTAATACTTTCATTTAAAAATGAAAGATTTAAATCTTTCACTTAAAAATTTAAATCTTTCATTTAAAAATGAAAGATTATAATTGCTGTTGGCCACGAATGATTCATAATAAATTTAAAAATGATAACCAATTGGATTATGATCTAAATTTGAAAGAAGTTGGCTTTCATGATTTAATTTAATGAAGAAAAAACTTTGGCCAAAGATGGAAAATAATAAATCAGTATATATCAGCATCTTCTGTTGACTTTTGCTGTTACTTTATAAAAATGATGATTTATTCAGTTATAATGGCAATTTATTGAAATGATGGGGTTTCTCAGTTAGTATCTGGGTACAGTATTATGACATGCAAATATACTTAAAATTTTCAGTGTTATACAAATGAGTGCAAAAGATAAATGAATATAAGTTTTACAGCAAATAATTATTTTTTAAATGTAATACTTCAATTCAGAGATGACAAGGTCCTGTAACAGGCCATGTATCTTTAGCTTTGGGAGCCGTATGCCACTGTTAAACCTACTCAACTTTGTGTTGTGGCACAAAAGCAGCTTTTGATAATACATGTATGAATGAGTGTGGTGGGGTACCAGTAAAACTTTATAAAAACTGATGGACATCAAGATTTGGTCTGTAGGCAGTAGTTTTTAGACCCCTTCCCTAATTTGTCAAAAATTTCTTTTTTATATTTTCATAATGAAATATGTTTGTAATAATAATGTAATAATCTCATGCAAATAGTCATCAGGATAGGTAACTGAAGTAAATAATCATTTCTGCTTTTCTGTCTATATTAATGATTGCAAATAACCATAATACTAAAATAATGGTCAAAGGAGTCTCATATGTGCACATACAATATAAACATTATGAGTGTTTTGTTTCTCTGGGTTGTAGAAATAATATTCATTTTAATTGTACTCAGTATTATTGTACTAAATTTAATTACAACTGAAATATGTGTAATCTTAATATTTTCTCATATATTGTGAGAAAATTTTTTCAAAGTGCTTGCTTTTGTTCATATACAAGACTACATGTTGCACAGATTATTTAGAAAAATGATTTGATATAATTGATCACTTTATTCTTTATGCTTAGTTTTTTAGAAGACCGTAAAAGGTAAGACCGTAAAAGGAAGAGATTTCATATATTTCAGAAATAAATAATAAGTCATCCATTTTTATTGCTCACTGATTATAATCTCTTTTACTGGGAAAGTGTGAGTACTGGCATGCATATAAGATAAAAAATAAATTGATAAGATATCAGTAAAACAAGTAATGAAATATGGATTATATATATAATACCACGTACTGGGGAAAACAAAGATTAAGAAGAAGGGAAAAATTCTATTTTTAAAGAAGAAAACAGTTACAATTTTACCTAATAAACCATAGCATATCCAAGACAAGTCATACCAAATTTTAAAAACATGTGACAAGTATGTTGCCATTTTAACAAATTCCTTGAAGGTCAAGTAGAACTCTCATCTTATTTTCTTGTAAGTGTGAAACTTTTGAGATGTTGGCGTACTATTTTACATAGACAATAGAAAAAAAAAATGTGCCTGTAATCCCAGCACCTTGGGAGGCTGAGGTAGCAGATCACTTGAGGTCAGGAGTTCGAGACCAGCCTGGCCAACATGGTGAAACCTCGTCTCTATTACAAATACAAAAATTAGCCAAGCATGGTGGTGGGTGACTATAATCTCACCTACTTGGGAGGCTGAGGCAGGAGTATCACTTGAACCTGGGAGATAAGTTGCAGTGAGCCGAGATTGTGCTACTCCACTCCAGTCTGTGTGACACAGTGAAACTGTCTCAAAAAAACAAATAAATGAAAATAAAAATCGTACACAAAACACCTCAAATTTAGAAAAAGAAGAAAGGAAAGTGAAAATAGAAAGAGGGAAGGATGGAAAAATAATAGGATAAGAAATTGGCTGTCATCAAAATGGCAAATGTTTACTTTATGGGAAGAGGAAAAATAGTGAAAATGAATAAACCAGATTTGTGGAGATTTAAATCAATAACACAGATTGGCAGGTGGAGACTGAGTCGAACACTGAATCTTCATCATCCTCCTTTGTAATGTTTTTAAAATTTCAACTTTTATTTTAGATACAGTGGGTACACATGCAGTTTTGTTACATGGGAATACTGCATGATGCTGAGGTTTGAAGTATGGATCCCATCACACAGGTAATGAACACTGTACCTGACAGGTAATCTATACACATATTTGGAGATAAAAAGAACATGTGCTAATAAAAAAATATAGTTTGTCAGAGGGAAAATCAACCACTTAAATGTAGAAGATCTCAGAAAAAAATATTTATAAACAATACTATATAAAATAACAAAATTGTATAATTCATAATATCTAGTAAATAATTATAAATATTGAAGCAAACTGAAAGAAAACCAAAAGAGGCACCCTGACAGGGACCCACTGCTCCCCCTCCCTCCACTCTCTAGCAGTCCACAGTGTCTATTCCCACATTTATGTCTATGCAAACTAAATGTTAAGCTCTCATTTATAAGTAAGAGCCATATTTGGATTTCTGTTCCTGTTTTAATTTGTTTAGGATTATGGCCTTCAACTCCATACATGTTGTGTCAAAGAACATGATTTTATTCCTTTTTATAGCTGCATAGTATTCCGTGTTGTATATATACCCCCTTTCCTTTATCCAGTGTACCGTTGATGGGCATCTGTGTTGATGCCATGTCTTTGGTGTTGTAAACAGTGCAGCAATAAACATGTAACTGCATGTGTCTTTTTGATAGAATGAGTTATTTTATTTTGGATATATATACCCAGTAAGAGGATTGCTGGTTGAATGACAGCTCTGTTTCTAGTTATTTGGGAAATATTCAGACTACTTTCCACAGCCGCTGGACTAATTCTCATTCCCACCAACAGTGTATGGTCATTCTCTTTTCTCTACAGCCTTGCCAGCATCTGCTGTTTTTTGACTTTTTATTAATAGCCAGTCTGGTGTGAGACGGTATCTCATTGAGGTTTTGGTTTGCATTTCTCCAGTCATTAGTGATGCTGAGCATGGTTTCATATGTTTGTTGGCCATTTGTATGTCTTCTTTTGAAAAGTGTCTGTTCATGTCCTTTGCTCATTTTTAACGGGGCTATTTGTTTTTTCTTGTTGATTTATTTAAGTTCCCTACAGATTTTGGATATTAAGACCTTGTCAGGTGCCCAAATAGCCCCAGCAATCCTAAGCAAAAACAGCAAAGCTGGAGGCATCACACTACCCATCCTGAAACTACATTATAAAGTCACAGAAACAAAAACAGCTTTGTACTGGTACAAAAACAGACACATAGAGCAATGGGATACAACAGAAAACTCAAAATAAAGCTGCACACCTACAACCATCTAGCCTTTCACAAGGCCAGTTAAAATAATGGAGAAAGGACTTCCTATTTAATAAATTGTGCTGGGATAACTGGCTAGCCACATGCAGAAGATGGAAGGTAGAGCACTACCACTCACCAAATATAAAAATTAACTTAAAATGGATTAAAGGTTTAAATATAAGACCTCAAACTATAACAATCCTGGAAGGTAACCTAGAAAATACTCTTCAACATGAGCCTTGGCAAAGAATTTTTGGCTATATCTCCAAAACAAATTGCAACATAAACAAAAATAAAGTGGGACCCAATTACACTAAAGAGCTTCTGCACAGCAAAAGAAACTATGAACAAGCTGACAGCATATAAAATGGAAGAAGGTATTTGAAAACTATGCTTTCTTTCTAATATGTGCAGCCTAGATTCCCCACAGGGATCCACTGCCAGAGTTGAAGCAAAGTAGAGTCAGAGAGGGGATGCAGAGATAAGTTTTGCTTACAGAGCCTATAATGTAAAGACTTAAAATAAAGTCACATTGAGTCATTAAGCACCGAAACTGAGGACAAGTCCGCACAAATGGCAAAACAAATAACCAATTGGTAGTTAGTATATTTGAGAAAACCGTATTCAAAGCTTTTCTTTACTACCTTGCCATCCCTAACCTTTTTAAAAAGTAAAAAGATGTCTCCCTTCAACTATTGACAACAATTAGAAAGGAACACAAAGTCTATACATATATTTCTTAACAAACAATACTATATAAAATAACAAAATTATAGAAGTCATAATATCTATTAAATAATTATAAATACTGAAGCAAATTGTAAGAAAACCAAGAGGTAAAAAGTGAAGCTGCTAATTTTAATAAGCAAAAATTAATATATGTATGTATATTACAGAAATGAAGCCCACTCTGAAAGAAATGATAACAAAAATAAGTTAAAATGACCAAAATGAGCAGTCCAGACAACATAAGATAAAATTGAATAGAAAAGGATATTTCTTTTTCTTTAAGGTACTTAGTAGGGTGGAAAAAAAATCTTTTCCAAACTATTAATAATTTTTCTAGACAAAGTTAGCATAATAAACAGAAAAACATTTGAAGAAATGCTTCTAAAATCCTTAACTGACTCTGCATTTCTCAGGTTAATTAAAAAAAATAACTAACACAATGACAAAGTTACTAAACTTTGTGAATAACAACAGAAAATATGTGTATCTCCACACAAGTAAATAACAAACAGATGGTGAATATAGAAATCATTTATTTGGAAATAGAAAATAATGTATTACACACTTGGGCAATATAAAAGTGATATTTTAACTTTTTACAGGAGATGAGGCAGGGTAAATAGGAGAATGTGAAATGTTCCCTCCATAATCTTCTATATTTTATTAAATAAAATTTATAGATGTAGCTACATTTTAAACATATAACACTTTGAGAAATCAAATGTCTGTTATTTTTATCTTTTTCCACTTTTTAAGAGGTGTATTGTATACATACACATTTGTTTATTAAAAAAACTTGTTAATTTCAGTAATTTCTACAAATTCCATTTTGTTTCATAAAGAAATATGTACTTAAACATTCTTAATTTTTTTATAAACAAGTATAACCCAATTGTATTTTATTACATTATATCTAATATAACTCTATAGGCAAAGAGAAGTGGCTATGATGGTGCTCATACAAAATTAATTGTGGTTATTTGTAAGAAAAAAGATTTTAAGTGATACAGTAATTCTATTTTCATTTTTTTGAAGTTGCTTGGTATTTTTCTAAATAACACATATTTTCTAAATAGCACATTTTTTAAAGTTTTTTTTAACTTTTATCTTAGGTTCAGGAGTACATGTGCAGGTTTGTTATATAGGTAAACTCATATCACGGGGGTTTGTTGTACGGGTTTTTTAGTCACCCAGGTGCTAATACTAGTACTCAACAGTAATTTTTTTTTTAATTCTGTCACTCCTCCCAAACTCCATTCTCAAGTAGGCCTTTGTGTTTGTTGCTCCACTCTTTGTGTCCCTGTGTTCTCATCATTTAGCTCCCACTTATAAGTGAGAACATGTAGTATTTGGTTTTCTGTACCTGAGTTAGTTTACTTAGGATAATGGCCTCCAGCTCCATCCATGGTCCTGCAAAGGACATAATATCATTCTTTTTATGGATGCATTATATTCCACGGTGTATATATATCAGAAGTCTACCATTGGTGAGCATTTGGGTTGATTCCATGTGTTTGCTATTGTGAATAGTGCTGCAGTGAACATATATGTGCATGTCTCTTTTATGGTATGACAATTTTCATCCCTTTCAAAATATACCCAGTAAAGGGATTTCTGGGTCGAATGGTAGTTCTTTTTTTTAGCTCTTTGAGAAATCACCACACTGCTTTCTACAATGGTTGAACTAATTTACGCTCCAACCAACAGTGTATAAATATTCTCTTCTCCACAGCATTGCTAATAATATCTGTTGTTTTTTGACTTTTTAATAACAGCCATTCTGACTGGTGTGAGATAGTATCTAATCGTGGTTTCAATTTGAATTTCTCTAATGATCAGTGATGTTGAGCTTTTTTTCGTATACTTGTTGGCTCCTTGTGTGTCTTCTTTTGAAAAGTGTCTGTTTATGTCCTTTGCCCACCTTTTAATAGGGTTGTTTTTTGCTTGTAAATTTGTTTAATTTCCTTATAGATGCTGGATGCTAGACCTTTGTCAGATGCACAGTTTACAAATATTTTTCCCATTCTGTAGGTTGTCTGCTTACTCTGTTGATAGTTTCTTTTGCTGTGCAGAAGCTCTTAAGTTTAAGTGTAATTAGATCTTATTGCCAATTTTTGCTTTTGTTGTGATTGCTTTTGGCATCTTCATCATGAACTCTTTGTCAATGCCTATCTCCAAATGACAATGCCTGGGTTGTCTTCCATGGTTTTTATAGTTTTGGGTTTTATATTTATGTTTTTAATCCATCTTGAGTTGAGTTGATTTTATATATATATATATTAAGAAAGGGGTCCAGTTTCAATTTTCTGCATCTGGCTAGCCAGTTATCCCAGCACAATTTATTAAGTAGGTAATCATTTCTCCATTGCTTGTTTCAGTCAGCTTTGCTGAAAGTAAGATGGTTGTGGGTGTGCAACCTTATTTCTGGGCTCTTTATTCTCTTCCATTGGTATATGCGTCGTTTTTATACCGGTACCATGCTCCTTTGGTTACTCTAGCCCTATAGCATCGTTTGAAGTACGGTAACATGATACCTCCAACTTTGTTCTCTTTGCCTATGATTTCCTTGGCTATTTGGACTATTTTTTGGTTCCATATAAATTTCAGTATAGTTTTTTGCTAGTTCTGAAAAGAGTCTCAATGGTAGTTTCATAAGAATAGCATTGAATCTATAAATTGTGTGGGGGCAGTACAGCCATTTGAAAAATATTGATTCTTCCCATCCATGAACATGGCATGTTTTTACATTTGTTTGTGTCATTGCTGATTTCTTTGAGTAGTCTTTTGTAATTGTCATTGCAGAGATGTTTCACCTTCCTGGTTAGCTATATTTCTAGGTATTCTAGTCTTTTTGTGAATCTTTGTGAATAAGATTTCATTCTTGCCTTGGCTCTCAGCTTGGCTGTTGTTGGTATGTAGGAATGCGAGTGAATTTTGTACATTGATTTTGTACCTGAAATTTTGCTGAAGTTGTTTATCAGCTGAAAGAGCTTTTGAACCAAGACTATGGGGTTTTCTAGATATAAAATCATGTTTTCTGCAAACAGGGATAATTTGACTTCCCTTCTTTCTGTTTGAATGCCCTGTATTTATTTCTATTTAAATGACACATGTTTTCTAAATGGCACTTAAATTTATTTAAAAATAAAAATAAATCTCTTTTGAAAAACTAACAATTCGATAGGTATATAAAAGTACTTTCATACAAGATAAAATGTTGAAAATATTAGGCCAACATTTTTGAGTATACGTCCTTGATATAATTTTAGTGCTATTTACAAGAAACAAGCAAAAACTACCTTATAAAAAATTCACATTGAATAAAAGCTCATACATAATTTGAATACAATTAAATTCAAATTATTATCATCAACAATATTACCTCTAAAAGTGTTTTTTTCTTGTTACTTTGGTGGGCTTGTGTGTTATTTTTCACACACTTCTCTGTTATTTTATGAGAAAAAATAAGAAAAAATAGGAAACAACATAATTTCTGGGACTTGAATGTTATAATTGTGGAAATAACAACTAGTCCTTTTAAAACTTCAAAACATTAAATTGATAAATCTTTTAAAAACTACAAAACATTCTAGGACAGAAAACATTATCCTATTTCAAATCAATTGCATATATACTCATATTATCTGTCCAGCATTAATAATTAAGCCTATGAAACAAAAATATTTATTGAGTCACTATTAATACAACAAACATCTGACTTGAACTCCATAAAGCTCAGTCATACATATAATTAATTACACCTCATTTCACCGGCTTCAGAGCATAATTTAAACTTATAAAGATGTACAGATTCATTGAAATTAAATTTAGGTTGTTAAAATGAACTGATTAACAATTAATGGATCACAATTTTACACCTGATCGAGATTTGGGATATATAAAATATAAAATTAAAAAATAACTTAATATGTGAAATGCTGGTGAAGGAAGGAAGGGAGGAAGGGAGGAGGAGAGGGAGGGAGGGAGGGAGGAGGAGAGGGAGGGAGGGAGGGAGGGATGAAGTAAGGAAGGAAGAAAGAAAGGAAGGATGGGTGGAAAGAAGAAGGAAAGAAAAAAAAAAGAAGATTAACACAGATGCACTGCAAAATGTGTGTACTATGAAAAGAGCAATAACACAGTGACTGCCTGGAGGGCAAGTCTCATCTGCTGTAATAAACATCAAGGTAAGAAGCCAAGATGAATTTGAACAATTTTCTTGCTCTAGCAAAGAAATTGAACAAAGAAGCTCTTAATCACAACTGGTCACCTTCCCTGCTGTTATATCAAATTGTTCTAAAGACCTTCTGGTTTAAAAGCTATTGTAGTTTGAGATTTATGTAACGTGTAAATTGGAATAGAGGCAGACATATTCTCCAAGGGTGTTTTGAGGTAAGCTCTGAAGAAAGGTATTTTGTAAATTTTATGAGTATTTTAGCTTTTCGTCTCTCAGATTCAGTATAACAGATACCTATCTTTCATCTTCCATTAAGCCAATCAAGAAGCAAATTGGAAAGAAATTTATTATTAAAGATGAAGATAGTTATTGATGATTGCTATTTGATTTGAAGCTAGTAGTATGCAGATTACAGAAGTGAAGCATTTCACATAGAAGTAATAAATGGCAGGTCTAGAGAAGAGGGGAATTAAAGAAAAAGTAATAGTCTTAAATGAGAAATGAGAAGACCTTATTTTCTCTTTTTTCCTTTAGATATTTGGATGCCCTCATTTGGTCACTTCATTGAAATCAAGACAAGCAGCCTCAAAGTTCATAGAAAACCAGCCCCAAAGGCACTGTGTTATGTTGCTCCTGTATTCCAATCATCTAGCTTTTCAAATAATATAAAATAATCTGTAGTATGAAGGGGATTCCATTTTCCAGTATCAGAATTATCTGAATATTTTTACAAGTATACCTTTTCCAACCTTGTCTTGCACATATATTTTACATTTCAAATAATGCATTAAATTTAAAACATATTCAGAAACTAGCATTTTCCCCTCTTATTAGCTTGCTTCCTTTTCACTTTTCAATACAAGTGATCATGTTCTATAATCAGATTTGACTTGTACATGGCATCTTGGCTGTTAAGAGAATGGCAGAAGCACAGAGGGCAGATTTCCTGCCCTTAAGTTTAAAGCATCTCCCTCAAAAACTGACTCTTCAATTGATGTTTATCAGAGTGCCTACACCGCTTAGTAGTTTTAACCTAATTTTGTAGCAAGAGGAAACATTTAAACAGTCCCTGGTGTCTGGAATTTTGCACGGTATTACTTTGAATTTAAGTTTAAAATAACATTGGCTATATAAACTAGAAATATTTGGAATAGGCACCATCCCACTGGGCCTAAAGCAAAAGAATCATGACGATGTTGGTGGGTATTGTTAAAGATGATATTGTCTAATAAACAGATAAATTAAACAATAAAGAAAACAACTGATATATAATGGATTTAAAAAGTATGCTTTAATTGAAAATGGATCCAAAAATCTGCCATAATCTCAAAGCCAGTGCTTCAGACAATATAAAGCTTTTTTCTCTTTTTATTTTTTATATTCTCTTCTTTTTCTACATTTTCAGATTTTTGGGCAAGCTATTTCTCAAAAGAGGATCAAAATGTTTGAATTTGCACACAGAATTTTTAGCAGTGTGATTAAAACAAATCATCTAAACTCTCAAGTTTCAGTTTCTCAACTGTAAGTAATGATAATATGTCTTCACGATTTTCTTCTATATAGACATACAGATTAAAAAAGAAACTATATAAAATATTTTATTATATAGCTATATTATAATAATTCATATAGTTTTTCAGTATTGTAATTTTAAAAACTACTTTTTAAAAATAAATTCACTTTAATTCCTTCAGTTCTTTAGTAATGCAAGGACCTGGTTATATGTCTCAGTGATTATTTTAATCAACTAATTATATTTAAAATTGAATTTGAATGATTTGTAGCAATGGTAAATGAATTATGGATTTCCAACTAGGTTGACATATGTATCAATTTGAAATACTAATTTTTTTCTCTTGAAATTATTAAAATACTAAGCTTTGAGGGCTAATTTCATCTTTCAATCACAAAACATTTATTTTGTATATTCTAGATGGGGCAATATTTGGTTGTGTAGAAAATAAGAAATATTTCATAAATTTGTTTATTTATATCAATATTTGTTACAATATATGAATTGAAAATAACTGAACTTTTAGGTTTGGAAAATAATTTTAAAAATGATAAAGGTGAAAAAATGAGAAAATGGTGCTTCAATTTGTATTCTTAAATTTCAGTTTTTAAGAACCCATGTCTTAGGTTGGAGCTCTTTAAATGGTCATTTTGATAAGTATCACCTTCTCCCAAACTTGTTTCATTTGTTTCCAGATTTGTAAGTGGAAGCAGTCATGCGTGTTCATATGTGTCCATGAGTCACTCATGCACACCCACATAGAACAGGAAGTGGTGAGGAGTTTCATGATATTTAGTATTTTGGGGTATTATTTTTCTGTTTCATAAATAAAAATAAAGGATAATCCACAGTATCAAATAAGAAAACTATCAAACCCAGATTTTATATCCAGCAAAAACTTCAAGACTGAAAGTGAAATAAATGCATTCAAATGAAAAGGTAAAATGATTTCATTTCAGTAGAATTGCCAAAGTAAGTACTTTAAGTTAATAGGAAAATATATCAGTTAGAAATTCCAATCCTTCAGGAAAACAAGAGAGAAGAATAACAGAAGTAATAAATAACTGAAAATTATAAAATATTATTTTTAGCCTTTTTTATATTAATTTGTTATAAGCCATATTGATGTTTAAATAAAACATTAGAGAATAGTCTAAAAGTTTTTACATGTAGATAGATTTAAACATGTAACACTCAGGTATTATGCATAGTATCCATTCGTTACTTTTCCTGATCCTCTTGCTCCTCTCACCCTCCACTCTCTCGTAAGCCCCAGTGTGTGTTGTTCCCCTCTATGTGTCCATGCGTTCTCATCATTTAGCTCCTACTTAAAAGTGAAAACATACAGTGTCTGGTTTTCTTTCCCTGTGTGAGTTTGCTAAGGATAATGGCCTCCAGCTCCATTCATGTTTTGGCGAAAGACATAATCTCATATTTTGTGGCTGCATAGTATTTTATGGTGTATATGTACGACATTTTCTTTAGGCAGTCTTTCATTGCTGGGCATTTAGGTTTATTCGTGGCTTTGTCATGACACATTTACCTATTGTATTAGTCTGTTCTCACACTGCTATAAAGAACTATCTGAGACTGGGTAATCTATAAAGTAAAGAGGTTTAATTGGCTCATGTTTCTGCAGGCTGCACAGGAAGCATGACTGGGGAGGCTTCAGAAAACTTACAATCATGGCAAAAGGCAAAGAAGTAGGAGGCACGTCTTCACATGTCCACAGCAGGAGGAAGAGAGAGAGAAAGTGGAGGTGCTACACACTTTTAAACAACCAGATCTTGTGAGAACTCTATCACAAAACAACATCTGGGGATGGTGCTAAACCATTAGCAACCACCACCGTTATCCAATCACCTCCCACCGTGCCCCTCCTCCAACACTGGGAATTCTGATTTGATGTGAGATTTGGGTGGGAACACAAATCCAAACCATATCAGCTATGTAATAAACCTATACATGTAACCCCCAGTTTAAAATAAAAGTTAAATCAAAAATTGAAAAAAATGCATATACATATATATGTGTGAATACACACACACACACACATATGACACGTATAATATGAGGGAGAAGGGGAATATGGATCTAAAAATTTGCATGATTTTTTGTATTAGAAGATTCATTATGGTTAAGCCATCAATACTACTCAAATCCCAATCAGAATTCAGAAAGAATTATTTTGTGTAGAAATTCACAGGTTGATTCAATACTTACATGGAAATGTAAAGATGCTAGAATAACAAAAAATGACTTTAAAAAGAACAACAACGGAAGACTTAAACTACTGTATTGAAAGCATTACTCCAAAACTACAATAATCATACAGCATGTGACTGACATTAAGGATAGGACTAGACATCAGTTGAACAGTTTAGGAAGTTTAAAAATAGAATTATGCATATATGGTCATTCATTTTTAACAAGAGTGCCAAAACAATTCAATGGAAAAACTAGGTGTTTACACAAAAATAATGCTGAAACAAGTAGATGTCATAGGGAGAAAAAAAAAACTTAACCCATATGCCAAGCTCTTTTTAAAAAATTAACCAAGAAATGAAATAGAGATCTATTGATATACGTAAGAGTCAAAATTTTGAAATTACCAGAGAATAATTATGATGAAATATAGATGCCCCTGATTTAGGCAAACATATCTTAGCAGAACATTAAACTTAAGCAAGAATCATATAAAAATTAGATACTTGAACTTCATGAAAATTAAAATTTCTCTTTGAAAGACACTGTGAAGAAAATGAAAGCATAGGAAATAGAATGAGATAAGTTATTTGCAAAACATATTATCTAGTAAAAGATTTATATTTTAAAAAATTCTGAAAACTCAACCATGAGAAGCCAAAGAATGAATCTAAGTAGGCTATATATTTAAGCAGGCACTTTATTGGAAAAGTTATACAGATATACACATGTAAGAAATATTAAAATGATTAGCCATTAGTCAAATGCAAACGAAAACCACAATGAGGTACAACTAGACTTTCATAAGAATACCTAAAACCAGAACTACTAATAATTCTAAACGTTGAACAGAATGTGGAGCAATTAGACCTTTCATATATCACTGATTTATACTAAAAAAATGCAAACATGTCCTAACACAAAAATGTTTAAGCAAATATTCTACATTTTTCATAATAGACAAAAATTGGAAGCCACCAAAATGTTCATTAATTATGGATAAATATAAAAAGGGTGGTACATAAATACCACAAAACACTACTCGACAACAAAACAGAACAAATCACTGATACCACCACCACTAATGAATCTCAAACGCACTATGTTAAGTGAAAGGAGCCAGACACAAAGTACAATTGTCTGACTATATTTTTATGATTTTTCTAAAAATTCAAACCTATAGCTCCAGTAAGTAGACCATTGGTTGAAAGACACTGGGGGTACTGGGAAGGTACTGACTATCTACAAGATAAGATGGAAATCTGGGGGGAGATGAATCATTCTACATCTTGATTTTGGTGATAATTACACAAAAGCATATATTTCTCAGAACACTTCAAACTCTAAAGTTACAATTGTTGAACTTAATTTTATGTAAATCATATCTTTATGAAGTTGATTAACCAACTAACCAAAAAATCAATACTATAATTTTTTAAACTAAGTATATACATTTAAGCAATCTGGTAAAGTATCTCATTTATTTTTCTTTTTAATATAAATCTGGTTATTATAGGGTATTATATAGAACAATAGTTCTCAGTCTTGGTTGATCATCAGAAAATCTGCGGAGTTTTGAAGAACTGCATATTCCCAAGCTCTTCTCCAAACTCAATGGATCAGAATCACCAGAAACGAAGCTCAGTAATTAATATATTTAAAAGATTTTCCATGGACATCTACTGCTTGCTAAGTAAAACCATCAAACTAATGAACAACAACAAAAATAATAACAACAACAACAAACCTTTTTGGAAGGGTCACTGTAAAAAATAAGACAATTTAGAGACTAGGAAAAATATTTACAAATCATATGTATGATAAAGAATTTGTATCCTAAATATATATACATATATGTATATAATTAAAATCCCTCAAAATTCAATTACAAGAAAACAAAGTACCCAATTTTTTAAGTGCAAATATTTGAATAGGCTCCACCAGAAAAGATCCTTAAATGACAAATAGGTACAGGAAAAGATGTTCAATATCAATAATTATTAGGAAAATGCAAATAAAAACCAAAATGACATAACACTACACACCCTAAACATCAATTGAAATAGCTGAAAGCAAAAAGAGTGGTAATAAAAGAGTTTTGGTGATCATATGGAGAAACTGGAAATCTCACACCTAGTCACGAGAATGTAAAATACTATTTGGAGAATAATTTGTCCATTTCTAAAATGTGAATACACTTCTCTCAAGATCCAGCCATTGCACCCTTGAGCATTTATCCAAGGGAAACGAAAGCATCCATTCACACACAGACTTTTACACAAAGGTACATAGCAGCTTTATTTGTAATTGCCAAAATTGTTCAGATGAAAGTGAATAGATGACAAACTAAAGTACAGCAACATAATGGTATAATAGTAGACAATATAAAAAATGTATTATTCGTATGTAGTACAACATAGAGGAATCTCAAAATAATTATGCTGAGTGAAAAAAAAGAAAAAAGAATATATACTGTATTATTTAATTTATGTAACATTTTGGAAAATGCAAACTAAACACAAGTCAGCAGTGCCTGGGGAAGGAAAGTTCAGGAAAAGATATAAAGAAAGCTTTACAAAGTGGCACCAGGATACTTTTGAGGGTGATAGTTATGTTCTGCATGTTGATTGTGGTGACGGTTTCATGAGTATATACATATATAAAAACTTAACAATTGTACACTTTAAATATGTGCAATTTATTGTGTATAAATTACATCTCAATAAAAATAATATTTTAAGATGCAAGAGAAAAAGTCCCAAGTTTTCTGATTGTTTGATGATTTAGAAACCAATAATACAGTAGTAGTCTAATCTGTTGGATTCCCCTTCTAAGAAATAATAATTATTTTAAAATAGATTATTTCCTCCACATATTCCCAGCATGTCACTTGTATCTAATTATTTTTATAGCTTTGAATTCAGCTGAAATAGCTTTGGAAAAGAAATAAATTGGTTTCAAAAGCAATAAGTGATTCATTAGCAGGTGGTGACGTTTAGTATCTGATAATTTTCTTAAAATCCTATCTAAACAGTGATGTCAAGTTATTAAAGTTTGCACATTTAAAATGTTAACCAGTATAATCATTATCTGAACTATATATCTTTGTTAACTGCCATAAAACCAAAGCATTTTAAGGTCCTGACCTATAAAACGAATAGTCTGCTATTGTGTCTCCTGAAAGTATATGGTCTTTATCTGCTTTCTGTCTCTAAGGACCTATGTTATTTTATTGTTACCTTTGCGGGCAATGGAACTTTTCATTTTGCCATCATATTTTCTCTTTAAATATTATTTCTAATTTTCAGTATGCCTTTTAAAATCACGTAAATTTGCCATTTTTGAGTTATAATTTTCCCCTCGACTCAGCTATATATGAAAATGAGGTTTAAACTTAGTAGGAAAAAAACAGCAGGCAGGCAGAAAAGCAAATTTTAAGAAGAATCTATGTGCTAAGAACATATTCTGGTTTTTAAGCTTCAAGATTTCTGCTAATATCTCACATCAACTAATAGTAGGTTTGATCTCTTGTGATTGGGAGAAGAGCAAAATTAAAAGAAGAAAAGCCTACCATACTTGACATATTATAATTAATTCATTATATTTCCGTTAACAATTAGTTTTTACAGAGTAACTGCTACTTCTAAATTTTTACATAAATAAAAGAGAACTCAAGATGAATTATAAAAGATAAGGTATGTGTACAGGTGACTATATCTTCATTCATTGTCTGCCTGCAACCAGGTTTTGTGTGTCTGTAATATAACCAGGGAAGCGGTTGTGATAAATTGAAAAAAATATATGTACCTTTCCACTTCATCAGAAAACCACCTGCAATGCATTGTCAAAACAATTGCTACAGAAATTTCCACATTTCCTATACACATATTCCTGAGTTGCATTTTGTCAACATAAGTATGAATAATTTATCTAAATTATTATATTCTTCAATCACATCACTTTTTATCTCTGTACCCCATCCAACTTATTTTGGGTGTTAAACATTTTAGAAAATCGGAAACACTGTGTTGCAAGTGGTTGCCGCTAAAGTTGATGCTGGAATCTGTTGGGAAAGTCTTGTTTGCAAATCTGCCACAGCAGCCAATGCTGAAGATACTCTCATCTGTGGAGATTGCTGTGTTGCTGGTGGAATCCACAATCCTACACTGTCTGTGAATTTTGGCATTAATTGGAGATTCTGTCTCCAATGCAATCCTAGTCCTTTCCTGTTTATCACTATCTAGATGAATTCCTCCTTAACAGAAGTATCTTAGCAAATGAAAGTTGAATTGCACCGCAGGCTTTACATATAATACAGTAACTCTTCTAACTGTACCCAGCAGCGAGTGGCATATGGACTTGTGGCAACATAACAGGGGAATAAAGCTATAAATAAAAATAAAACCACCTAGATAAATATTTGCTGGAAATGTATTCATTATGAGAGAAGAAAATCTTTTAATTTTCCCAATAATGTTGTGGAAAACATTCTAATTTGTTGATGGAAATTTATATTTTGAGTCTGAATGTTTTTATTAGGTTCAGTTAAAATTGTTCTCTTGACAGGTCATAAGTATGAAAACTGTTTTGTAATACCAATTTGTATGCATCTTCTACATCGTTATTTTCTGCCTGTTTTAGATAAAATTGGCTGTAAATATAAACCAGAAACTTAAGCAAACAGCAAGTGAAAAAAGATTATTTTGTAAGACATTCTATGATCTTGTTTATGATTATCATTCAGCCCAAACTGTATGATAACAATCGATTATTGATTATAAATCATCTTCTAGGTCACTGCTACATTCAATCACTTGGCTTGGAGGTAGTTTTTACTTTTTATTTCTTTTCTGGACTGTTGGTCAAAGTATTAAAACATCGTATGGAATGCAATCTAACCCCCCTCACCCCCAGCCATTCAATAGAATAGCTTCAATAATTTTCTACATAATCCTATATCAGGGACAATAATATGAACTGCAGAAGAGTGAAAATAGCATTCATTTAACAGAAATGACAAATTAAACAAGTACTATACATATGAGGAACTTCAGATGTATCTATTTCTTTTTTACCACTGTCTTCTATGATGGAAGTTGATGGAGACATGCATACTTCTCAGGCTCTCTAAATTAATTCTTCCTGTCGTTATTAGCCCCGCATTATTTCTCCTATGTGTACACACCAATCAGTCATCTAAAATTACAACTATTTAACCACTTTGATCAGATATTTTGTCATCCTACTACTGAAGGGGAATTTAAGTTCCATAAAAAGACCCATAGGAAAGTTTACTTTCTGGAAATTGATTTTTACATTGTATAATAGTATAGGCAATTTCTTACATTATTTGTATCTTTAAAGGCAGAGAAATATATGTATATAAACAATGTATCAAAACTTCACTTGTAAATTCAATGTAACTTAGTTATACTTGACATATAAAAGTACCAAAAGGAGTTTTGTCTGCCTACCTGAAATTCTTTTAGTCTATTCTTATAAGAGGCTTCCTCTGACCATCTTATAAAAATTAAATTTTCACAGTTTTAATAGTATATTTACTTATTTGCTTGAATCACAGTAATTCTCACAATTTCTTTTCTTCATAATGCATCTGCTTAGTTTATTATCTGTCTCTTCTTCTAGGAAGTATAAGATTTTTCGTAAATGATAAGACATTTTCTTTTTTATTTATACCATAAAACCAAGGCTAAAATCTATATCCAGTATATATTTATTACTAAATGAATTAATAAATAATTTGGATTCATATTATAATTTTTCTTCATATCAGCATCTTACAATGTAGTGACCATATACATAGGTTACACATTTGCCATTCTCTTAGACTACTATCATTCACTTTATGATAAATACGCCACCAAATTCATCTTTTCAATATGCTACAAAATTATGTAGAGAAAAAAATCTATATATCACATACTCTTTTGTGAAATATGAGATCATAATGGCAATGAAAACTTCTCAAAAATAGAGAAATTCATATAAAGTTGACTACTTAAAGAAAGTCGTAATTGAAATCTGTATTATGACCCAGTTTTCTAATTTGATAAAAGAAAAAATAAGATTATCTCATGACCAGAACTTTCTGGCACATTCAATATATAATCATATTCTTGAACATCAGGAAATGCCTTCCCTACATTATGATACATCCTTTTATTTATACTCAAATTGTCAGGACCAAAAATGTGCAACCATTATAATAAGGCACGGAAGCTATAATGATAAACAATATTGATACATTCTATGTTTATAGAGAGAAAATGGACTTTTTGTTTTTGTTTTAAGATGGAGTCTCTGTCACCCAGGCTGGAGTGTAGTGGTGCGATCTCAGCTTACTGCAACCTTCCCCTCCAGGTTCAAGTGAATCTCCTGCCTCAGCTGTCCCAGTAGCTGAGATTACAGGCACCCACCACCATGCCCGGCTAATTTTGTATTTTTAATAGAGACAGGATTTCGTCATGATGGCCAGGCTGGCCTGGAACTCCTAACTTTTTGTCTCACTGCTCTTACAATTCTTTCCTTCATGTTAACATTAGATAACCTGATGACAATGTGCATAGGTGATGATCTTTCTGTGATTAATTTACCAGGTGTTCTTTGTGCTTCTTATATTTGGATGTTTAGGTATCTATCAAGGCCGGGGAAGTTTTCCTCGATTATTCCCCCAAATATGTTTTCCAAACTTTTACATTTATCTTCTTCCTCAGGAACGCCAATTTTTCTTAGATTTGGTCATTTAACGTAATGCCAGACTTCTCAGGGGCTTTGTTCATATTTTCTTATTCTTTTTTCTTTGTCTTTGTCGGATTGGGTTCATTCAAAGACCTTGTTTTCAAGCTCTGAATTTATTTCTCTGCTTGTTCAATTCTATTACTGAGACTTTCCAGAGCATTTTGCATTTCTGTAAGTGTGTCTGATGGTTTCCTGAAGGTTTGATTGTTTTTTTCTTTATGCTATCTATTTCCTTGAATATTTCTCCCTTCACTTCTTGTATTGTTTTTCAGATTTCCTTGCATTGGGCCTTGCCTTTCTCTGGTGCCTCCCTGATTAGCTTAATAACTAACCTCCTGAATTATTTTTCAGGTAAATCAGGGATTTTTTCTTGGTTTGGATCCATTGCTGGTGAGCTAGTGTGATTTTTTGGGGGGTGTTAAAGAGCCTTGTTTTGTTATATTACTAGGGTTGGTTTTCTGGTTCCTTCTTATTTGGGTAGCCTCTGTCAGAGGGAAGGCCTAGGGCTGAAGGCTATTGTTCAGATTCTTTTGTCCCACAAGGTTTCCCTTGATGTAGTATTCTCCCCCTTTTCCTGTAGATGTGGCTTCCTGAGAGCCAAGCTGTAGTAATTGTTATCTGTCTTCTGGATCTAGCCACCCAGTACATCTACCAGGCTCTGGGCTTGTACTGGGGTTGTCTGCACAGAGTCCTATGATGTGAACCATCTGTGGGTCTCTCAGCCATGGATACCAGCACCTGTTCAAGTGAAGGTGGCCAGAGGGTGCAATGGACTCTGTGAGGGTTCTTAGCTTTAGTGGTTTAATGTTCTATTTGTGTGCTGGTTGGCCTCCTGCTGGGAGGTGGTGCTTTCCAGAGAGTATCAGCTGTGGTAGTATGGGGAGGAACTGGTGGTGAGTGAACTCTAGAACTCCCAGGACTATATGCCCTTTGTCTTCCACTACCTGGGTGGGAAGCAAAGGACCATGAGGTGGGGGTACGGTTAGGCATGTCTGAGCTCAATCTCCTTGGGCGAGTCTTGCTGTGGCTGCTGTAGGGGATGGGGGTAAGTTTCCCAGGTTAATGGTGTTGTGTACCCAGGAGGATTGTGGCTGTCTCTGCTGAGTCATGCAGGTTTTCAGGGAAGTGGGGGAAAGCCAGGAGTCACAGGCCTTGCCCAGCTCCCAGGGCAATCCAAGGGGCCGGTCTCACTCCCACACCACTAACAGCACCAAGTCTGTTTCCAGACAGAGGGCAAGCAGGGATGAGAACTTGCCCCAGGCTACCTGCCTCCCAGCTGTGAAAGAAAAGGGCTTTAGTTCTACCCCTGCCTGTGGGGCCTGCACGCCAGATTCAGGCCCTCCCCTGAGTTCTGGCCAGGAGTCTTCTCACCCAGTTCAAATTATTACAAAGTTTAGCTGGAGACGTCCTTCTCCTGTGGCATTCTCCCCAACCTCTGGCTGCCCTCCCGAAGGATCCCTATGGTGCCAGGCAGGAATGGCCTGCTTGGGAATCCAGCGAGCTCCCAGGGCCTTTCCCGCTGGTTCCTCTACCCCTGTATTTTGCTTGGCTCTCCAAATTGACTCATCTCCAGGTGAGACTGGAAAATTCTCCTGCAATCCAGAACTTCAGTTTCCCCAGTGGGGGTGTGTGTTCGGGGGCAGAGGCTCTATCTTCCTTTCCCACTTCTACAGTTTGGGCACTTACAGTATTTGGTGTATTCCTGTTCCTGGTTTATTCCTGCAGTCATTCTGGAGCTAAAATTTATGATACAATCCTCCGCACACTGTTCTGTCCATCCAAGCCAGAGCACAACGTCTAGCAGATCTCTTTGGGTATTACTCTGCCTTATGTACTAGAGGATATGAAAGCCTGTGAATTTGAGTTGGGCTCAGACAAGACAAAGTTTCAGGCTGTGGTACAGGCAACACTGCTACTTGGAGACCAGGTAGTGTTGGAGAGATCGGTGATGGTAAATGATGCCATATAGAGTTGTGGCAAATCCCAGGGGGGAAAGGAGAATACCATTCCATGGTTTTCTGGAGCGAGATGATGGTACCTGCACTGATGAATTACATACATTCTGAAAAACCTCTTCTAGCACGCACCCAGTCCCTGATGGAGAAGGAATACATAATAAACCAAGTAACCCTCTATCTAAGACTGCTTATCAGAAGACGGATCTTATCAGAACCACCACATTAAGAACTTTAGGAAGCTCAAAATAAAATTGATCAAAAATGAAAGTGTCACAAATAAGATTGAGCATTAACAAAAACAGAAGGCACAAACAAGTTGCATAAATCATAATCCCAGACCAGCGATATCCACCACTCTTCCTCATCTCTCACCTCTGACACTTGGAAATTATTTGCAAGCATGAAAAACAGGAGGAAGAAGTCAGAGCTTGGTTTACTGATGGAATAGCTAGTTTTGTTGGGAAAAGATGAAATATACACCCTAGACGTACTGCAAGTTTATTTCAGGTGTTCTTGAAATAGTTTGAAATGGAAAAGTCTTCTCAATGGACTGAACATGGTGAACACAGCCATCCATTTTATGTGGAGAACCATGTAGAACAATTTTAGAATATATACAAACTGTTGGGAAGTTTCAAAATGTTTGGCTGGGTAACTGAAATGGAGGATATAGGTGAAACCCCATCTCTACTAAAAATACAAAAATTAACCAGGCGTGGTGGCTAATGCCTGTAATCCCAGCTACTCAGGAGACTGAGGTAGGAGAATCGCTTGAACCCAGGAGGCGGAGGTTGTAGTGAGCCATGATCCCACCACTGCACTCCAGCCTGGGCAACAAGAACAAAACTCCATCTCAAAAAAAAAAGAAAAAAAAAAGAAGGATATATATAGGCTCAACAGAATGCATTCACACTTATACAGGTTATTCTAGTTACTGCTGCCATTAACTGTCCTCTGCCACCAACAGAGATGGTATATTAGTTCATTTTCACACTGCTATAAAGATACTACCTGAGACTGGGTAATTTATTCATAAAAAAGGTTTACTCACAGTTCCATATGGTGGAAGATAAGGGGAAGCAAGACACGTTTTACATGGCAGTAGGAAAGACAGCCAGAGAGCGAGGAAGTGCCACACTTGAAAACCATTGCCACTCATGAGCACTCACTTACTATCAGGAGAACAGCCTGAGGGAAAACATCTCCATGATCCAATTGCCTCCCACCAGGTCCCTGCCCTAACATGTGAGGATTACAAACAGAGATAAAATTTGGGACACAGAGCCCAACTATATCACATGGTGATTTGACAACGTTTTTCAAGAAGGCCAATTAGCAACTTGGTGGAAATTTGACTATGTTATGCCCCTTTCCTTCCCAGAAAGACAAGCTTAGTTGACTGATTGATTGATTGATTCTCACACAAATAAACAGGTATTCTGTCAATGAGTTTGCCTTTCTCACTTGCAGGACTTTAACCGGCACTGCTGCTGAGGGTGTAAGAAGTGTTTGATCCCTGGCATGGGATCCCACATGATATCACATCAGATAACAGGAAATATTTTAAAATAAATATTTTAAAGGGAATGAGCCTATGGTAATGGGATTAGGTAGTAACATGATTAGGTATTGTACCACTCTGAAGCTGCCAACCTGTTGAATGTACAGCTGAAACACTGGTCCAGAAGCTATTTTTGTGTGTGTGTGTGAGGATGGATAGTCACCTTGCAAGATTCAGTAAAGGCGATAAATCGAAGATTTTTTTTTTTTTTTTTTTTTTTGAGATAGAGTCTCGTTCTGTTGACCAGGTTGGAGTGCAGTGGTGCAATCTCGGCTCACTGCAATCTCCACCTCCCGCGTTCAAGCAATTCTCTTGTCTTAGCCTCCTGAGTAGCTGGGATTACAATTGCGCACCACCATGCCTGGCTAATTTTTGTATTTTTAGTAGAGACGGGGTTTGACCATGTTGGTCAGGCTGGTCTCAAACTCCTGACCTTGTGATCTGCCCGCCTCAGACTCCCAAAGTGCTGTGATTAGAATACTTGCATTCGAGATACTAGGGGTGGTAGCAAGAGTGGCCATACATACCATTACCCCCCCAAAACCACTCATAGACTCTGGGCTTCCTGTTCTCACAATTCTGGCCTCAAAAGAGTTAGAGGAACTTGACATCAAAGGGGCTATATTCTGATCAAGAATGAACCTCTTTAAATTTTAACATGTTGCTCTTGGCATCCTATGTTCAGGGACCAGAAGAAAAATTGTATTACTATGCTAGCAGTGATAATTGACCCTGATCATCAGGAGACACTAGAGCATTAATATACAATGAGGGCAAGGAGAAAAATGTGAGGAACCCAGATGATATATTTGGATACTTCTTGGTACTTCCTTGCTTAACTATGATGACTGTAAATGGATAGATACATTAACTCTGGATTGTGAGGTGACAAGGCCACGCCTTTAATAAAGCCACTTAGGTAATGTAGTAGTCAAGGGTAAGAGTAACCTAGAATGAATAATGGAGCATGGAGTGCATAAGATTCAATTAAGCTCTAGGCCAGCTGCAGAGCAGGATCTGTTGTTTGTCCCACTAGCCTCCTCTAATTTCTCTTGAGAAAGAAATGTTCATAAGAATTTTAGAGTAGCTGCTTCCAGAGCATATAAGAGGATTCAGAAAACACAAAAAGTGGACTGTGAGAGAGACAGAAGTAGCCCACATCCCAGTGCAAAACAAACTTGCTGCCCAGCTAGGGAAGTGCAGACAGCAGACATGTTTTTAATTGTCGCTGCTTCAAGGTCTGCTTCAGCTGTAGAGGCCAAAATCATGCTGTCACAGGGGCAACTCCCGTGTTGGTCCAGAACACAGGGATGAAAGAATGGCCATTTCAGATTATTTCAGGAAAACTCAGACAGGCAGCAGTCCCTCCATATATTTTCACTGGATTGGTCAAGGCTTCATGTGGTATGAAATGCTTTCCTTTCAAACCTGCAGTATTGAAATTTCTAGACAACTTAAAAAAAACTTAGTACCTAAGATACGGAGATGTGGATTAAATGGACTTCAGAATATATTCTGCCCTCAGAAATAGAGATGTTTTATTACTTCCATACCCCAGAGAAATTCAGAATAAGAACAGGGCTCTAGGTCTTGCACCTTTTTAAGTCTTTCTAATAGGATAACATGCAAAATTGTTTGTCTGGACATTAGTGAAAAACTGGTAGATTGATCTTTCTCTCTCCCTCTTCCCCACTTCATCACCTTTCTTCCCTAACATCCACATTTCCCAGATATGTAAATATGATCCTGAGAGACACAACATTCTAGATTATAAAAAAGAAAAATGTATTTCCTTCTAACCATGCTATAATTTGCAAATTGCTTCATTTACAACGAACATAGCATTTAACATTATTTTGTAGAACAATGTTAGCTCATTTTCCTCATGGGAACCATCACTCCACTATTTTTTAATGAATGTTCTTCATGGCAATAAAAAGAGAGAGACTTCCAAGTAAAATATTTTTTTCTCCACAGCTACTTCTTTTGTTACATAAAGACCTGATCTGAGCAAGGAAATTACTACTTGTTTTGGTCTGCTTAATTATTCAACTATACATCCCTCTCCTCAGCTTTTAAGTCATGGGTGTGAAAACTGGAAGGGAGGTGGTTAGAGTTTAAGGTTGATGAGGTGTTTGGAGATGATACTTGATATCTAAAATATGGAGAATGCCACTTTTTAATTCAATTCAGCAGCAATTTGAAAGACCAAAAATTGTTTTTGCAAGGAAAGCATGACATAGTGAAATGTGCTTTAGAAACAGTTATTGAAGATGAACTTGTGTGCATGTGTGTATACACTTGTGCATGCATACACATATGTGCACACGTGTAGGCATGAAATGAGAGTGATTACAGGTAGGAAAGGCAGTTGAAAGTTATTGGCAGTTACATAGGCTATAAGGAAAGGGATGTGAATAATTGTGACAGCAGTGGAATAGATTTATAGAATTTCATCATGCGACTTATAAATAAAGAAAATAAGACAAAGAAAAAATAGTGTTTTGCATTTATCCAAATATTTATCATTTCCAATTCACCTCACTCTTTTCTGAGAATTTGAGTTTCCATTAGCTATAACTTCCTTTAGCCCAAAGAATTCCCCTTGGAATTTTTTTTATAGTGCAGGTTGGCTTGCAAAAAATTAATTTGCTATTATTTAAAACTATCTTTCATTACCTTCATGTTTAAAAGGTATTTTTGACGGTTATATAATTCTGAATTGATTTATATAAATATATAGGTTCACCCTCTTCTGATCTTTGGTTTTCTGAGAAACCAGTTGTTAATTGAATTGTTACTCCTTATGTGAAATATATTGTTTTTCTATTGCTGTTTATGGATTTGCTTTTTATGTTTGGCTTTTAACCACTTAACTACTATGTGCTGCTACAGTTTGGATGTTTGTTCCTGCTAAATCTCATGTTGATCTTCAATGTTGGAGGTGGGGCCCACTGGGAGATGGTTGGTTCATGGGGTGGATCCCTACTGAATGGCTTGGTATAGTCTGAGTGCTAGTGAGTTCTCAGTGTAGTAGTTCCTATAAGAGTTGGTTGTTAAAAAGAGCCTGGCATCTTTGCACTCTCTCCTTTGCTTTCTCTGTTGCTATGTGTCCTATGCACACAACAGCTCACCTTCACCTTCTGCCATGAATGGAAGCAGGCTGTGGCCCTTGCTAGATGCAGGTGCTCAATCTTAGTCTTTTCCAGACATCAGAATTGTGAGCCAAATAATCATCTTCTTTTTAGAAATTTTGCAGCCTTGCGTATTCCTTTACAGCAACACAAAAGAATTAAGACATGTGCCTTGGCATAAACTTTTTTTGTGTTTAGTCCACTTGGTTTTTCTTAGCATCCTGTATCTGCAAACTTCTGGATTTCATTACATTTGGGAAATGTGGGATCATTATTTTTTCAAACATGTTGATTCTTATTGTCTCCTGTTTCCTAATGAAACATAATTGGGCTTTCTGTTATTATTTAACAGGCCCTAATACTGTGTTCTTGTGTTACAATTCATTTTTCATTTTTGTTCTTTACCTTGAATTTCTGTTGTCCTAAGCTCAAATTCATACACTCTTTCACTCTGTCATCTCCATTCGGTGGCACAATCCATCCAATGAATTTTTTGTTTCAGATATTTATTTTTCAGTTTTTGGAATTTCTATTTGGTTCTCTTTTATTCTTTCTATTTATTTGATACAATTTCTATTTTTCTGCTAAAATGTTCTCCCACTGAGAGCACACTGTGTTTTTCCTCCTTCTTTTTAAAGGCTGAATAATATTCCATTATTATTAGTATTACTGTTGGTGAGAATGTAATTTGGTATAGACATTGTGAAAAACAGTATGGAGGGTTCGCAAAAAAAGTAGAAAATAACCAACACATGATGCAGCAAAATTAGAAAATAATCATCACATTATGCCGCAATTCTGCTGCTGGGTATCAAAGAAGGAATTGAAATCACTATGTCAAAAGAGGTATCTGCATTGTTATGTTAATTGCATCATTATTCACAACAGTCAAAACATAAAATGCAATTTTTATTTTGCCTATTCCTTCTTAATAGTTACTATAAAATCTTCTATGTTTCTGTTGTAGTCTTCAAAGTTATTATTCCAATACTTGAATAAAAATTTCCTCAGGGGTCTCTAACTTATCTAAATATGTTCTTCTACTTTTTCATTTTAGATTTTGTGATTCTTAGTTCTGTGTATACACTTGATTGAGTTAGGGGATGCCCAGATATTTGGTGAAGAATTATTTCAGTGTGTGTTAGGGAAGGTGTTATTGGAATAAGTTAGCATTTAAATCAGTAGGCTGAACAAAGAAGATCTGCCCTTACCAGTGTGGGTGGGCATCAGACAATATATTGTGGGTCCACATAAGAACTTAAAGGAAGAGAATGGGTAAATTCTGTTTCTGTCTTTTTGAGCTGAAATACTCATCTTATCCTGCCCTAGGACATCAGGGATCCTGTTTCTCTGACCTTCAGACTCAGATTAAATTACACCAGCTGCCTTCCTGGTTTTTCAGCTTGCAGAAGGCACATAGTGGGACTTCTCAGCCTTCATAATTGTGTGAGCCAATTCCCATAATAAATTTTCTTTTATCTATCTATCTATCTATCTATCTATCTATCTATCTACCTATCTATCTATGTATCATTTATCTATCTATCTGTCTGTCTTTATTGGTTCTGTTTTTCTGGACGTTCCTCACTCATATAGATGGTTTTGGATGTTGTCATTTTATATAAAGTGTAAATAAGTGTATTTATGCATATTTCTATTTTCTTTATATATTTATTTTGAAGATATTACTTTATTTTGATTAATTCCAAGTAATAGAGTCAGAAAATAATGATTCAGGGTAAATAGTAAAATTCTATTGTCTAAATCTAATAGTAATTTATATAATTACTATCAATTACATAGAATCACACCAGTTTCATCACAATTGAGCTATGTCTTATGTTTTTCTTTATTGAATACCTGCACAGTGTGAAACACTGAAAACATTTTAAAATATAAAATTACACATTAAATATAATGTGAATTGTATAGATTTAAAAATGCCAAGTTGCAATTTTAGACCTTTATTATTTTAATTTATTACATGCTGTTAAGATGATCATTTTAATTCAAATAGACTTATAGGAGGATTTTTCTCTTCCAAAAGAAGACACAACTTTTAGTGGAAAATCCAAGGTTGAAATAGGGAGTTAAATAGAATTTAAAGCCTGTAGTATAATTTTCAATACAACTTTTCATTATAAGAGTCACTCAAGACCCTTATAAGGAAAACAAAAAGTAAAGCTGAATTTTTGAAAACTGGGTTAAATACACTGTATTAATTTCCTAAGGCTGCCATAACAAGATAACACAAACTTAGTGGCTTGAAACGACAGAAGTTTATTCTGTAACGGTTTTGGAGTCTAGAAGTCCAAAATCAAGGTGTCACCAGGATCACGCTCCCTCTGAAGGCACTAATGAAAAATTCTTCCTTGCCTCTTTCTATGTTCTAGTGGTTGCCAGTATTTTCTGGCATGCCTTGGCATGTAGCTGTATCATTTCAATCTCTGCCTCCATCTTCACATGGGCTTTCTCTGTGTTCCGTCCTCATTCTATAAGGATACCAGTCATTGAATTTAGGTCCTACTGTAATCCAGCGCAATATCATCCTAACTTAATTAATTACATCTGCAAAGGCCCTAATGCCACATGAGTCACATTCTGAGGTTCCAAGTAGATATGCATTTTGGGGTCACAATAGAAAATGCACAAAATATATTGAAGAAATAGAATGTTATAATTAGGAATCAATCCAATTATATTTAGTAAGTTCAAATGCTATATCTAGGGTAAATATGATTAGTGCTTACAACCATCTGGCTCTCCTTTGGGGCTCACAGAGAAAACCAACTTTTCTCATACCTTTTCATTAAGATAGAGAATTAAGATTTGTTCTTGTACTAGTGATGTGGGCAGAGGGATGTACCTTGCTTCTAGGCTAAGTCATTTAATTGCAAAACTCTTTATGTCTTCACCTGTTTCAAAGAGATCTCATCTTTACAGAGAGTAAGTTAACATAAAAGACAATGCAGTCTCCATTATCTTGGGCCCCTTTTAATTTTGTGAAGCTGAACCAACCAAAACATGAATTGGATACTGGGTGAGAAAAAATTAGTGATTTTGTAGAACTAATCTGATGTGTTTTTTTTGTTTGTTCCTGCAACATATCCTTTCCTACAATTACCAATACTTTCTGTCTAGATACTTCCTGTTCTAGGCTACCATATACCCATTATTAATCATATACTATGGTATTTAATTATCTCCCTCATCTACTGTTTGGTAGCATAAACAACCAATTATCAAGAGTTCTATATTACTAAAAATATAATTATAAATTATACTGAATCTGGCCAGGCGCCGTGGCTCATGCCTCTAATACCAGCACTTTGAAAGGCCGAGGTGGGTGGATCACCTGAGGCCAGGAGTTCGAGACCAGCCTGGCCAATGTGGTGAAACCCCATCTCCACTAAAATACAGAAATTAGCCAGGCTTGTTGGTACACGCCTGTTAATTCCAGCTACTCAGGAGGCTGAGGCAGGATAATTGCTTGAACCTGGGAGGCGGAGGTTACTGTTAGCGAAGATCGTGCCATTGCACTCCAGCCTGGGCAACAGAATGAGACTATGTCTCAAAAAAATAAATAAATAAAATAAAATAAAATATACTGAATCTGACACTTTGTAAATCCCTAAACTTCAATAATATTTTTTTCTCATTTACGGTCTCCCTCGAGGGGAGCAAACATTCCTCTCTCAGAAATTTTAGTTCCTTAAAACCATTATATTTAGAAATGTAAAATAATTCAAAGTATAGATGTATCAATGTAAAAATATCTAAATGTCTCAAGAAATTAAAATTATTACAAATTGTCTCCTCTTTCTATTTGAATATACTCTATTATTTTATAATGTTTGTAATAAAAAGGGTTACAAATCATAAGAAAGTGTGCCAAAATGTTTTATTAGTTTATAATCAAAGTTATTTCCTTTTAGATGATACTATTTTAGTGGCATTGAACAAATGAGTTGATGTTGTAACACACTGTATAGTTCTTCAAATGAAGAATTTCCAGGGTAATATGGATTATAAAGAGACTCCAAGACAGAGATACATCACAACAATATGTAAATTACAAGTACATTACCTGTAGAAATTAATTTATGTTTGACAATTTAGGGATATAAATGTATGAAATATACTTCTTTCGATTTCAGCTTCCATAATAGAAGATATTCAATTACAGTGTGTTCCAAATGAAAAGGCTAATTAGCTGCTCAAAACTGGCATCTTTGTGATGCAAATTATGATATTTCAGATCTCAACTTTTAAAATTTCAAGTGAGTATGCTTTAATTTATGGTGTCAGGGGCTATATGTCTATACTTATGTATATGTGTTTGCATGTGTTTGAGTGCATGTGTATACACACATATGGTACCCTAAATAATTATTCAATTATTCCATTAGGAGTATATCTTGTTAGGTCAGTCAACCAAACAAATACTTAGCTGCATAGGAGTAGTAAAACATACAAAAGGAAAACATTATCTTCTTGGACTCCAAATGATTTTTCAGAGACAAACTTTCTCACCTGATTTATATAACAATTATATTTGATGTGTTTTCCTAAGAATTCTTTATACGCAGTCACAATATTAAAGCATATTGCATTTCACAGAAAATTGATTGTATAATTAAACTTATAACATTAAAGAAAAGGAAAAAATAAAACACATATGCTGATAGAGGAGTGAGTGAAAGGGAAGACAATGAGTAGAAGGATGTGTGTATCTGCTGCATTGCTAATATAAAAATTATTATTGCCAGTAAAGTATATCTAATAGAATATGAAAGCATAAATACTCAGTTCATAACAACAAGGAATTATTGGACAAAGGTTGAGTCATATTAAATATCAGCTAATAAATGCAAGATAGTAACTGATGAAGATCCACTGACATTTTTATAGAAGTTATTTATGATGAAACAAATGTTATTGAAAAATGTTAAAGGTTTATTTCATTATTAATTGACACATTATAATTATACATATATTTTTAAATAATGAGATAACAATGTAATTGTAGTTGGATTTGCTAATTATTTTCTCCCAAATTTATGATAAATTCAACTTTCCATAAATAAGTTAACCATAAATTTGTACATCACATATAACCCCATTTTGAAAAATAAGGCATAGGCATGCATATTTATACATATGCCAAATATATATACATGTCATCGATAATAGATTGTATTTTCATTAATGTAGATTTACCTTTTATGACATAGCACAACATGGATCTGAAAATAAGACTGTCCTTTATACTTGAACACCTGAGAATACTCTTTTGTGGGAAAAATTAATTAGTTATTCAACTCAGATCGCTTAATATATGCCAGACTCTATATCAGTAAAGAAGCTTGAGTTTTTTGTTAATTTTGGTAATTAAAATAAATACGATTATTGCTTCAGATAACTGAAATCTTCCCAGTTAAAAACAGAATTCATTATGTCACTCTCAAATCTCTCTAGAAAAGAATAACATCAATTATAACAATACAAATATTAGAAGAGTGAGGAAGAAAAATGATTTAATTAGAAAGACCCAAAGTTATTTGTGCTGATTATAGAGCTAATATATATCTAGATTTATGTATTTTTTTAAGATGTTAAAATCCACACTACTCATCTTTTGTTCATGTTCTTTCAAGTAAACAAAACTGACAAGGAAGTAGGCTGAATTTAGAAGCCTATTTTTCACAGCTTGTTTCCAAGATAAGAAATAAGATTAATACAGATTGAAAATAATTTCTTGACTCTTCCAGTTTTAGGATCATAGCACATAATGAGAACCCTGAAACTTTTCAATATCCTGAAGTGACTTATGAATTAATAAAGACTCTGGCACATATTTGGCATATATTTTGTATTCATCTTTCCCCCTTGGCAGTTGATACTTCATTTGTATAAGCAATTAAGCAAAACATTCCTAGTCATATAGTAGGCAATCTACCTTGTACTTAATTCATAACATCTAAGCTTTGTTTTTATTGTGTGTAGGATGATAAACAGATATTGTTTACAAAACAATATTATCAAGTTGGGAACTCTACTTAAATATGTTCATTGTAGGAATTCCCATAATCTTAATGGGCAAATATTTATGTGGTAATTATACAGAGAAATGTTTAGGTGCAATATTTTCCAATGTTATTTGATCATGAGTAATGTTTCTATAGGATGAGAATTACCACGCCACTGAACTAGGGTTGCATATAATTCTATTTCTGAAGAATCTTTCAAGCTACAACCACAAATTTGTCAATGAAATTCTTTCTTCTTACTTTCACTCCTACTATTGACCAAATTCAGGCAATCTTGCATGTTACCCTTCCTCTTTATGCCATTGTCCTTCATTTTGACTGTTATCATTTGGATTTTCAAAGATCGTTCCATCCATTCTCGCTATTCTCTAGTCTACCCTTCACGTTATGATGACTGTCCACTCTATTTAACATGGGTAGGTGGCTCATATACCTTTGTGGCTACTTCCTGCTTTTGCAGGTCCAGCTCAAATACTACATCCATGGAACCTTCTGAAACAATCCTACTCAAAACAACTTTTCTATTATTCCAGTTGCTCTTAAGTCTATTACTGCATTAATTACATATGTCTACTTTTGCAGTGTATATATCATTGTCAAATCCGAAATTTTAGTGTTTTTTTTTTCTTAAAGACAGGTAGATATTAGTACAACTTACTAAATACTTCCAATTTTCCTTATGGGTGCATGATGGGGTCTCCCTTCACTGACCCTTAGAATTAAGGGTGGCCATGTGAATTAGTCAATTAAACATGAGTAGAAGAAATATTTATTCCTTTGGGTAAAACCTTAAGAGTCAGTGCATGACTCACCATGCTGTCTCTTTTTACTTTTTCAATAAAAGCTGACAATATTTCAGGCAGACAACCTAATCCCAGGGTACAAACAATATAGGGATGAGTCCTAAAAGACAGGCAGTGATGATGCAGTATGATAGAAAAATATATTTCTATTGAGATTATGGGTTTGTTTGCTAGCACAACATAATCAAGCTTATTATATTGCTGTGCATTCTAAATGTAAAATATGCCAAAAATATATATGTTTAATAGAGACAGAAATGGTCCTGAAAGTTATCAATATTTATTTAAATAATGAGCTCGACTCACCTAAGTTTTTGCTGCTTATCAGTTTTCAGAAATATGATAACAGAATAGAAACATCAAATCAATTAATTTTAGCTAAAAAACACTCTTAAAATAAACAAAAGTTTTATTATACTGCATTCCTATCCAGAGTTTCCCAAACTGTTGTCTGCAATTTGTTGACCTGTATTCAGTGACTGTTCATGGCATAACCATTCCAGACTTTAAAAAGCAAGCAGCAAAAGACCAAAAATATCTAACACAGTATTGAAGGAGAAGAACAAAGTTGGAGAACTGACACTACCTGACTTCAAGACTTATGATAAAGCTACAGTGATAATGACAGTGTGGTATTAGTAAAAAAAAAAAAAAAAAAAAAAAAAAAAAAAAAAAAAAGACCAATAGATCAATGGGACAGCGTAGAGAGCCTAGAAATAGATCTACATACATAAAACCAGCTGATCTTTGACAAAGAAGCAAAGGCAATGCAAAGTTAGTCTTCTCAATAAATAATGAGGGAATAATTAAACACCCACATTCAAAAAAAATCTTGAATATATCTTACATTCCTCAAAAATTAACTGAAAATGAATTACAGACATAAATACAAAATGCAAAACTATAAAACTGTTAAAAGATAACATAAGAGAAATCCTAGATGAACTTGAGTATAGTCATGGCTTTCTAATTACAATACCAATGGCACAATTTATGAAAGAAATAATTGATAAGCTGGACTTCATTAAAATTAAAAACTTCTGTTCTGCAAAAGACAACATCAAGAGACCAAGAAGACAAACCACAGTCCGGGAGAAAATATACACAAGAGACACATCTGATAAAGGAATTATTCAAAATATACAAAGAACTCTTAAAACTCAACAATAAAAAAATGATTAAAAAATAGCCAAAGACTTTAACAGACACCTCACCAAAGAAGATATACACATAGCAAATAAGCATGTGAAAATATGCTCCATATCATATATCATCAGGAAAATGCAAAGTAAAACCACAGTGGGAAGCCGCTACATACCTATTAGAATGGCAAGAAATCAGAACCCTAACAACATCAATTGTTAGTGAAGATGTGGAGTGATATGGTTTGGCTTTGTGTCCCCACCCAAATCTCATAGTGAATTGTGATTCCGATTCCACGTGTTGGAGGTGGGGCCTGGTGGGAGGTGATTGGATCATGGGGTGGTTTCTAATGGTTTATCACCATTCTGCTAGTGTTGTCTCATGACAGCGTTCTCATGAGATCTGATTGTTTAAAACTCTGATACATGCAACAATGTGAATGAACCTCAACATAATTATGCTGAGCAGAAGTCAGAAAAAAAAAACCCTGTGATTTATTTACATTAAATTCTAGAAAATGGAAGTGTAGTCTCCAGTGGTTACCTAGGAACAGGTAGGGAGGAGGAAAATGGTATTACAGAGGAATGTGATAAAACTGTTCAAGGTGATAGAAAATGTTCATCATCTTGATTGTGATGGAAGATTTCAAGGATATAGCTCTATCTCAGAACTTTTCAAATGGTATACTTTAAATATATACCTGTTTTGAATGTCAATTATATTTTAATAAAGAAGTTAAAAATAAAAGACCAGAAAAGGACTATGACTGTGGGAGGAACAGCAACTAAAACAAATTTTAAAAAGAGAATAACAAAATGATCATAAATCCTGGCTATATACCACATGGTGTTCGAAAATGTTTTTCATGTATTATCTCATTTAAACCTCAGAACAGCCCTATGAACTCAACATCATAGTTATGTAACTTTACAAATAAAGAAAATGAGGCACGGAGAGGTTAAGTAATTTACATATGGATATTCACACAATAAGGAATAAAGGCTAGATTAAATACTGACATTTTACTACCCGAGCCCACATTCCTAATGATTTTTCTGCTCTCAACTACAAACTGAGTAAGGCTGTTCCATTGAAAACAACGAGATTATGTTAATAATAATGTACACGTTATGAATAATAAGCTGTTAAAAATTATTTCACTGTAAACCATATTTTATTTTGTTATTATTTAATATCATGTTACTTGACAAACAATTATATGTATTGCGGGGTATAATGTAATATTTTGATGTTTGTTTACAATGTAGAATGATTATTTTTATCTTTAAGGTATTTATTTTAGAAACAGGGTCTTGCTGTATTGTCTAGCCTGTAGAGCAGTGACTATTCACAAGCATCACCATCACCCACTACAACCTCAAACTCCTGGCCTCAAGTGATCCTCCTGCCTCAGCCTCCAGAGTAGCTGGGACTACAAGAGCATAACATCATGCCCTGCTACACTGTGGAATTATTGAATCATACTAATTAATAAATTCATCACCTCACATACTTATCTTTTTTGTGTGTAGAAAACATTTAAAATCTAATATTTTAGCAATTTTGATATATGCAATGCATTATTCTTTATGATAGTCACTATTCTGTGTAATAGATTACTACAGCTTATTTCTCCTAACTGAAACCCTGTACTCTCTGGTCAACATCTCTTTTCTCATTCACTCTCTTGCTCCAGCTGCTGGAATCCACACTTCACATAAACAGGACTATGCTTTGTTTCCTTCTGCATTTCTCATGCATAGAAACACTGCCTAGCATATAGCAGAGGCTCGTTAATCACGTTTAAAAATTTGTTAAATAAAAAGAAAAATTATGATCTGATACTGTCAAAACTTGGATGCTATTTTTTTTTAATTTGGATAGATTGATTCAGTCTTCTTTATATAAAGATGTGGTAGAAGTAAGGTAAGGTAAAGTTTGCTGTATACAAATAAAGACTTTTCAGTGTCTTCCATGCAGAATGATTTCTGACAAAATGGATATTACATCCCTCTTCCAAGAAGTCATTTCATGTTTGGTAAAATTGAACAGTTAGAAATGACTACTGGCACCAAAATTTAATTTTTTTAAGAAAAATATGCTACCCTTTGTTTCCATCTCCTATAGATACTTCTACTTTTAGGGTAACAAGAAATGTGATTTGAAGACCCAAAAAATAAATTAACTCCAACATAGTTTCCAGGTATGAAATTCTGAATCCTTACAATTTAAAATAAGGAGACTTTTTCTAATTTTTTCAGCATTATCCGTGATTCTTAGCCTTGAATTTCCTCTCCTTGAAAGTCCCAGGAAAGTCCCCTTGCACCCACCCTTTAAGGTCAATTTTAATCCCCATTTCCCACAGATTTCCCAAGCATATAGTCAAAACTAATCTTATGATCCTTGGACTTTCTTAGCCCATTGCCTTTACCAAACCAGTAGAGTTTGCCACTTTAGTCCCAAACTGTGCTGAAAGGGTTTGTTTCCTTCACCAGAACGCACCTACTGGAAGGAAAAAGCTACGCCTTATTCATCTATGAATTCTTAACAGTTCTTTGCTCATAGTTAGCTTTCAAAGTTTGATAACTTTACCATTTATTTCACACCTTCTTCTTTGGAAGTAGTAGCAATAAATTAGTTGAACTTTCAACCTAGCCTTTTAAACTTAATCCCTGGCCCTTGTCAAGAGGTGAATTAGTTCTCTGGAAGAGAAACAGCAGTAGTTTAATTGCAGAGACTACGGCAGGTATCTTTCTGCCTCAAGTCATAAGCTTTCCTGAGGGGGAAAAAATGTATTCCTTAAGAAATATGTATTAAATAGAAAAGTCCATCTTCATAATGACCTTCTTTATCTATCTTCTTCTATTCCGAATAAGAGATAGCTTTGGACATTTCAGCATGCTTGAACTAACTGCACTCATTTCTCTGGAATCCACATTATATCAAAGTCCAGCTGTAATAAATCTAGACTTGTGCTAAATTTCCCTTTTGGCTTAATGTTCCATTTTGTGTTAGACAAGAACCCAGCAGAGATGAGATACAGAATTCTGATTTTGCTGTGTTATGCCTTATAGCAAGCCAACTGCCAAAATAGGGCAATAAAACCGAAGTGTGTATATCATGAAACAAACATGACTAACAGGTAGACATTTTCCTTAAATACTCAGAAGGTTTTATGATGATAAACAATATAATGTGGATATAAGAGGCTTATAGTTCCTTAAGTTCATGAGTAAAATGATTTCAACCACTTTCTAGCATCCGTTTATCTTCAGGAAGTATAGTGAGGCTAATGGCAAATAACTAAAATGTTTATTTAAAATAATTAAAGACTTGATTCAGTATGGATTTAATATAAAAGAATATATGCTATTTCAATCATTTGTTTGGGTTATTGTGAACATTTTAAGATTGAAAGTGGAATTGTAGTGTTCCATGTAGGCTTTAATGTCTTATGCAAACCATTGTAATGATTTCTCTTCATACACATACTAGCATACATAAAACAGTTTGGAAGTTCAACTCTTCAATTATAAAAAGAGTTTTTTCCTACCCTATTTTAACTATGAGTAGAGTATTCTACAAGGTGTTTTGCTAGATTTATTGAAATATTGACATGCTACAACAACTATAAGGTCATAAAATTTAAAAAGTAAATGAACCATAGAGATGATGTACAACCCTCTATTTATTTCTAATTTTATTTTGAGCTGAAAAGAAAATTTAAGGTGTTATTCTCATTATATAATGATATTTCTGCCCTGTGTGTTTATAAGACGTAGAATCAGAATTCAATAGTTGTTATTTCTGTCATTGCTCATATTTTATCAGAAGTACATTATCTCACTTATTTGTATTATTCTTATCAATCTTTCCCTACATAAAAAGTGTCTTCCATATGCAAGCTGTTTTGCTAGATACTGGGTTACAACAATGAGAAAGATAGAGAGAGCCCCTCCCTTGAAGGAACTTGATATGTCCATTTTAAACCTACAGAAGCAAAATCTAGTGTATATAGGTATATAAGTATATATATAATAATTGCAGATTAATCGATAAATTTAATAGCACATAAGTTATTTTGTGGCAAATATTATGCTAAGAAATTTGCATATATTGAGCAGTATAAATTACTAGCAGAAATAAACAAAGTTGTCATATACAGTTGACTGTTGAATGACATTGGTTTGACCTGCATGGGTACACTTATATGCAAATTTTTTACAATAAATATATTGGAAAATATTTTTAACCTATGTGAAATTCAAAATTTAAAATTTCACGATGAATCACATAGACTGGAAATATTTTAAAAATCAAATAAAAAATCAAAAAATCAAATCAAAAAAGTTATGAGTTATATGTAGATATATGTACATGAGATATATGTAGATAATAATCTATTTTATTATTTACTACCATAAAAGATACCATATAAGCTGTATATGTGTCTATTATAAAACATTAACATTTATCAAAACATATGCACAAAAAATTTATCGACCATACGTGCTGCCATTTGCAGATGAGGAAAATGTAAACAAATGTAAGGATGCAATGTTAAATCATAGTTGCAAAAAATTAACTGTAGTACATACTTCATGATTGTAATAATTTCATAGTCACCTCCTGTTGCTGTTGTGGTGAGCTCAAGTCTTGCGTGTTTCTGATTAAAACATCTTACGACGCTAATCATCTACCAGTTAGCAGTTTATCTCTCCAGTAAATTGCATATTGCATTAAAAATGATCTCTTGGAGTTCTTGAGTATTTTTATCATGTTTCGTGCAATATCATAAACCTTGAGTAACACTGTGTGAGCCACATACACTGCGACTAGTGATGCTGGAAGTGTTTCCAAAAAGCAGAGAAATGGGTCTGTCATGGTGTCTCATGCCTGTAATCCCAGCACTTTGAGAGGCCGAGGCGGGTGGATCACCCGAGGTCAGGAATTCAAGACCAGCCTGGCCAACATGGTGAAAGCCCGTCTCTACTAAAAATACAAATATTAGCTGGGCATGATAATGCATTCCTGCAATCCCAAATACTCAGAGGTTGAGGCAACAGCATCGCTTGAACCCAGGAGGCGGAGGTCGCAGTGAGCTGAGATAACGCCACTGCACTCCAGCCTGGATGACAGTGTGTGACTCAGTCTCAAAAAAAAAAAAAAAAGAGAAAAAAGGAAAAAGCAGAGACAGAGAAACATCATGACATTATAAGAGGAAGTTGAATTGCTTGAAGTTTGCAGCTGAGGTTGTCCACTAATTCAAGATAAATAAAATTTGTGAAGTCATTGATACCAGCAGGCAAGCTTATGCCAGCAGGCAAGAAAACTTCGTAATTTTTGCAAAAATACCTTTTTTTGTATTAAAAATGCAGATTTTATGTGGTTGCAGTATTGCTACAAGAAAGGCATAGCTATTGACTCTGATATGATTTGAGAAAAAGTAAAGTAATTATATGACAACTTAAAGATATGGGAAGGTGAAAGATCTAAAACTTCCAAAAAAGGGAGATTTGATAATTTTAGAATGAGGTTTGGCTTAAAAAAGTGTCAAAATAACAGGAGAAGCAGCTTCTGCTGACCAAGGAAGACAAGTTCAGTTTCCAGACACCATTAAGAAAATCATTGAGTGGGCCAGGAGCGGTAGCTCACGCCTGTAATCCCAGCACTTTGGGAGGCCAAGGCAGGCAGATCATGAGGTCAGGAGATCGAGACCACCATGGCTAACACAGTGAAACCCCATCTCTAATAAAAATACAAAAAATTAGCCGGGCATGGTGGCAGGCGCCTGTAGTCCCAGCTACTCCAGAGACTGAGGCAGGAGAATGGCATGAACCCGGGAGCTGGAGCTTGCAGTGAGCCGAGATCATGTCACTGCACCCCAGCCTGTGCGACGGAGCAAGACTCCATCTCAAAAAAAAAAAAAAAGAAGAAATCATTGAGGGTTGGACATGGTGGCTCACACATGTAATCCCATGTAATCCCAGCAGTTTGGGAGGCCAAGGAGGGAGGATCACCTGAGGTCAGGATTTTGAGACCAGCCTGACCAACATAGTGATACCCAATCTCTACTAATAATACAAAAAAAAAAAACCAACAAAAAAAAGCCGGGTATGGTGACGCATGCCTGTAATCACAGTACTCAGGAGGCTGAGGCAGGAGAATCCCTTGAACCCAGGAGGCAGAGCTTGCAGTGAGCCAAGATGGCGCCATTGCACTTCAGCCTGGGCAACAGACCAAGACTCTGTCAAAAAAAAAAAAAAAAAAGAAAGAAAGAAAAAGAAAATCATTGAGGAGAATGTATAGCCTGAATGAGTTTTTAATGTAGACAAAAGTGCTCTATTCTGAAAAAAAAAAAAAGTCAAAAACGATATTTATTAATAAGGAAGAGAAGGAAGCACCAGGAAGGGATAGGCTAATTCTATAGCTTTGTGCAAATGCAGTAGGATTTCTGATCAGGACTACCCTTATCTACAAAGCTGCTCATTTTTGAGTGTTGAGGGGAAAATATAAACTCCAGCTGTCTGTTTTTTGATCGTACAAGAGGAAGGTTTGTATATCAAGAACCATTTTCTTCTGGATTGGTTCCATCTATGCTTTGTCCCTGAAATTAGGAAGCACCTTACCAGTAATGTACTTAGTTGTAGAGTTATTTTGATATTGGGCAGTACTTCTGGCCATGCAGAGTTCAACATCAAAGGTGTCAAAATGGTCTATTTGCCCCAAAAACAATGTCTGTAATTCAGTCTCTATATCCGAAGATCATCAGGACCTTAAGGTTCATTAAACCTAGTACTCTATGGAAATAATGCTACAGAAAACAAGCCCAACAGAGAGAACACCATGAAAGTCTGGAAGGATTGCACCATTGAAGATGCAATGACTGTTATAGAAAAAGCCTTGAGAGCTATCAAACCTGAGACATGAAATTCCTGCTGGAGCAAATAAGCCCAGATGTTGTACATAACTTCACAGGATTTATGACAGAGCCAATCATAGAGATCATGAAAGACACTCTGGACTGGCAAAAAAGGTGGGGGTCAAGGTTTTCAACATATGGAACTTGGAGGAATTCAAAGTAATAATAGATACTTGATATGGTTTGAACATTTGTCACCTCTAAATCTCATAATGAATGCAATCACCAATGTTGGAAGTAGGACCGTGTGGAAGGCAATTGGATAATGGGGGCAGGTCTATCATGAGTGACTTTACACAATCCTCTTGGTTATGAGTGATTTATTGCTCTGAGTTCACATGAGATCTGGTTGTTTAAAAGTGTATGGCACCTCCTTCCTCTTTCTCTTGCTCCTGTTCTCACCATGTGAGATGCCAACTCCCCTTTTGCCTTCCATCATGATTTTAAGCTGCCAGATGCCTCACCAGACGCCAAGCAGATACCAGCACCATGCTTCCTGTACAGCCTGCAGAACCATGAGCCAAATAAACCTCTTTATGTTATAAATTACCCAGTCTCAGGTACGTCTTTATATCTTCAGTAACAACCTAATATAGAAAACTGATGCTGAAGAGTAGAGCATTGCTATAAATATACGTGAAGATGTGGAAGTGCCTTTGCAAATGGGTAACGGGTAGAGGTTGGAAGAGTTTGGAGAGCTCAGAAGAAGACAGGAAGATGAGGGGAAGTTTGGAACTTCATAGAGACTGTCTACCTGATTGTGACCAAAATGCTGATAGAGATATGGAAAGTGAAGGTCAGGCTGATGAGGTCTCAGATGGAAATGAACAAATTATTTGTAACAAAAGCAATTAAATTACCAGTGTTATGCCCTATCAAAGAACTTGGCTGCATTGTATTCATGTTCTAGGTATCTGTGGAAGTTTGGAATTAAGAATGATGACTTAGGGTATCAGGTGGAAAAAAAATTCAAAGCAGCAAAGTGTTCAAGATGTGGCATGGCTGGCAGGGAGCAGTGGCTCATGCCTGTAATCCCAGCACTTTGGGAGACTAAGGTGGGCAGATCACCTGAGGTCGGGAATTTGAGACCAGCCTGACCAACATGGAGAAAACCCGTCTCTACTAAAAATACAAAAAATTAGCTGGGCGTGGTAGTGCATGCCTGTAATCCCAGCTACTCGGGAGGCTGAGGCAGGAGAATCGCTTGAACCTGGGAGGCAGACGTTGTGGTGAGCCGAGATTGTGCCATTGCACTCAGCCTGGGCAACAAGAGAAAAACTCCATCGGAAAAAAAAAAAAAAAAAAAAAAAAAGATGTGGCATGGCTGCTTCAAACAACCTATAGTCAGATATGAGTACACAGAAATGACTTAAAGTTGGAACTTGTATTTAAAAGGGAAGCAGAGAATAAAAGTTTGAAAATTTTGGAGACTGGCAATGTGGCAAAGAAAGAAAAAGCATTTTCGGGTGAGGAATTCAAGTAGACTATGGAACAACAACTTGCTAAAGAGATTAGCATGATTAAAAGGGAACCAAGTGGTATTTTCCAAGACAATTTTTAAAAAGGCCCCAAAGGCAGTTCAGAAATCTTGAAGACAGCCCTTCTCATCACAGGCACAGAGGCCTAGCAGGAAATGAAAAATAGTTTGGGGAGTCAGGTCTGGGGTGCCAATGCATTGTGCCACCTCATAGACATTACTCCTCACAACTTGACTGCTTGGCTCCAGTTGTGACTCAAAAGGCCCCAGGTATAGCTCAGACTGCCACTTTGGAGAGTGCAAGATTCCATAGCACTGGCAGCTTCATTGTGGTGTTAAGCCTGTAGGCACAGAGAATGCAAGAGTGAAGGAAGTTTGGAAGTTACCACCTAGATTTCCAAGGATATATGGGAAAGCCTTGCTTCCCAGGTAAAAGCCTGCCACAGAGAAATTGTACAAGGGCAATGCCAATAGAAAATGTGGAATTGGAGCCCCCACACAGATTGCCCACTAGGGAAGGGGGCCACTGCCCTCCAGACTCAAGAGTGGTAGAGACAGTGGCAGGTTGCCTCCTCAGCCTGGAAAAGCTGTAGCCAACAAATGCGCAAGGATGGAGCTGCCAAGGCCTTGGGAGTCCACCTCTCACATCAGTGTGTCTTGGATGTGGAACATAGAGACAAAGGATATCATTTTGGAGCATTGAGATTTAGTGACTGCCTTCCAACTTTCAGACTTGTGTGGGGGCTATTGATCCTTTCTTTTGGCCAATTTATCCCTTTTGGAATAAAAATATTTACCCAATGCCTGTACCATCATTGTATATTGGAAGTAAATAACTTGTTTTTATTTCCAGGCTCATAGGTGGAAGGAGATGAGTCTCAGATGGGACTTAGTGAGTGATGACAACATGTTAGCAGCCCTCGCTCGCTCTCGGTGCCTCCTCGGCCTTGGCACCCACTCTGACTGCTCTTGAGGAGCCCTTCAGGTCGCCACTGCACTGTGGGAGCCCCTCTCTGGGCTGGCCGAGGCTGGAGCCAGCTCCCTCTGCTTGCGGGGAGGTGTGGCGGGCAGAGGCATAGGCAGGACCAGGGCTGCACGCAGCGCTTGCAGGCCAGTGTGAGTTCCGGGTGGGTGCGGGCTCAGTGGGCCCCGCACTTAGAGCAGCCGGCCGGCACCACCAGCCCTGGGCAGTGAGGGGCTTAGCAGCCAGGCCAGCAGCTGCGGAGGATGCGCCAGGTCCCCCAGTACTGCTGGCCTGCCCACGTCACACTGGAATTCTTGCCAGGCCTCAACTACCTCCCCATGGGGCAGGGCTCGGGACCTGCAGCCCACCATGCCCACACCATCCCCCCTCCCTGGTAGGCTCCCACGCAGCCTGAACCTCCCCAGCAGGGCGCTGCCCCTGCTCCACAGCGCCCGGTCCCATTGACTGTCCAAGGGCTAAGGAGTGCGAGCATGCAGTGCGGGGCTGGTGGGCAGCTCCGCCCGCAGCCCTGGTGCAGGATCCACTAGGCAAAGCCAGCTGGGCTCCTGAGTTGGGTGGGGACTTGGAGAACTTTTATGTCTAGCCAGAGGATTACATATGCAACAATCAGCACTGTGTGTCTAGCTCAGGGTTTGTGGATGCACCAATCAGCACTCTGTATCTAGCTAATCTGGTGGGGTCTTGGAGAACTTTTATGTCTAGCTAAAGGATTGTAAATACACCAATCAGCACTCTGTGTCTAGCTCAAGGTTTATAAACGCACCAATCAGCACTCTGTGTCTAGCTCAAGGTTTGTAAATGCACCAATCAGTGCTCTGTGTCTAGTTAATCTAGTGGGGACTTGGAGAATTTTTACATCTAGCTAGAAGTTTGTAAATACACCAATCAGCACTCTGTGGCTAGCTCAGGGATTGTAAACGCACCAGTCAGCACCCTGTCAAAACGAACCAATCAGCTCTCTGTAAAATGGACCAATCAGCTCTCTGTAAAATGGGCCAATCAGCAGGATGTGGGTGGGGCCAGATAAGAGAATAAAAGCAGGCTGTCCCAGCCAGCAGCAGCAACCCATGGGTCCCCTTCCACGTTGTGGAAGCTTTGTTCTTTTGCTCTTTGCAATAAATCTTGCTGCTTCTCACTCTTTGGGTCTGCACTGCTTTTATGAGCTGTAACACTTACTGCGAAGGTCTGCAGCTTCACTCCTGAGGCCAGCGAGACCACGAACCCACTGGGAGCAATGAACAGCTCCGGACAGGAGGAACAAACAACTCCAGACGTGCCGCCTTATGTGCTGTAGCACTCACCCTGAGGGTCTGCAGCTTCATTCTTGAAGTTAGTGAGACCAAGAACCCACCAATTTTGGACACATTAGGACTTTGGACTTGATGCTGGAATGAGTTAAGGCTTTGGAGGATGATTGAGAAGGGATGATTGTATTTGCAAGGTGAAAAGAACGTGATATTTGGTGGGGCAGAAGCAGGATGATATAGTTTGGGTATTTATTCCCTCCATACCTCTGATAAAATGTAATCCCTAATAATCGAGGTGGAGCCTGGTGGAAGGTGATTGGATCATGGGAAAGATCCCTCTTGATTGGCTTAGTGCCATCCTCTTGGTGATAAGTGAATTCTTTCTCTGAGTTCACATGAAATCTGACTGCTGAAAAGTGTTTGGCACCTCCCCATTCTCTCTTTTGCTACTGCTGTCACCACATGATACCCTGGCTTCCCCTTTGCCTTCTGCCATGATTGTAGGTTTCCCGAGACCTCACTGGAAGCTGAGCAGATGCCAACACCTTGATTCCTGTACAGCCTGCAGAACCATGAACCAATTAAACCCATTTTCTTTAAAAATTACTCAGCCTCAGGTATTTTTTTTTTTTTTGAGACAGAGTCTCACTCTGTCGACCAGGCTGGAGTGCAGTGATGCTATCTCGGCTCAGTGCAAGCTCTGCCTCCCAGGTTCACGCCATTCTCCTGCCTCAGCCTCCTGAGTAGCTGGGACTACAGGTGCCTGCCACCATGCCCGGCTAATTTTTTGTATTTTTTTTAGTAGGGACGGGGTTTCACTGTGTTAGCCAGGATGGTCTTAATCTCCTGAGCTCGTGATCCAACTGCCTCAGCCTCCCAAAGTGCTGGGATTATAGGCGTGAGCCACCACACCCTGCCAGCCTCAGGTATTTTTTAATAGCAACACTAGAACTGCCTAATACCACACCAGAGGTATTAATAGACGATGACTTGAGAGAGGTAAGTGCTTCAAAACCAGTGCCAGACAATCAGGAAGAAGATACAGAAAAAAAAAAAAATGTCAGAAAACAAATTCACATTAGATAATCTCAAAGAAGGGTGCCTATTAGTCTAGACTGCTTTTGACTACTCTTAAGACATGGATGCTTCTATAATATGGGCATTGAAACTAAAGTAAACGGTGAAAAAAGAATTGGTATCATATAGAAACATTTTTAGAGAAATTAAAAAGTTAAAAAAAAGTCCAACAGAAATTACAAGGTATTTCTCTAAAGTTACACCAAGTGTGCCTGCTTCACCTGCCTCCCCTTCCACCTCCTTCTCCCCTTTAGCCTCTGACACCCCTGAGACAGCAAGAGCACCCCCCACCTTCAGCCTACTCAATGTGAAGATGAAGAGGATAAAAAGTTTTATGATGACCCATTTCCACTTGAGGAATAGTAAATATATTTTTTCTTCCTTATGATTTTCTTAATAACATTTTTTTCTGTAGCTTCATCGTAAGAATATAGTATATAATACATACAGCAAACAAAATATGTGTTAATTGATCATGTTATCACTAAGGCTTCCTGTCAAGATTGGGCTATTAGTAATTAATGTTTGGGGGAATCAAAAGTAATTTGTGGGCTGGGCACAGTGACTCACACCTACAGTTCTAGCCCCTTTGGAGGCCAAGGCAACAGGATCACTTGAGACCAGGAGTTCAAGCCCAGACTGGGCAATATAGTAAGAGTCTATCTCTACAGAAAATAAAGAAATTCGCCAGGCATGGTGGTGTGTGCCTATAGTCCCAGCTACTCAGGAGTCTGAGGAAGAAAGATCACTTGAGTCCAGGAGTTTGAGGCCACAGTGAGCTATGATCACATCACTGAACTCCATCTTGGATGGAGTGAGACCCTGTCTCTACTAAATAAATACACAAATAAATAAATAAGTCCTATATGGAATTTTGATTTTGTGGTGGATTGGCACCCCAATTCCCTCATCGTTCAAGTATCAACTGTATGTACAAAAAGTAATGTTCAAAGAAAATATATAATATAGAGATTTTTATATTAATTATTTTGCATTCCTTTTATCAAAGTGCAAATCTATACGATGCATTAACAAATTTAAAGTCTCTTTGCTTAAAAATTTGTAAAACAATATAATGTATTTTTATGTTAAGTACATTTAAAATATACTAACCATTTGTGTGACACCAGAAACTTTACAGAATAATCAACATTTTTCTTGAATTTTAGCACACATAGAGTGTGCTAAACCAAATTTTAGAGAACCACCATATTCCTATTAAGTGTAATTTCATGTTTTGATTAGTGAGAAAAGAAATAATTTGACTCATAACATTTTACTCTATTATTCAGAGGTTGTGTCTTTGTGTGTGTGTGTGTGTGTGTGTGTGTGTGTGTGTGTGTTTTAGTAACGGAAACAGTTGCATAAATATATTTTTAGTAACTTTTTCAGTAAATTTTTTTAGTAACTGAACATGGCTTTACTAACATGAGTTTAGGAACGCACAACAAATACTTTTTAATTCCAAAATACTAATTTTTGTAGCTTTTAGTAAATAAACACATAAAATTATCTTTATTGGAACACAGACTTCCCACTCAATGAAAAGTTTTCTCTAAGCAGAAGTTATTAACTTTGAACTCCTTCCTTGTAGTTTGCTTATCTATTTTTAAAACACATTCCTATTATAGAGTTTCTTCTCCCATTTTTTTAAATTAAAAGATAATTCCAACAGTTTTCATCCCCTAAACGAATATGGCGAGGTTTTTATCCATGGTGTTGACATTCACTTTATAGGGTTTCTCTATGTGCTTATTGCTTTCTAACTTCGTCCCATAACATAGTCACTATTTAATACTTAACCACTGAAAACCAATACTATTTGAAATCCATGTTGAATATCCAAAAATGCCATCAAATTTTATAATTCATGTTTCTCTCAAAGAAATTAACAAAATAACAGAGTAGAAAACTGATGTAGAGAAAAAAGGCAGTAATTTTTTGACAGATATTTATTTATTTTTAATTGACAGATAAAAATATTTATTTTTAATTGACTTTGTTATTATACTTTAAGTTCTGGCATACATGTGCAGAACGTGCAGGTTTGTTACATAGGTATACATGTCCCATGGTTGTTTGCTGCACCCATCAACCCATCATCTACATTAGGTATTTCTCCTAATGCTATCCCTCCCCTAGTCTCTAACCCACAACAGGCCCTGGTGTGTGATGTTCCTCTCCCTGTGTCCATGTGTTCTCATTGTTCAATTACCGCTTATGAGTGAGAAGATGTGGTGTTTGGCTTTCTGTTCTTGCGTTAGTTTGCTGAGAATGAAGGTTTCCAGCTTCATCCATGTCCCTGCAAAGGACATGAACTCATCACTTTTTATGGCTGCACTCCATGGAGTACATGTGCCACATTTTCTTTATCCAATCTATCACTGATGGGCATTTGGATTGGTTCCAAGTCTTTGCTATTGTGAACAGTGCCACAATAAACATATGTGTGCATGTGTCTTTATAGCAGAATGATTTATAATCCTTTGGGTATACACCCAGTAATGGGATTACTGGGTCAAATGGTATTTCTCATTCTAGATCCTTGAGGAATCACCACACTGCCTTCCACAATTGTTGAACTAAATTACACTCCCACCAACAGTGTAAGAGCATTCCTGTTTCTCCAGATCCTCTCCAGCATCTGTTGTTTCCTGATTTTTAATGATTGCCATTTTAACTGGTGTGAGATGGTAGCTCATTGTAGTTTTGATTTGCATTTCTCTAGTGACCAGTGATGATGAGCTTTTTTTCATGTGTTTGTTGGCTGCATGTCTTCTTTTGAGAAGTGTCTGTTCATATCCTTTGCCCACTTTTTGATGGTGTTGTTTGTTTTTTTTTCTTGTAAATTTGTTTAAGTTATTTGTAGATTCTGGATATTAGCAGTAATTTTAAAGTGAAACATGAATTGCCTAATGAAATTTTTCAGGTTTAGAAGACAGATGATTCCCAGTTTTAGTAAAGAAAGATGAGTAAGGACATATTATAAAGGATGGAGCACATTTGAAATTAATCTTGTATATTTTTATGTCTGCAACCAAGATGAAAGAACTAAAGATACAATCTTTAAGTGTATCAAACTGGTTGTGGGAATGTCAGTAGGTCAGGTAACCCCATTCAGAGCAATCTGATAAACAGAAAGCTTGGTGCTACAATGAAGCCACAATGGAGATAAATGAAATTAACATGTCTTCATGGGTTATAAGCCCAGCAACACTGAGAAATAAAAAGCTTGGAGAAAAAGAAAAATGATATTACTGAAGTACAGCATCTAATGAAAGTTTCTTGGGGTATTTTCTTAGAAACTAACAAATGATTTACGGATATTTTCTGCTGGAGTCTTTCAACTAAAGGATCATTAATCTCCACAATTTTCACATATTGAAAGCTAAGAAAGGATTTCTTGTAAGAACAATAATATTGTTTTGCATTTTAGCTCAAGGCTGCAGACTTTGATGCGTTGCTTTCCTTTCACCTAATTAACTTTTTCTCTTATTTCCCCAAGTTATTTTCATCAGCATTAGTTTCAGAAAACAGTGTAAAAGAAGGAAAAATGAACACAACAGAGTTGGAATGGCCTCTTGTCCCTGAGAGCAGGCACATGCCTGTGCTGTCAGTGTGCTGGAGGTACTGTTCAGAAAAACATAATTGTTGCTGACATTTCCATTGTGAAAAATGTGTATTACTCTATAGGTTATTGGGCAAATAGTCTGTTGTACTCAGGGTTATATTGCCTCAGAGAACCAAACATAAAACTAAACTTAAAACACAAATCATAGTAGAAAAAGCTATAAAATGTGACATATTACATTTATGAATTTTATTAAAACATACATGATAAAAGAACTAAGTTGTTATTTTCAAGTTTCAGAAGGATGAGGTAAACTCTTCTCTATGTATCTTGCCATTTAACCAATAGCAGATTGCTTCTTAACTGCAATTGCTTATGATTAAATTAGGAAAATAATGCTTTGCATTTTTTAATTAAAAAATATGAATTTTAAGTGATTTCTTCTTGGATAAACCAAGTCATAGTATCTTCATGGTTTTGGTTTTAGTTCAGTATGACTCTGTAAGACTTTCATGTATATAAAATCACATTTGCAAAATGTTTCCAATAAAATTTTTCAAGTTCAGAAGACAAATGATTTCCAGCTTTCATAAAGAAACTTCTCACATTCAAGTGGATTTTTTTTCCAATTTCTACCAAATGAACAACTCACATAATTTTTAGAGCAAATGATAGGCATATGAAATACCCAACATAATAGGAAGTCATCTTTCAGATCTCAAATGAGAATTTATTTCTTTTGTGAGGTCTTCCCTTCACCATTCTAGGTTGTTGTGGGAAGTCAGGGACCCTGAACAGAGGGATCTGCTGAAGCCGTAACAGAACATAAATTGTGAAGATTTCATGGACATGTATTAGTTCCCAGATTAATACTTTTATAATTTCTTAAGCCTGTCTTTACTACAATTTCTGAACATAAATTGTGAAAATTTCGTGGACATTTATCACTTCCCTAATCAATACTCTTGTGATTTCCTATGCCTGTCTTTACTTTAATCTCTTAATCCCATCATCTTCGTAAGCTGAGGATGTATGTCGGCTCAGGACCCTGTGATGATTGTGTTAACTTCACAAATTGTTCCTAAAGCATGTGTGCTTAAACAATATGAAATCTGGGCACGTTGAAAAAAGAACAGGATAACAGCGATGTTCAGGGAACAAGGGAGATAACCATTAGGTCTGACTGCCTGGGAGCTGGGCAGAACAGAGTCATATTTCTCTTCTTACAAAAGCAAATAGGAGAAATATCGTTGAATTATTTTTCTCAGCAAGGAACAGCCCTGAGAAAGAGAATGCTTTCCTTGGGGGGGGGGGGGGGGGGGGGGGTCTCCAAAATGGCTGCTCTGGGGATGTCTGTCTTACATGGTTGTATATAAGGGATGAAATAAGCCCCAGTCTCCCATAGCACCCCCAGGCCTATTAGGACGAGGAAATTCCTGCCTAGTAAATTTTAGTCAGACCAGTTGTCTGCTCTCAAACCCTGTCTCCTGAAAAGATGTTATCAATGACAATGCTTGCCCAGTGGGACATGAAACTTCATTAGCAATTTTAATTTCACCCTGGTCCTGTGATCATACTTTCATAGATACACTGATGCATACTTTCATACATCAGGACATCTGGTAGATGGTGTGGCATGTACTGAAAGGAGAAAAATCTCAGGGTGGGGGTAGCTTTAGAAGAAAAGCAAAGAATCTTTTATCTCTGGTGATTTCTCTCTAGAAATTCCATTACCAAATATTTTATACATTTACTATTTCATCCTATTTTTTATTTGTTTTCTCCCTTTTCTGCTTTCCTTCCTCTATCATATGGACCACAAGTTTAGTGGTATAACATAACAAAAATTTATTATTTTTACAGTTCTGGAGCTCAGAAGTCCATAATGGGTCTCATTGGCCTGGATGCATTTATTTCTGGAGGCTCGAGAATCCATTTTCTTGCCTTTCCATTTTCTAGAGGCTGTTTATATTGCTTGACTTATGGCCCTTTTCCTTCTTTTGGGCTTTTGCATCACTGACACTCACACCTCTCCCTCTCTGTTTTACATATAGCCATTAATAAAGAATAATATCTTTATTTAAGGTCAGCTAATTAGCAACCTTCATTCTCCATGCTACCCAAATTCCTCTTTGTTATGTAACATATGATATTCAATTAAGTTGTGTATATCTTGATAGTACCATTTTTTCTGCTTATTGCACCCTCATTTCTAATTTGTTTATAATTTCATGAGATGTTATCTTCTTCACATTATTACATTTTATTTGTTTTTACTTTTAACTTTACTCAGGATGTATAATCATGATAATTTCAGTTTTTTATAGTTCCAATAATGTCAATTACTCAGCTTAATGACTTGTTCCATGCTGGACTAACCCATGGCTAAAGCAATATTTTTCGATAGTCTCTTCCTAAATGTGAATGGAGGCTCATGCCAGGATGTTCTTAAATTGTTTCTTAATGGTTTAAATGGAAGCTCATTTAAGATTGCTAAGGAGAAGTATCTTGCCCTAGGACAGACTGAGTCCATAACAGTAAAACAAATCTGCTATAGAGTTGTTGTATTTCCCCAATGATGGGCAAAAGGATCTACAGACAGTCAAATAATTTATGATAAGAAGTGTACCCTTTAATCCTTTAGTCTTTGTAATGTGCACTCAGATTATTTCATTGAATTAATACTTTCCATAAATGTAAGCTGTTGACATATTTTACTTACTTGCAAAAACTAAAAGGCTTACTAGTGGTGATTTTTGTAAAACAAGCAGTAATGTGTGACAACACCAATTTAATTCAAATAAAAAGGAATACAAATGTTTATTTTAGTTTCAGATTTAAACCAAACCTATCCATCAAGTGTTGCTTCAGATGATGCTCTACTACTCATCTGAGTTTTATTCCTCTTTTTACTTGGGTTTAGAACAAAAAATTAAGAGAATTATAGTTATCATTTCTCTAAATCATTAAGAATATAGGAGCATTCTGGAAAAGGGATATACATTTCAATATGAGGATCAAATAAATAAGTTTAATTAAAGGGTCAAGTAATTAATCCAAAACTGCTAAATTTAAGGTAACTATATTTGGAATGGAGGATCTGCCTTCACTCTGCTTGTTTCAGAAATAACTAAAAGATGACCCTCATCTTCAAATCAGTTATTGGGTACCATAATAACCAAATATCTTGTTTGCCCAAGAGTGTTCAAGAAAATTATATGGCCACCCTCAATAATCCTTAATGAAAAGGGGTCAAAAACTAAATGCATACTTTACTTATTTTGATCCTATGCATCTGATCCAGTAAAGGATGTTATCATTTCAGAAGATTGAAAAATAAGTGAAGAATTATTATCAATGAATATATCCATAGTAACTATGTTCTCACCATCCAGTGCAGAGCTGAATTTGTAACTACTCAGTTCCAGGAACAAAGTCATAGTCCCTGCCCTCTCACCATACAATGTATATGCAATGTCATCCTAAACTGCTCGCTCCATTGGAAATGGAACAGAACCTGGAGGATAGAAAATAGAAGATTCCAACCAAGTATTCTTACTTTTTATTCTCTACTACTCTCCAAAGTAGATAGAGATTTTCTACAGGAACTTAGATTTGTGATGAAACCCTAATAGCTTCATAGACTGGAGCCTGAGGGAAATGTGATAGCCTAATTTAAAGTCTTCACATTCAGCCAAACGTGAGCACTCCATTAAGTCCCCATAGCCATAGTTTTGAATATAGCTGGGCTAGATGTCACCATTAGAACACATACAACTCTCCATGTATCACAATGCCCTATGAATAGATAAAGGTAAAGTAAATATGAGAACTGTTATGGGTTGAATTGTGTCCCCCCGAAATGCATGTTTAAACCCCAGTATCTCAGAATGTGAACTCACTTGGAAATGGCATCATAGCTGATATAATTAGCTAAGATATCATCATCATAGAGTAGAGTGGACCCTTGATATTCAGCATGACTGCAGTCCTCATAAGAGGGAAATTTAGACACAGACACAGAGGGGAGAATGTCATGTGATGATAGAGGCAGAGACTAAAGTTCTGCAGTTGCACGCTAAGGAATGCCAAGGACTTCTGGCAAATCACCAGAAGCTAGGAAAGTGTAAGAAAAGATTTTTTGCTCCAAGGTTCATAGCCCCACTAACAACTAGATTTTGAATTTTTAGCCTCCTGAATTGTGAGACAGTAAATCTCTGTTGTTTTAAGCCACACGGTTTGTGTTACTTTGTTTGCAATCCCAGCAAACTAGTACAAGAATCCTTCTTTAAAATTTTCTGGGCATATAGATTAATCAAAAAAAGACTAAAATTAAAGCAGAAAAACTTTTCTTTAATAGTCAAGTTTACATAATTCTATATACTATCTCCAGCCATCGCAAAAATAACTCTTTATAAAAACACAAGAACCAGATATAATAAAAAATGTAAATAATGCTGCTTTTTTGACCTAAAATTTTACTGTGTATAATCTGCAAACCATCTGCAAAGTATAGGTGTCTCCCAAAGAGTCCTTACTTCTGGCACAACTGCAAATTTGATGTTCCCCCAGACCACCCTCAGGTTTAGTAATTTGCTAGATTGACTCACATTATTCAATGAAAACTGTTTTACTCAAAGTTACAGTTTATTACCTTGACATGATATGTATTAAAATCAGAAAAGCAAGAAGCATGTGGGGTGGGAACCAGAAGGTTTCCCAGTGTGGAGCTTCACATTGTCTTCTCCCAGTGAGGTTGTACACACAGAATTTACTTCTCTCAGAAACTATGTGAGACAATACGCATCATAGAATGTTGCCAACCGGGGATGATCACCTGGCGCCAGAGATTTTGTTGGTTATGTCACATAGACATGGTTGACTGCTCACATGGCTGACATTAGTTTCAAGGCCCTCCAGAGGTTCCAGCCTCTCCAAGGCCCCACCATAAATTACACTGTTTGCACAGACCACATGGCATGGGCCAAGACCCCCTGGTAAAAAGAGTTATTCATTACAGGCAGGATTTTATGAAGATTTTGAGATTAGGCCTCCCAGAGGCTGAGGGCAAAATGCCAAACCTTTTGTCAAGGTTAAACCCTTACTGCACAACATCATATATTTGAATTCTTAAAACGCACTATGCTACATTGCTGCCTGGGAGGAACTGCTCTTTCTTTTTAATTAATCCTTATTGATCTTTCAGGTCTATGTCACTCTTGGAGATGTTTTTCCTAACCTAATTAGGTTTAGGTTAATTAGAATTAATTTAGAGGTTAGATCAGACTTTACTTAGTGCTTCAATGATATCATCAACCCATTCTGTCTTCTTCACTCTCTTCAAACTGTTGGCTTATCATCTTTGTCTTTCATTATCACAAAAAGGTGGTTGCCACAGTTACACATAACATCTTCATACTCCAGCAACCTAGCAGAAAGAAAGGGTTGGAGCAATACATTCTCCTTGAGAGGGTACGATTATTCGTCAAAGAAACAATGCTTCACAAAAGTCTCCTTGCCCATAACTGGGTTACATGGCTGCTTATAGCTGCAAGGGAAGTAGGAAAAGTATGTAGCCACCAAAGAGGAGTGGGGTTATTATGACTCCAGGAAAACATTCCCTGGGGATGCCTCAAATGACATTGGCCCTCTGTTAGCAATAGAATTAGAGACAAGAGCTCCTGGAAGGGTGCTTATTGTAACTGTCACATACATTTTTTCACTTAGCTCAGAGGTGAATACTCGGTTAGTCTTCAGCAAATAGTCAATGTATGAATAAATGGAAGGATTAGGTTATAAAGGAAAGAGAGCCAACTTTGGCATCTTTATTAATATAACAACTCTTCCTCTTTTTTCTTATTAATTTTAATGATTTCGGTCGAATTGCTTAATTTGAGCCTAATTTAGCTTCATCTGTAAAATGGTAATATTCCTTTGGAGGATAGCAAGGGTTGAAAGATAATACTGATGTGTGAAAGTGTTGTTTACATATTTGGTATATACTTGATATTTTACAATAAGAAGAAAAATGTAGAACTTATGCTTTTCAATGTATAGCAGTTAAATAAGCAGTATACAAACAAACACGCCTGGGCAGGCCCTGTGTGCTCTCTGTTTACGAGTTAGTTTGCTTTCTGGTGTACACTGATAGGAACAGCCAATCCCACACTAAGATCAAAGCTGCAGGTGCTGGCAGGCAGGTGCTACACTCACCATCTGGAACTTCATTCCTGTTTTAGCTCTTCCTGTCCTTGAACTCATTTAGGTTTAGTAAATCCACTCAGACTATTCCATTTAAAAAATACATTAAATTGATGATAGAAAAATAGGGCAGAGCATAGCTAAATTTTGTCCCACTCACACTGTTGCCACTTTTAATTTTGTCTTCTTTTCATCCAAGATAAACATCTATTCAGAACCATCTTTGGTTAATGTACATGCAGCATTGTTCTGGGCTAATAATGGCTGATTTTCTCAGGAAAACTATTGTATTCAAAATATAAAGGAACTTGACAAAAGTGCTTTATAAAATATTAGATATAATGTTAGCAATTACTCAGTGTGGTGGGCCATAGCCAAACTGTTGCTTGCAAAGCCCTTACCTTAGAAACTTGTGTATGTGAGAAATCCTATGTAATGTGCAAGAGTTTATGTTAAGTTGAAAAATTACAAAACATGTGGCATGGTTATAAATCTAACACCAAGAACACAGAAATGAGGTCTCTGGAACATGGTTTCACTGTTATGGAGAGCCATATGATCTAGCTTACTGGATAAAAGTACTCAGGACAAGCTGATTCCATTTTCCTGACAGGGTATGATGCCCACACTGAATTGTCCTAAGGCCCATAAAACTAGATGTACTGAAGAAGTTAAAGAAGTCACAGAAGAGTTTTTACTACTAAGTATTAAAACTTTTGGCCTATCTTCCTGTATTTAGTATTTTACTTTAAATAACTAAATGTTTGCTGTCATGTTGAATACAAGTCGAAACACCTGATTCTTGCTGAGTCATTAATCCCCTGAAAGTTACTAGGCAGATAATAAAAACTACCTTTATTATAATCACAGTAACAAAACACAGACTCCCAGCTCATATTCAAATACTTTGAAAACAAATTTTCTCTGAAATCATACAATGTTTTCATTTACACAAAATCCTTCTTCTCATAAGCCTGTTGTGTAAACCTGATGCCCTTATAATCACACGCTGAGCATTTGAAGTATTCAGATAAAGAACATTATGGAATTGCAAATCCAAAACAAGTATTACTTTTTGCTTTTAGAGAGGGAGAAAATGTTATTTCTCTTTAATGTAACTTCCAATTAGATTCCTGATGCTATTATAATGTATTTCTAGAAAAAGTCTTAACTTTGGTAAATTTTAAAAATCTTAGTCTGGCATAATATAAAATATACTTTTAGAGAAAGCCATGTTTACTGTTATGGATCTCAAATAAATAATAAATCAGAAGAGAAATTACTCTTTATTATATATTCTATGTACATTAAGCTCTGTAAAATGTACATTGGAGCATAAAGTGAATTTTAGTACTGAATGCTGTATTAGAAAAAAACAGGTAAATTGCATTGTATGCAGTTTCTCTTTTTATTAAAAATTTCCTTTAAAAATTTTCTTAAATAAACTTTTATAGCTAGGTTGATGCCAGTGCAATCCTACAAGCATCCTGAGCACTCTACACACCACAAAACTTTCTTTCAATCTCAGAAATGGCAGAAATATAAGTTGCAAAGTGTGTTACTAATCTGATTCTTAGAATACTGTGCCTTTTGTGCAATAAATGAAAACAATTTTATAAAGTGCATTTTGCAAAAATATATTTCCTCAAGATTCTCAAAGTAGAACACAATTCTGCGGTTCATTAATACCTTTGAAGATTCAACAAATATTAAATTATTAAAGCTTCAATAAACTCTGAAACAAAATATAAAAATTGAAGTTAGTTTAACTTACAGTTTTCCATCTTTAATTTATCCTAGAAACCTTGTTCTCTACCTCAAGTTTAATACTATTCAGCATAATTAAGGTTTCCTAGAATCTTTTCAGAAAAACTAAAGCAAGGTGAATATTAATGAAACTAAAGTTCAAACCAGTTTTATACGCCTGGCAGAACATCAGATAAAAATCCTGTAAGGCTCTATGGGGTAAAGTGTGCTGTATAAGTGTGTCCCTATTTCTGACAGGAAGAAAGATCAGGAACATGAAACCTCTCACTAGTTGTGAGATACTGTGAAAACTTCAGCAAGCTATTTTACTGCATTTGTTTAATTTTGTCTTAAAAGATAGTTACTAACTTATTGTTGAGTTCTTTAGTTGTTTTGATATCTATAATATAATGAAGGTGTAAACTCCTGACATACTCTGTTTTATTATATTATATATTTTGCTAATTTTATGTGATTTTGAAACTCAGTCAATTGTCCCATAGAACTAATGTTTATGGTTTAATAAAAAAAGTAGAAATTAATCTTCCAGTCTTAAGGCTTGAAATATACATTTGTTTTACATGAGTTCCTTTCACAGGAAACCAACCTCAGCCTTCCCTGATACTATCAAGGAACTGAAACTTCTTGTAATTCCTGTTTTCCTAACTGACCACTGGCTTCCTGTTGATCAATTCTTCTTCCTTATTCCTCCCTAAATTTTGTTTTCCCACAGGTAGCTACATTCCTTCCCTGTTATATACTCCCAGTTTTAGTCAGTTAATGAGATAGATTTGAGACTGATCTCCCATCTCTTCAGCTGCAGCACCCAAATAAAGCCTTCTTCCCTGGAAATACACATTGTCTCAGGAATTGGCTTTCTGTGATGTGAGCAACGGGACTTAGACTGAACCTCTGATGTTTTGGTAAAAACAAATTATGGCATCTATGATATTGATGCTATAGTATTAATTTATTAGAATCTTTGATATGGCTCCACGTATTCTTACAGTTTTTATTAACATTAACAAGCAATATAAATATCTTAAAATGTTACCTTTATTATGTATTTTCTCACAAGTGCCACATACCCTGAATATTCTCAACCAGGCAATAACAAAAACTTAAATAGCCTACTTACATAATTTATTTTAATCATACAGCAATATTTTAAAAATATATACTTAGGAAAATTCTGTATGATTCATCATTAGTAAATTTTAAGGTATTTGTCTTTTGTGAGTGTCATCATGGACTTAGGCCCTTATAAAGAATCAACTTGATACAACTGACTGAAATTATTATTTCTTTTCATGAGGCTCAAATTATTATTATTAGGTTGACAGGGACTCTGATAGTCTGACATCCTCATTCTTATTGGTAGTATCTTAGACATATTTGAAATTATCTTTTCATTCTTTCAGTAATGAGAAATCCCTGGATTATCTTGACTTCTTTTGTCTGAAGCATTAATTTTGCTGTCTCATAGTAAGGACAATATTAGAGGTAAAAATTTGAGTGCTATGGTTTGTTGAAAACTCCTATCTAAGTACAGGTGACAGGCAGAGGGACATTAGAAGTTTCAGAATTTCTTTTGTGTCTCATAAAAACATTATTTTATATCATGTTATATTTCATATCTCTAATTTAATTTTAAATTTATATACTTGTTACACCATCCTGCTATAAACTTCATTTAATGCATTTTCCATTTTGTTGAGCTATCTACTTTAAAAAATTAACTTTTTATATCATGTTACCTATTTATCTAGAACTCATTTTTCTAAATATAAAATAATACTAATTAAGTAATTGTTCTTTTTTTTAATTTGTATCACTCAAAGATTTATATGATTACATAGCCAACATGTAGCAATTTTTCAAATTGCTATGGGCTATTTGACATTGAAAATAACTCACAATGCAATTATTTACTAACTTAAAAAACATAATTTGTGTAGATGAGTGGCACAATGTAGTTTCAGTCTAACTATGGTATTAGAGTTAGGCCTAGTGTTAAAATAAGTAGCATTTTAAGTTCAGTTAGGCAGGATTCCAGGGGCACTTAACAAGGTGCAGACTTGAGGCAGCTCCTGCCCATAGTTGTAATGTGTATGTAATGTGTAAGTTGTAATGTGTAATTGGTTGGATATAACCGGAAGTATAAGCATAAGGAAATGATATTAATGATCATACTGAATGATCCAAAATTTCTTCTTCAATTATAACGTCTCTAGAACAAGAAGATAAAAATTCTGGAAAATGGGTGAGAAAACTGATGTTATATAAAGAACAAAGAATTTGGAGGCACATGAAATGGGCCTTAGAATACATCCCAGGCTTGTTTCCAGTTGGCCTTTGATAAAGTGCATATTTGAAATCCTGAAAAATGTCATCACAGACTGGACATGAAGAAACTAGAGAAGAACCACACTGTGGTCTTTCTTTGGCAGGCACGATGATGTGAATAATGAGGACTTTCCTTTGTGAATACTAATGGGAAAGAATGGTCAACATGTAAGTAAATAAATGAAATACATTTGATAACTACTATTAAAGTGAAAAATAGGTGCTAAAAACACACACAGATACACAGAAACAGGAAGATAAATATCAACTTAAATTTAGACAAAAATCCATGGCACTCTGATATATACAGACCCAATTAAACTAAAATCATGATCAAATATCCTATAATGTTAGACGAAGATGAAAGATTTTATTTTACTAATAAATACTTAACTTGGATAATATTCATTATTGCTATGATTAGACTAATTTGAATATTGCTAAAACTCATAAATTCATACAGTGATAATGTGTTGAATTTATGTAATAGTTTGAAATTGCGTATTTTACAAATAGATAATCATCAAGCTTTTTCAAATGCATAATGTTATTAAAAGTAAACTATTAAATCTCTTGTATATGAATGCAACTTTTTCTACAACTATATGAACTCACTGACAGTTTTGTTTGTTTCCAATTGCTTCTTATGTTGATAAATTATTCCTAAAATAGAATTTTCTTAGGTCATGGGTCTTTTCCTCATGAAATGATTTGAAATTTTTATACAATATTAAAGATTGTTTTTGATTAGTTAGCTTCTAGTTGTGTTAGCATTAAATTTTTTTCAAAGGAGAGATATTTTAAAACTTGATTATCTTTCCTATAAAGTCTCTGTGAGTAATGAAAACTGGTACCCAGTTTTATTTCAAAGCAAAATTTTTCATTTCCAATATTACAGCCTATATTGATTTAGAAAAAAAAAGTACTTTGAGTTAAGTGAAAACAGGCAGATAATATCTAATTACATTTATTTAGATATTATTTAGATAATATCTAGATACAGACAAGATTTTGGCACTTTACTTTTATTTGGAGAAAAATGTGTCATTCCAGGAAAGCTTTAATAATGGAATAACGTATTATGCGAAATCAGAAAAGGCTGGCAAGAAAATAATACGCCAAAAATAGTATTTTTATAGTGACCTGACTACGAAATAACAGACATTTTCCTGAGAAGAAAAGCTAGCTCCAAGATGATGTAATCACGCTTTTGAATAAAACGCCAGATATATTTAAAGGGGAAAGTAATACATTTGTAATAAAGTAAAAATCTGATCTTTCCATTTGAGAGGGAAAAGAACACAGTGCAGTGAGGCTGGGAGGCCATCCTAACTAGTTGTATTCAGATTTATTCAGATCTAAATTTCGAAAATGAAAGGTAATTCAGGGAATGGTTTTCACCATCACTTTGCAAGATGTAATTTATATAATGTGCTAGATATCAAAAGTTAACGGTATGTTGATCTTATCCTCTTCAGTGTTAATTTGTATTAGTTGAGTGGCTAGGTTTGCTCCTAGAAGACGTTTATTTCCACACAGCCCTTTGATTTCAATGAATCCTCAGAAATTGTTCCAGGTGCTTAATTTAGAGGTGGGTGGGCTGTTCTTTTAAGATGGTAGTTGTTGAAGCTATTATTAACAGCTGTTTTTAATGAAATACTTTAAAAATTATGTTTCCAACACCTATCATATTGAATATTTAGGGAGTAAAGTTTGGGAGAAATAAAATGAGTACTTCTTGGCAAAGTGAAACAACCTCACAAAATTTATTTGATCTGAGAGATAATGCCAACCTAAGATAAAATACTAAAAAATAGAGGGTGAATTTATCGATGAGAGAGCCAAAGCAGAACATCGAAAAGTACCAGGGTATTTATGAGGGGACTTTTACCTGAATTTTGCTGTTGAATAGGCTACATATAAGGTCAGAGTATGGGGATAGAAAATAAACAGTAATAAAAATAGCTTTCTTTAAGCAGTAATGGTGTCAAATGCCTACCAAGCACATAAGGCGTATTTCACAGATAGGAAAACTGGTCTTAGGGAATGTAGGTAACTTGTCCAAGGAGCAAAGTGGTTGACGCAGTAAAGGAAAAGTTTGTAATTTCTTAGGTTGGCACGATTTCCATGAAATATAATTGATTTTATACCTGATTAAATTTTGAAAGCAGGATAGGAATTTCCAGATTTTCTTCACATAACCTCAACCTTACTTGAGATGGCTGTAAGAATTTCATGATCTGGTCTATAGCCTCTGCCTTTCTTAATAGATCTTTATGTTCAAAGTCATAGATTATTCCCCAGAAACAAATAGCCTGTTGTACCCTTAAAAAAAATGACGCTGAGAATGACAGTCCTTCCCTTCTGAAACCACACAGCCAAATAAGTAACTATGCTGATGATATCAGTCTATCTTGTACCACCATATGTTGACTTTTACATCTCATGCATTATGCTAAAAATAAATATTTATACACATCATTTTAATCTTCATAGTGACTTTGCAAAAAGGCACACATTTTAGTATTTCATGAAGAAATTGAGGTTGAGAAATGTAACACATTCTTTTTTTTCTTTTCATTTTTGTTGTGTTTATTTATATATATATATATTTTTTAATTATACTTTAAGTTCTAGGGTACCTGTGCACAATGTGCAGGTTTGTTACATATGTATACATGGGCCATGTTGGTGTGCTGCACCCATTAACTCATCATTTACATTAGGTATATCTCCTAATGCTATCCCTCCCCCCTCCCCCCACCCCACAACAGGCCCCGGTGTGTGATGTACCCTTCCTATGTCCAAATGTCCTCATTGTTCAATTCCCACCTATGACTGAGAACATGCGCTGTCTGGTTTTTTGTCCTTGCAATAGTTTGCTGAGAATGGTGGTTTCCAGCTTCATCCATGTCCCTACAAAGGACATGAACTCATCCTTTTTTATGGCTGCATAGTATTCCATGGTGTATATGTGCCACATTTTCTTAATCCAGTCTATCATTGTTGGACATTTAGGTTGGTTCCAAGTCTTTGCTATTGTGAGTAGTGCCGCAATGAACATACATGTGCATGTGTCTTTATAGCAGCATGATTTATAGTCCTTGGGTATATACCCAGTAATGGGATGGCTGGATCAAATGGAATTTCTAATTCTAGATCCCTGAGGAATCGCCACACTGTCTTCCACAATGGTTGAACTAGTTTACAGTCCCATCAACAGTGTAAAAGTGTTCCTATTTCTCCACATCCTATCCACACCTATTATTTCCTGACTTTTTAATGATTGCCATTCTAACTGATCTGAGACGGTATCTCATTGTGGTTTTGATTTGCATTTCTCTGATGGCCAGTGATGATGAGCATTTTTTCATGTGTCTGTTGGCTGCATAAATGTCTTCTTTTGAGAAGTGTCTGTTCATATCCTTCACCCATTTTGATGGGGTTGTTTGTTTTTTTCTTGTAAATTTGTTTGAGTTCTTTGTAGATTCTGGATATTAGCCCTTTGTCAGATGAGTGGATTGCAAAAATTTTCTCCCATTCTGTAGTTGCCTGTTCACTCTGATGGTAGTTTCTTTTGCTGTGCAGAAGCTCTTTAGTTTAATTAGATCCCATTTGTCAATTTTGGCTTTTGTTACCATTGCTTTTGGTGTTTTAGACATGAAGTCCTTGCCCATGCCTATGTCCTGAATGGTATTGCCTAGGTTTTCTTCTAGGGTTTTTATGGTTTCAGGTCTAACATTTAAGTGTTTAATCCATCTTGAATTAATTTTAGTATAAGGTGTAAGGAAGGGATCCAGTTTCAGCTTTCTCCATATGGCTAGCCAGTTTTCCCAGCACCATTTATTAAATAGGGAATCCTTTCCCCATTTCTTGTTTTTCTCAGGTTTGTCAAAGATCAGATGGTTGTAGATGTGTGGTATTATTTCTGAGGGCTCTGTTCTGTTCCATTGGTCTATATCTCTGTTTTGGTACCAGTACCATGCTGTTTTGTTTACCGTAGCCTTGTAGCATAGTTTGAAGTCAGGTAGCGTGATACCTCCGGCTTTGTTCTTTTGGCTTAGGATTGTCTTGGCTATGCGGGCTATTTTTGGTTCCATATGAACTTTAAAGTAGTTTTTTCCAATTCTGTGAAGAAAGGCATTGGTAGCTTGATGGGGATGGCATTGAATCTATAAATTACCTTGGGCAATATGGCCATTTTCACGATATTCATTCTTCCTACCCATGAAAATGGAACGTTCTTCCATTTGTTTGTATCCTCTTTTATTTCCTTGAGCAGTGGTTTGTAGTTCTCCTTGAAGAGATCCTCCACATCCCTTGTAAGTTGGATTCCTAGGTATTTTCTTCTCTTTGAAGCAACTGTGAGTGGGAATTCACTCATGATTTGGCTCTCTGTTTGCCTGTTATTGGAGTATAAGAATGCTTGTGATTTTTGCACATTGATTTTGTATCCTGAGACTTTGCTGAAGTTGCTTATCAGCTGAAGGAGATTTTGGGCTGAGATGATGGGGTTTTTTAGATATACAATCATGTCATCTGCAAACAGGGACAATTTGACTTCCTCATTTCCTAACTGAATACCCTTTATTTCCTTCTCCTGCCTGATTTCCCTGGCCAGAACTTCCAATAGGAAGTGGTGAGGAACTTCCAATAGGAATAGGAGTGGTGAGAGAGGGCATCCCTATCTTGTGCCAGCTTTCAAAAGGAATGCTTCCAGGTTTTGCCCATTCAGTATGATATTGGCTGTGGGTTTGTCATAAATAGCTCTTATTATTTTGAGATACATCCCATCAATACCTAATTTATTGAGAGTTTTTAGCATGAAGGGCTGTTGAATTTTGTCAAAGGCCTTTTCTGCATCTATTGAGATAATCATGTGGTTTTTGTCTTTGGTTCTGTTTCTATGCTAGATTATGTTTATTGATTTTCATATGTTGAACCAGCCTTGCATCCCAGGGATGAAGCCCACTTGATCATGGTGGATTAGCTTTTGATGTGCTGTTGGATTTGGTTTGCCAGTATTTTACTGAGAATTATTTCATCGATGTTCATCAGGGTTATTGGTCTAAAATTCTCTTTTTTTGTTTTGTCTCTGCCAGGCGTTGGTATCAGGATGAGGCTGGCCTCATAAAATGAGTTAGGGAGGATTCCCTCTTTTTCTATTGATTGGAATAGTTTCAGAAGGAATGGTACCAGCTCCTCCTTGTACCTCTGGTAGAATTTGGCTGTGAATCCATCTGGTCCTGGACTTTTTTTGGTTGGTAAGCCATTAATTATTGCCTGAATTTCAGAGCCCATTATTGGTCTATTCAGGGATTCAACTTCTTCCTTGTTTAGTCTTGGGAGGGTGTATGTGTCGAGGAATTTATCCATTTCTTCTAGATTTTCTAGTTTATTTGCATAGAGGTGTTTATAGTATTCTCTGATGGTAGTTTGTATTTCTGTGGGATTGGTGGTGATATCCCCTTTATCATTTTTTATTGCATCTATTTCATTCTTGTCTCTTTTCTTCTTTATTCGTCTTGCTAGCAGTCTATCAATTTTGTTGATCTTTTCACAACAACAGCTCCTGGATTCATTGATTTTTGAAGGGATTTTTGTGTCTCTATCTCCTTCAGTTGTGCTCTGATCTTAGTTATTTCTTGCCTTCTGCTAGCTTTTCAATGTGTTCACTCTTCCTTCTCTAGTTCTTTTAATTGTGATGTTAGGGTGTCAATTTTAGATCTTTTCTGCTTTCTCTTGTGGGCATTTAGTGCTATAAATTTCACTCTACACACTGCTTTACATGTATCCCAGGGATTCTGGTATGTTGTGTCTTTGTTCTCCTTGGTTTCAAAGAACATCTTTATCTTTGCCTTCATTTCATTATGTACCCAGTGGTCATTGAGGAGCAGGTTGTTCAGTTTCCATGTAGTTTAGCGGTATTGAGTTAGTTTCTTAATTCTGAGTTCTAGTTTGATTTCACTGTGGTCTGAGAGACAGTTTTTTACAATTTCTGTTGTTTTACATTTGCTGAGGAGTGCTTTACTTCCAACTATGTGGTCAATTTTGGAATAGGAGTGGTGTGGTGCTGAGAAGAATGTATATTCTGTTGATTTGGGGTGGAGAGTTCTTAGATGTCTATTAGGTCCTCTTGGTGCAGAGCTGAATTCAGTTCCTGGATATCCTTGTTAACTTTCTGTCTCGTTGATCTGTCTAATGTTGACAGTGGGGTGTTAAAGTCTCCCATTTTTATTGTGTGGGAGTCTAAGTCCCTTTGTAGGTCTCCAAGGACTTGCTTTATGAATCTGGGTGGTCCTGTATTGGGTGCATATATATTTAGGATAGTTAGCTCTTCTTGTTGAATTAATCCCTTTACCATTATGAAATGGCCTTCTTTGTCTCTTTTGATCTTTGTTGGTTTAAAGTCTGCTTAATCAGAGACTAGGATTGCAACCCCTGCTTTTTTTTGCTTTCCATTTACTTGGTTGATCTTCCTCCATCCCTTTTTTTTTGAGCCTATGTGTGTCTCTGCACATGAGATGGGTTTCCTGAATACAGCACACTGATGGGTCTTGACTCTTTATCCAATTTGCCAGTCTGTGTCTTTTATGTGGAGCATTTAGCCCATTTACATTTAAAGTTAATATTGTTATGTGTGAATTTGATCCTGTCCTGTCAGTATGATGTTAGCTGGTATTTTGCTCATTATTTGATGCAGTTTCTTCGTAGCATTGATGGTTTTTACAATTTGGCATGTTTTTGCAGTGGCTGGTACCGGTTTTGGGGGGTGGTTCCAAGATGGCCGAATAGGAACAGCTCTAGTCTACAGCTCCCAGTGTAAGCCACGCAGAAGACGGGTGATTTCTGCATTTCCAACTGAGGTACTGGGTTCATCTCACTGGTGCTTGTCGGACAGTAGGTGCAGGACAGTGGGTGCAGTGCACCAAGCATGAGCCAAAGCAGGGCAAGGCATCGCCTCACTCAGGAAGCGCAAGGGGTCAGGGAATTCCCTTTCATAGCCAAGCAAACTGTGACAGACGGCACCTGGAAAATCGCATCACTCCCACCCTAATACTGATCTTTTCCAATGGTCTTAGCAAATGGCACACCAGGAGATTGTATTCCATGCCTGGCTCGGAGGGTCCCACGCCCATGGGGCCTCACTCATTGCTAGTACAGCAGTCTGAGATCGAACTGCAAGGCAGCAGTGAGGCTGGGGAAGGGGTGCCAGGCTTGAGTAGGTAAACAAAGTGGGTGGGAAGCTCGAACTGGGTGGAGCCCACCGCAGCTCAAGAAGGCCTGCCTGCCTTTGTAGACTCCACCTCTGGGGACAGGGCATAGCCAAACAAAAGGCAGCAGAAACCTCTACAGACTTAAATGTCCCTGTCTGACAGCTTTGAAGAGAGTAGTGGTTCTCCCAGCACGGAGTTTGAGATCTGAGAACGGACAGACTGCCTCCTCAAGTGGGTCCCTGACCCTGAGTAGCCTATCTGGGAGGCACCCCCCTTTAGGGGCAGACTGACACCTCACACAGCCAGGTACCCCTCTGAGAGGAAACCTCCAGAGGAACGATCAGACAGCAACATTTGCTGTTCAGCAATATTCGCTGTTCTGCAGCCTCTGCTGCTGATACCCAGGCAAACAGGGTCTGGAGTAGACCTCCAGCAAACTCCAACAGACCTGCAGCTGAGGGTCCTGACTGTTAAAAGGAAAACTAACAAGCAGAAAGTACATCCACACCAAAAACCCATCTGTACGTCACCATCATCAAAGACCAAAGGTAGATAAAACCACAAAGATGAGGAAAAAACAGAACAGAAAAACTAAAAATTCAAAAAATCAGAGCACCTCTCCTCTTCCAAAGGAACACAGCTCTTCACCAGTAATGGAACAAAGCTGGATGGAGAATGACTTTGACAAGTTGAGAGATGAAGGCTTCAGACGATCAAACTTCTCGGAGCTAAAGGAGGAAGTTCGAACCCATTGCAAAGAAGTTAAAAACCTTGAAAAAAGATTAGGTGAATGGCTAAATAGAATAACCAATGCAGAGAAGTCCTTAAAGGACCTGATGGAGCTGAAAACCATGGCACGAGAACTACATGATGAATGCACAAGCTTCAGTAGCCGATTAGATCAACTGGAAGAAAGGGTATCAGTGATTGAAGATCAAATGAACGAAATGAAGTGAGAAGAGAAGTTTAGAGAAAAAGGAATAAAAAGAAATGAACAAAGCCTCCAAGAAATATGGGACTATGTGAAAAGACCAAATCTATGTCTGATTGGTGTACCTGAAAGTGACGGGGAGTATGGAACCAAGTTGGAAAACACTCTGAAGGATATTATCCAGGAGAACTTCCCCAACCTAGCAAGGCAGGCCAACATTCAAATTCAGGAAATACAGAGAACACCACAAAGATATTCCTTGAGAAGAGCAACTCCAAGACACATAATTGTCAGATTCATCAAAGTTGAAATGAAGGAAAAAATTTTAAGGGCAGCTGGAGAGAAAGGTCAGGTTACCCACAAAGGGAAGCCCATCAGACTAACAGCTGATCTCTCGGCAGAAACTCTACAAGCCAGAAGAGAGTGGGGGCCAATATTCAACATTCTTAAAGCAAAGAATTTTCAACCCAGAATTTCATATCCAGCCAAACTAAGCTTCATAAGTGAAGGAGAAATAAAATACTTTACAGACAAGCAAATGTTGAGAGATTTTGTCACCACCAGGTCTGCCCTACAAGAGCTCCTGAAGGAAGAAACGTAACACTTTCAAAGTCACATGGCAAATCAGTGGCAGAGCTATCATGATTTATCCACAAGCTGGGAAAGAAAAAGAAATAATGAAGTAAACTGACTGTATTAGTCCATTTTCACACTGCTATAAGTAAATACCCAATACTGGGCAATTTATAAGTAAAAAGGTTTAATTTACTCACAGTTCTGCAGGCTTAAAAGGAAGCATGGTTTGAGCGTTTCAGAAAACTTACAATCATGGCAGAAGGTGAAGGGGAAGCAAGGCATGTCTTCTCATGGCGGCTGGAGACTGAAAGAGTAAAGGGGGAAGTATCATACAATTTCAAAATATCAGATCTTGTAAGAACTGACTCACTGCCACGAGAAGAAAAAGGGGAAGTCCACCCCATGGTTCAGTCAACTCCCAACAGGCTTTTCTCCCAACATGTGGGGATTACAATTTGGGATGAGATTTTGTTGGAGACACAGAGCCAAATGGTATCACTAGCATTATTCCTTTTTTGAATACAAAGTTGGTCTAATTATGCTCTGTGTCTTGCTTCTGTCTTTTTGTTTAGATAAGAACTACAACCTATGTTCTTACAATCATTGTACAATTCTCAGTTGATCAATTAAAATATGCTTACTATACCAACTTCTGTATAATATTTTCTTTTTGCTTTAATTTTTCATTCATATAAAAGATTATTTAAAACAGTACCCACTTCCATATCCCTGGATATGTCTGAAATGGATATACTTTTACTCTATATTTAAATAATATGGAGTATACACGAAATATATATTTACATAATAGATGTTTATGTTTTCATATACACACATGGAATTTAAATGACTTTCTAGATGATCAGACTGAATTATAGTGATTTTCAGTTAGGAGACTTATCTGGTAAAATATGGCAATTTTGATAATGGGTTGAATTCTGTCCCCTCCAAATTCAGAAACTGAAGTCCTAACATCCAATACCCCAGAATGTGATTTTATTTGGAAACAGAGCCATGGCAGATGTAATTACTCAAGTTATCATGAGGTCATACTGATGTAGCATGGGCTCCAAATCAATAGGATTGGCATCCTTATACAAAGGGTAAATTTAGACACAGAAAAATGTACACAGGGAGAATGACATGTGAACATGAAAGCAGAGATGAGGGGATGAATCTACAAGACAAGAGGTACCAAAGGTTGCCAGCAAACTAACAGAGACTGAGAGAGGCATGGAACAGATTCTCCCCGACAGCCTCAGAAAAAAAAAAACAACTCGGTTAAAACGTTGATCTTGAACTTCTAGCCTCCAGAAATGTGAAACAATAAATTTCTATTTTTTAAGCCATGCAATTTGTCGTATTTTGTTATGGCAGCCTCGGAAAACTAACACAGTAAGCCTTACTCTAAGATATGGTGCTGACTGTTAAGGTTTGGCTTTTTCAGTTTCCAAGGATATTTAAAGAGGTTTTGAATAGGTCACAGGTAATCCACTATAGCCCTTATTTTCTAAAATTTGTTCCTCTCTCTATCCTTGACCAGTCACATTCTGGTAACATGAATGGTCTCACCCTGCAAATGTGCAGCCCAGATTTTAGTCATGAACTTACAAGGAACCTCCATCCTGACTTCTGAAATTCAGTTTCTGCACAGCATCCCCTTCAGTACAGTATGCTGCCTCACTCTGCAAAAAGGAAAATCTCTACATAGACCTAAGAAAATTGTTTCCAGGTGAAGACTAGACTGACTCTGGAATCCTGACGTCACTTTTGAAATTCAGAGATTGCAGCTTTCCACTGACTGTTGTCCACTTCCTGAAACCAGATACCTCGTATGCTTTGTCCAGTTTTGTAGCTGCTTACAGCAGAAGAACTAGTTCAGTTACATGTATTTTATGAAGGCCAGTCTATATTCCTGGATGGAATGTGAACTCTAATAATTTAGGTGTTGGTAAGCTACTACCTAAATTCCTATGGAAGTCTGACTAGAAAACTACATCACATCAACCTTAAAGCTACTCTGGCCTTTTCAGTTGATAGTTAAACCCCACCTTTCTTCTTTTTGTTCTCCATACTTGATTTTCAAAAGAAATATGAAAAAATTGATGAAATTAGGTAAGTGCAATGTCTAATTTCTTTTCCAGAACCATGATGAATGCCGTCCCATTCCATTTTAGATGTTGATCTAAATCTGTTTATAACATGAGATAAAAGTCTAAGACCTCCGATTCGTGCTCCACAGGAAATAGAAAGTATATCTAAATAGTTTAGACAATAACACAAATTCTATTTTCCAATATTTCTCTACAAAATCCAAAGTCCACATCATTTTGAAAAAACTGATTCAGGCTGGGCGTGGTGGCTCACACCTGTAATCCCAGCACTTTGGGAGGCTGAGGCGGGTGGATCACCTGAGATCAGGAGTTTGAGACCAGCCTGGCCAATGTGATGAAACCCCGTATCTACTAAAAAATACAAAATATTAGCCAGGCGTGGTCGTGGGAGCCTGTAATCCCAGCTACTCGGGAGGCTGACGCAGGAGAATCACTTGAACTCCAGAGGCGGAGATTGCAGTGAGCCAAGATTGTGCCATTGCACTCTAGCCAGGGCAACAAGAGCAAAACTCAGACTCAAAAAAAAAAAAAAAAACTGATTCAAAACATAAAAGAAAAACATACTCTTTTTCCCAAGTTACTCCAAACTTCTCTCTCATCTTCAGACCCCTTTCTTATTCTGTACATTCAGTTTGACTCTAAGATTTTTGTGATTGTTTCATTAAGCAGTTAAATTGACAGAAATATGTAAATGTTATAATGCAGTTTCAACAATATCCTGTAGTACTCACAGAGAACAATTCATAAATCCTTGCATTCTAGTCTATGTATTTTTCTGATATCATGATGCTGTATTTCTTATTAATCTAGAGTAAAATATACTACCTTGGCTCTGACAACATTATATTTGAAATATTTTTCTTTACTTTGTAGAAAAACTAACGGTGTGCTGGTAACAAAGAAGTTTAATTATCTCAAGTGGTAATTGTTATTTTAATTAGTACTTAAAGGAGTAAAGAGAGGAAGATTTACCTTTCTTGGAAATCATGTAAAGCAGTGATTTGATGTGCAATTGTTAATTCTGAAATTGATCCTTAAGAAAGATACTATAGAGCTGCCAAAGGAGCAATAAAGAAGTATTAATCAGTCATTAGTAGGGATCATTTAAAATATTAATGGAATTAACCATCGTGGACAGTTTATAACAACAAGACTACTGAAAATATGGAATACAGAAAAGACACTAACCAGCCAGATAGAACTAATCAAAATACAAAAAGACAATCAGAACTCATCAAAAATATAAAAAACATTCACAAATTTGACTATTCTAAAATTACCTTTATAACAGGCATGTGATTTTGATACAGATGTCGGGAAGTATGTTACTAACTGGTTCTACCTGTCAGGTCATACTCTTTTTTGCAAAAGATCACTGAAGCTATTTTCCCAAAGAAAGATGCTAAGCTCTTCCTCAATTATGTTAATAAGGCAAACTATTTAAAAATAACATTTTAACATGAGATTGAGCAAGATAAAACTTTCAAAGAGAGAGAGTTTCCTTTAAACAATACTTTACACGTTAAATATATTTTATTTGCATTGCACTGTTTTCAGAAAAAAATATCTGAGGAAAACTTAGAAAACTCTGACTGGATTTTCTTTATGGACAGAAGTCCGTGAGATTGGGGCAAAACAAGACATCCTGATCCAGACATCTTTGGGAATGATTCATCTCCAAACATAATTCCTCTCTTTTGTATAAACGCCATTGCAACTGGAGACATAACAGATGTCTCAAAAGGCCGTAATGGTTGGGCTTGTTGCCTCCTTTCTGCGGAGACAACATAGCAGAAAACATCAGTCTAGATAGGCTTTCTTCTTCCTCCCTATGATACAGTAAATTTTCCATTTGCAAATGTGACAAGGGACTTGGTCTCTGATGGGCTGCTGGAGGAGGGTGTGTAATTGGAAAACTAAGGGTTTGGAGAAGAGGGCTGATAGGGCCCCCTAGGGAAAGAAATCCTACCTCATCTGGTGGTTTGATAAGGATTGAAATGTTAAGCTGTAACGTTTTCTCCAAATACTTTCTAGGCAGAGGTTGGAAAGAGAGGTTTGGGGCTTGATAGGCTGTCCCCACAATATGTCTCCTAGCAGAAGAAAATTAATTTGTCTTATAGAAGGGATGCTTAAATTCACTGGACAGTGCTGAGTTCTCACATGAAGAAAGAAAAGCCTAAATGGAGAGGAGGGTAGCTACTCAGGGTGAAATATCCCCCTATTCAGTCCCATGTATAGACATCATAGGGGGACAGAGAAGCCCTTAGACTGAAATCTTGAAATCCCCGTGTCTCAGGGAAATCACAAAAACAACAACCCTTTGAGCTGCATTGCTGATTGCTAAGGCACCTGCTGACTTTAGCCAACAAAATTGTATCTCCAGGTTGCAAAAACACCCACAACATTGCATACAAAGAAGAGATAGGAGCCATAACAGCCATGAAAGAGAGAAAGAAAAAAAATGTGATAGAAAAGACTGGAAGTCCTGGTGCCAACACCCTAACAGGCTGTCTGGGAATGGATTTAATCTAGGGACCTTTGGGTGACTTGGAGGTTTAGCCTCATCCAGATACTCTCAGCTGCCCCAGGACCTCCTAATCCCATGTGACAGCTAGACCTCCATGAGGGAAAATTGGTTTGGGATAAAGCCAACATTTCCAACATTCAAGGGTGTTGGGAGATTGACAAAATCCTCCCCAGCAAGTCTGACCTCTGAGTCTTAAGTCCAGCAGCCATGATATTTGCTCTTAATTGGCTGACAGAGGCCTGGTGTTTTATTTGATCTTGAGGAAAAAGAAAAAAAAGGATAAGAAGCCTCAGAAATGAAAGTAAAGAGTTGGAAGTCTGATCTGACTCACCCTTCTGACAATCCCAGATGAGGTCCCAAATATTGCAGTCTGCTTAGTCTCTAGCTCAGCCAGGTCCGAGTTCTTGTTCTACAACCAAGAAGAATAAGGCATGCAGACACCCAAGAGTGAGTAGAGTAGAGATTCTTAAAAAAAAGGATAGCTCTCAGCAAACAGAAGAAACCTGAAAATAGGTGGCCAGAAATGGGGCTGAGTTCTGGGTCTTTTATGTGGCAAGAACAAGGAAGCCTTCTGGGGATTCTGCCCAAAACGATAGGGGTAAAGTTTCCTCCTAAGGGTGCTGTAACTGTGCATGCCTGCAGTTGGCCAGCGTGACTCCATCTTGGTTATTACTCATGAGTGCCTAAGTGAAACCCACATGGGAGATAAAACCGCAACGCTAATATCATGTTAATGACATTATAATGAGTTGGATCAAATTAAGGACATTTAGATTGACTTATTGTGCCTGCATCTAAGTTAGGACAGTCCCTTCTGAAGAACATTCCAGCATAAGGGGAATTTCTTAACCATGTTTCTTCCCATTAGCTGCAGAGGCAGTGTAGGTGCTGTCCCGCGGATGTTCCTATGAACATTGCTCTTCTCCCAAGACCCTCCCTTTTTATCTGCCTAAACAGCCTCTAGCTGCCTCCTTTCTCAATAGTGTGGAGAGCATAAATAATGTCAGCCTCTAAAGATAAGTAAAGATGGAAGAGATTTAAATCACAAAATTATTAGTGGTCATATAAATGAATCAATCCATGTGCTAGTTCAGATGTGAGAGCTGTGGGAGGAGCACAGGCATTCTGATTAAACATATTACCTTAATGGATTAAAATGCTTTATCTCAAAACATTGAAAGTTTTTAAATCAATAATCATAGGATCAATAATTGTATGTCTTGGTGGAAATTAATGTGAGAAATGCATTTTTAATGAATAAAAATATCAGTATGATAAATGTAATCTCCTTTAATTGAAATTTATGGGAACCAAACATTAAGATAATTTATTTAACAACAAAAGCAAGAATATTACTATGTTTTTCAAAAATAGTTTTTAAAATTATTTTTGAGGCAGTAGTAATGTTCAATCACTAAAAAATCATTTATTTTAAAATATTCAAATGAAATGAAATTTTTCTGAAAAATTTACTTGAAATTATAATTTCTCAGTTCCCAAAATTTGGGTTATTACCATTTCCCAATCCCAATTATGAACTCTGGCTTAGGAATTTTCTGTGTCATCATATCAATATGGAAAACTTTGTATTGTGTTAAAAATAAAGTAGCAATCCCAGCCTCTGAGAGTAGGGCTCATGGAAAGCCACTCCTGCAAAACCCTAGGCTAAGCCCCCTGCACAGAACTGTGTGTCCAGGAACACCACTGTTGGCTTCTCAGTACATGAAAACAGGAAAGGCAGCCCCACTTAGTAAAAACCTGGGTGCAAACGTGTGTGACAGTAGGATGTTGAGTGAATGGGAAAGTCTGTGGATGCAAGAGTTCTTCATGTATGGAGGTTAATTCATTCATAGATTCACCATTTATTGAATGGTATCTGTGTAACAGGCACAATCCTAGATCCTTGGGATATAGCAGTGAACAAAAGAGAAAAACGCCCTACTACTATGGTACTTACATTATTGTGGGCCAAATAATAAACAAGTTTTAGTACGATATGTCTACATGTGAATTTTTTTGCTATTTTTCACACTTAGTGTTCTTTTTGAGCTTCCTCAATCTGTGGCTTGGTGTCTGTTATTAATTTGAAATGTTAATGTAAATTATTACTGGAAATATTTATCTCATCCAGCCCCCCTAATGTGGCCGCCACTGCCAGCAGCAGGAACGCACACATGGAGGCTAGTAGCCCTGCCTGCCAGTGTCCTGCTCCAGCCAATGAGCATGCACCCTGCTGCATTGGTGCCACCACTGGCACATGTGAATAAGCACAGATCCAGCTGCCACCATTCTGACGAAGCACTTTGGTTGAAACCAACCATTGAAGTGTTGTGGCCAGTGGTTGGGAACTCTTGGCCCCTCCAGCATAGCAGGTTCCTAACTTCAAGGGGCCAAAGGACAAAGCCATGGGCTGATACTACCCATCCCCCGCACCCCCGCGCCCAGAATTAGAGCATGCTGCTCAGGAGTGCTGAGTTGATTCTTTCCCCCCTAAAATCTTCCAGAAACGAAGTTAGTCAACTGAACCCACCTTATACCACAATCAAATCCCAAAGAGCCTCAAAGAAGATAAAAGCATAAAGCCCATCCAAAGTATAACAACTTCAAAGACTGAAGGAACATCAGCCCACATATATGAGAAAGAACCAGCACAAGAAGTCTGGCAACTCAAAAAGCCAGTTTCTTCTTACCTCCAAATGACTGCACTAGTTCCCCAGCAATGGATAACTGGGCTGAAATGGCTGAAATGTTAGAAATAGAATTCAGAATATGGATAGAAACGAAGATCATTGTGATTCAGGAGAAAGTCAAAACCCAATCCAAGGATTCTAAGAAATACAATAATATGATACAGAAGATGAAAGATGAAACAGCCATTTTTATAAAGAACCAAACTGATCTGACAGAGCTGAAAGCTTACGTCAATACTTTCAGAATGAAATTGCAAGTATTAATAGCAGAATTAAACAAGCTGAGGAAAAAAATCTCAGAGCTCGAAGACTGATTGTCCAAAACAACTCAGTCAGACAAAAATAAAGAGGAAACAATAAAGAAGCATGAACAAAACCTCCAAGAAATACGTGATTACGTAAAAAAACAAAACAAAAACACAAATTTGTGACTCATTGACTTCCCGGAAAGAGAGAGAGAGAAAGTAGACAACTTGGAAAACACATTTCAGGATATCATCTAAGAAAATTTGCCCAACCTCACTAGAGAGGACAATATTCAAATTCCGGAAAGGCAGAGAAGCCTTGTGAATACTACACAAGATGATCATCTCCAAAACACACAGTCATCAGGTTTTCCAAGGTCAAAGTAAAAACAAAAGAAGAAGAAAGGAAAACTAGAGAGAAGGGGCAAGTAACCTACAATGGAAACCCCCTCAGGCTAATAGTGTTCTTTTCAACAGAAACCCTAGAAGCCAGAAGAGACTGGGAGCCTATATTCAGCATTATTAAAGAAAAGAAATTCCAACCAAGAATTTCATATACAGCCAAACTAAACTTCATAATTGAAGGAGAAATAAGATTCTTTTTAGACAAGCAAATGCTAAGGGAATTTGTTTTCACCACACCTGCCTTACAAGAGGCCCTGAAGAGAGTGCTAAATACGGAAAGGAAAGACTTTCTCCAGCCACAAAGCTAAAAGCAATTGCAACAAAAACAAAAATTGGCAAATGGTATCTAAACTGAAGAGCTTCTGCACAGCAAAAGAAATTATCAACAGAGTAAACAGACAACCTACAAACTGGGAAAAATTTTCCATGAATTATGTATCCAACAAAGGCCAAATATCCAGAATCCATAAACAACTTAAACAAATTAAGCAAAATACAATCAACTTCATTAAAAAGTAAGCAAAGGACACACACGGACACTATTGCAAAGAAGATGTACATATGGTGAACAAGCAGATGAAAAAAATGCTCAACAACATTAATCATTACATGAATACAAATCAAAACCACAATGAGATACCATCTCACACCAGTCAGATGGCTATTACTAAAAAGCCAAATGATAACAGATGCTGGCAAGGTTGTGGAGAAAAGGGAATGCTTATACACTGCTAGTGGGAATCGAAATTAGTTAAGCCATTGTGGAAAGTAGTTTTGCAATTTCTCAAAGAACTTAAAACAGAATTATCATTTTACCCAACAATCCCATTATTGGGTATATACCCAAAGGAATATAAATCGTTCCACCATAAAGATAAATGCATGTGTATGTTCATTGCAGCACTATTCACAATAGCAAAGACATGGAATCAACCTAACTATTCATTAATAGTAGACTGGATAAAGAAAATGGGATACATATACACCATAAAATACTACAAGCCATTAAAAAAGAATGAGATCATGTACTCCGTAGCAACATGGATGGAGCTAGATGCCATTACCCTTAGTGAACTAACACAGGAGCAGAAAACCAAATGCCACTTACAAATGGTATGTTTTGACTTATAAATAGGAGCTAAGCAGTGAGTACATATGGACACAAAGAAGGGAACAATAGACACTGTCGGCCTACTTAAGGGTGAAGAGTGAGAGGAGGGTGAAGATTGAAAAACTTCCTATTGGATACTATGTTTATTACCTGGGTAATGAATTAATCTGTACACCAAACCCCCTGACATGGAATTTTTCCTACATAGCAAACTTGTACCTGTATCCCTGAACCTAAAATAAAGGTTAAAAAAAAAGAAAATTATGTATATATTTTGGAATCCTCTGCAATATTGGTTTTTAAGGTGGTGGTTAGAACTTCAAAACACCATTAAATATCAGTTGAACATCAGTTATAACATATGTAACAGTTAATTTCTTAGTAATTCTGGCTGTGAATGACCTAATTTACCTCGGTAGTTGATAAGCACAAAGATGAGTGTGATGATTATTTGCACAGAAAAATCTCAGGAAATGTACTATACAAAAAAGAAAGCAAATTATTGACTGTATCAAGTTAACAGGACATAGTTTAGCATAAAAATTAATTGTAATAATATTTGTATATGTAGCAGAAAAAACAGAAAATTGATATTTAAAAAATAATTCCATTTATGATAGTAAAATTATATAGGGTAAATCTAAAAATATACTTGTATTCTACATTGAGAACTAAAAATTTTTATGAAAGAAATTACATAGGTGAAAAGTTATGCTGTGTTTACGGATTAGAATATCAACAGTGTTATAATGGCTATTTTCCTATATTGAATTCTAGTGTCAACAAATTCCTAGTGAAAATTTTAGCAAGATTTATATATATATATATATATATATATATATATATATATATATAAGCAAGGTGACTGTAAAATGTATTAAAAAACTTAAAGGACCTAAAATATCCAAAGGAATATTTAAAAAGGGGAATAAATTTGGAAAAGTTACCTCATTGAAATTCAAGATTTAGAATAAAAATACTATAACCAAAAAGTATTGTATTCAGGAAAAAAGAGATATTTGAAGAGACTGGGAATATAATCAATTGATTTTTGTCAAATTGACATAGCTACTCAATGGGAAAAGGAAAATGTTTTCATCAAATGACACAGATTCAGCCAGATATATATAAGAAGAATAAGTAAATATTATGCCTTATAGTATATAAATATTATGCCTTATGATGTATTTTGCTCTTAAACATGTATCATTTAGGAAATGAAAAGGCAAGTCACAGAGTGGGGGAAAGCATTTGCAGAACATATATCAAAGTACTTGTAACTAAACTATGTAATGGACTTCACAAGTTAATAAATAGACAACAGGATAAGCAATTAAACATAAGCAAATTATATTAATGGAAATTTTATTTAAAAAGAAATAGACCAAATAAGCAAATTAAAACATCCACAGAATAGGAGAAAAAAACTTGCAAATCATATATCTTAAAAGGAATTTGTATCTAAGATATATAATGACTCTTACAGCTCAGTAATAAGGCAAATTGCCCAATTTAAAATGAGCAATAGATAATTCCCCAAAGAAAATATACAATGACCAATAAGCACATAAAAAGTTTCTAGTTATTGGCCAGGCATGGTGGCTTACACCTGTAATCCCATCACTTTTGGAGGCCGAGGCAGGTGGATCAGGAGGTCAGGAGATGGAGACCATCCTGGCTAACATGGTGAAATCCCGTCTCTACTAAAAATACAAAAAATTAGCCGGGCTTGGTGGCGGGCGCCTGTAGTCCTAGCTACTTGGGAGGCAGAGGCAGGAGAATGGTGTGAACCCAGGAGGCAGAGCTTGCAGTGAGCCAAGATCGTGCCACTGCACTCCAGCCTGGGCGACAGAGCGAGACTCTGTCTCCAAAAAAAAAAAAAAAAAAAAAAAAAGTTTATCACTATCAAATTGCAAATTGCAAAAAAACTTTCTCATTATCAAATTGCAAATGCATAACAACTCCACAGTGAGATATCACTTCACACTCACTAAGATGGTTATTATCAGAAAGACAGATAATAATAAGTGTTGACAGGGATGTGGAGAAATCCAAACAAACCCTTGTACATTGCTGGTAGAAATGTATATGGTGCAGCTAATTTGAAAAACAGTTTGGAAGTTCTTCCAATGGTTAGATGTAGAGCTACCATATGTCTCACCAATTCCATCCCTAAATATATACCACTATCTAGAGAGAAATGAAAATACTAAAACTTATATATGAATGCTTATAGCAGCATTACACATAATAGCTAAAATGTGGAAATAATCAAATGTCCCTCAACTGCTGAATAGGAGAACCAAATGTAATATATTCATACAATGGAATATTACTCAGACATAAATAGAAATGAAGTAATGAATATTACTCAAATATAAACAGAAATGAAGTAATGATATATTCAACAATATAAATCAATCTTATGAAACTATAGTAAATTTTTAAAATATCAGCCACAAAAGGCCACATATTATGCGACTGAATTCATATGAAATACTCAGATTAGACAAATCTGTAGAGAATAAAAGTAGAACAGCGGTTATCTAGGGCTGGGTGTGGGAAGGTGGGATTGAAGGCTAAGTACAGGGTTTCTTATTGGAGTGCTATGAATATTTTAAAATTGATTGTAGTGATGGCTGCAAAACTCTGGAAATATGCTTAATCCCTTGAATTATATACTTTAAATGAATAACTTACATGGTATGTGAATTATTTCTCAATAATGCTGTCAAAAATATAAATGAGAAAGGAAAAAAGAAGCATGTTAAAACATTTTGTGATGATGGAAATAATTTACATTTTGCTGTTGGTGATATTCATGATTGTATGCATTTGAACAAACTCATCTATCTGTACACCAAAATGATAAAATAGATAAGTAGCATAAGGGTTCAAAGACAAATTTACATAACAGAATAATTAGCAAGCCAGCAGATCACAGGAATTAAAATAAAGAGTAAGTAGAAACTTTACAAAAAGAAATATTATTATAGGAGCAGCAAAATTCTGAATTAAAAGCCTGTAAACAGTATAACGTACTGTAGACAGACTAGAGAACAATAAAAGTTTAAAAGAAAAATATATGACCGTTTTGGCAGATTTAGTAATTGTTTTTTTTTGAAGGAGAGAACAGAGAAAACAAATGCAAAAGTATTTCAGATGAAAGAAAACATTCTCAAAAGAAAAACTTGAATTTTCACATAAAAGTGGCAGTTATGAGTCAGAAAATTTGATACAGAAGAATCAACAATATTCTGTTCTGATCTTATCTTCTCCTCCTTCTTTCTAAGGCTTCCAACCTGGAATTCATAGTCCATCACCTGCCTACCCTTGATCTTGCTCTGTATCATTCTTACCCGATTGTCTTAGTTAAAACTGTCTGTCCTCAAGGAATCTTCTTCTTCGCACCCCCCTCAAGAGGTGACTAGTTTGTCTCCCACATAGTACTAACACTGGGACCTATGTAATTAGGGAAGATTCCCTTTTTACTTCTCATTAGCACTTACAGGCCATTGTCCCTGCCTCCATGGTAAGCCCTCTAGCTTATGCCTTTAGATTATTCTACTTACTCTCCATCCTTGTTTCAATCAGTTGCAGATATCTGGGTTACTGTGGCTCATTCCTTGGAGGTTTTAGCATTTTGTTAACTCGTATACTTTTCAATGACATCCTGTTGCTAGAAGTGAAGAGGAGCTGATATATTTGTTAACTTATCCTATTATTATGGAATTTCTCTCAATGTCCCTTATATTTCTAATAATTCATTTGGGGAGGCCAAAAATATTTATGCTAGCTACATATTATTTGTAAATTTTATAATAGGAAAAATGTGTTATCAAATCTATTTACACTCATATTCTGCTGTTTGCAGTTTTGGGTGAAAAATATAACTTGCCATAGCAAAATATATTTAAGTTTCCATCTATTTTCTCCTAGATGCCTGAGTATTTTAGAAGCCGTACTTCTAACTTGGTAACTGCATTCTCCTGGTGTGTGTTAGTGTTTAGTTGGGTCAAAGATTAGCAAGCATAAAACTTGGTTAGGTAATAGTGAAATGAGTCAGACATAGCAAATACATGTAGCTCACTTTATAATGGAAAAAAAATTCCAAATATATACAACTCTAAGTAAAGCCTGATAGGGAAATTATTATAAAACAGTAGTTTAAATTATATATGTACTTAGGTACTTAAACACCAGAATTAATGTATTCACTCTATAGGTCTGTGATCACCCACTAATCAAAAAATATATTGTTGTTTTCCAGATAGACCAATAGATCAAAGAAACAGGAAAGACAGTCGTGAAATAGACCCATGAGTATATGAAAAGTTAATTTTTTCTCACGGTGCAAAGAAAGAAATATAATCATTTTAACAAATGGGGTTGAAATGATTGTATATTTGTATATTCATATACAAAAATTAGTAATTTTATTCTTATACCGTGTAAAACTGAACTAATTAGTTAACGTATATAATAGTCTAAATGTAACACCAAGTACTATAAAACTCCTGAAAAAAATCAGAAAAATATTTGTAACTTTACTTAGGCAAAGATGTCTTACATGTGGCACCAAAAGCATGAAACAAAAAATGATAATTGGGACTTCATGATGAAGCTGATGAAAAGTTTGAATTCAAAGTATGTTTAAAAACATTAAAAACTTAGTAACGAGATAGTGAATCCTCAAATTATAGGCAAAAATTTTCAAATAGAATTTCACCAGTGAAAATATATGAACAGCTAATCAGCACATAAAAGATGCTCAACCTAATTTATAGTAAGAGAAATAAAAATTAAAAATTAGATACTACTATACAAATATTGCCAGTGGCTAAAATGGAAAGAACTGACCATACCAAATGTTGCTCAGGATGTGGAGGAGCTGAAATCCTCATATACTAATTGGGTGAATGTAAAACAATTTGGCCATTTTGAAAAAGAGCCTGATAAGTTCATAAAAAGTTGAACATACACCTACCATATAATATAGCTGTTCAACTGCTAGATATTTACCCAAGGAAAAAAAAAAAAAAGCAACTCAAATGTCCATAGAAAGACTTGTATGCAAAAGTCCCAAGCTCAAAACTGGAAAGAGTCCAAAAGTCAATCATCAGATGAATGTATACTCAGCAGTAAAACAGATTGAGCTATTTGTACACATAACAACAAGAATGAATCTCAAATAATTATATCAAATGAAAGAAACTACAGATAGTCACATATTTTATCATTTACATTAAACTTTATATATTGCAATTTAATCTATAGTGTCAGAAAATAGATGAGTGGTTTATTCAATGCTTTGTAGTTCTCAGAATACAAGTCTTTCACCTCCTGAGTTGTTTATTAAGTATTTTGTTCTTTTTGGTGCTAGTTTACATAAGATTGTTTCCTAATTTCCTTTTCAGATAGTTCATTGTTAGTGTTTAGAAACACTACTGAGTTTGTGTATTCATTTTGTATCTTGAAGCTTTACTAAAAGTTTGTTTATTAATTCTAAGATTTTTCACAGAATTGTTAGGGTTTTCTAAAAGATCATGTCACCTGCAAACAGGGACAGTCTTACATCTTCCTTTTCAATTATGATGCTTTTATTTTTATTTTTTTTGTTCTGGATAGAACTTCCAGCACTATGTTAAATGGAAATGGTAATAGTGGGCATCCTTTCCTTTTTCCTCGTCTCAGAAGAAAAGCGTTCAGTTTTTCACTATTAAGATGCTAGCTGTGGATTTTTCATATATAGTCTTTATTACATTGATATCCTTTTCTTCTATTCCTAGTTTTTTGAAATTTTTTATCATGAAAAAGTGTTGAATTTTGACAAATGCTTATTCTACATCTGTTGAGATGAGCATGTGATTTTTATCCTTCATTTTTTTACTGTGGTGTGTTTTATATATATATAGATTTTACTATATTGAATCATCTTTGCATCCCCAGGGATAAATAACACTTATTCAAGTTGTGTGATCCTTTACATGTGCTGTTGGATTTGATTTGCTAGTATTTGTTAAGGACTTTTCGCTCCATATCTACCAGAGATATTGGCCTATAGTTTTCTTTTCTTATGTCATGTTTAGCTTTGCTACCAGAATAATGCTGGGCTTATGAATGAGTTTGTATTTGGAAGTCTTCCCTCATCTTCAATTTCTTGAAAGAGTTTGAGAATTGGCATTATTTTATTTTTATTTTTTTCAGAGAGAGGGGCTTCCTCTGTCACCCATTTTGGAGTGCAGTGATATGATCATTGCTCACTGCAGCCTCAAATTCCTAGACTGAAGCCATCCTCTCACTTCATGCTTCTGAGTAACTAGGACTACAGGCATTCACCACCATACCCAGCTATTTTTTTTTAATTTTTTGTAGAGATGAGGGCTCACTTTGTTGCCCAGGTTGGTCTCAAACTCCTGCCTTCAAGCAATCCTCTCACCTCAGCCTCCCAAAGCACTGGGATTACAGGTGTGAGCCACCATGCCCATACCCAGCCTAATGCTTCCTTAAATGCTTGGTAGAATTTAACAGGGAAGCTATCTGTTTTAGGCTTTTCTTCGCTGAAAGGTTTTTACTTAATGATTCAATTGCCATACTAGTTGTAGTTCTGTTAAGACTATTTCTTAATAACTTAGTTACAGCGTCTCTAGAAATGTGTCTGTTTCTTCAAGGTTATCCAGTTGATTGGCATGTGATTGTTCATAGTGGTCTCTGGTGATCCTTTTTATTTCTGTAGCATCTATTGTAAGTTCTCTTCTGTCATTTCTCATTGTATTTATTTGAGACTTCTCTCTTTTTTTCTTACTGTAGGTAAAGGTTTGTCAAATTTGTTTATGATGCGATAAACCAACTCTTAGTTTTGTTTACATTTTTTATTGTTTCTCTATTTTCTATTTTGTTTATTTCTGTTCTAATCTTTGTTACTTACACCCCTGTAACTTTCAGCTTAATTTGTTCTTTTTATAACTCCTTGAGGTGTAAAGGTAGATTGTTTATTTGAAATCTTTTTTTTAATGTAGATGTTTATCTCTGTGAAATATCCTCTTAATACTGCTTTTCCTGCATTCCATAAAATTCAGGATGTTGTGTTTTCATTTCCATTTGTATTTAAATATTTTCATATATCCTTTTTGACCCACAGGTTTTTTAGAAGTGTGTTGTTTAATTTCAAAATATTTCTAAATTTTCAGGTTTTTGTTCTGCTATTAATTCATAGAAATTAAAAAAGACAAAAAGGCACCCTGTGTTCATGGATTAGAGTAAAAAATATCATTAATATGTTCATATTACCCAAAGACAGCTACATATGCAATGCAATCCCTATTAAGATCTGAATAACATTTTTTTGCAGAAATACAAAACAAAATTCTAAAATTTATATACAACTACAAAAGACCCTGATTAGTCAAAACAGTCTTAAGCAAAAAGAACAAAGCTGGAGGTATAACACTTCCTGATTTCAAAATATATTACAAAGGTATAGAAATCAAAAAGGCATTTTACTGGCATAAATACAGATACCTAGACTAATGGAACAGAAAAGAAAGCCCAGAAATAAACCTCACATATGAAATCAATTGATCTTTGACAGGGTTGTCAAAAAGGCACAATGGGGAAAGTATAATCTCTTATATAAATATCCATATAAAAGAAAATGTTGTGTGTGTATATATATATATATATATATATATATATATATATATATATATACACACACATCACATTTCGTATATCCATATATAAAATATATGGATATATAAGCTACGTATATATATATACACACAGAAAATGGAATATATATACACACAATGAAATGCTCTTCAGCCCTAATAAAAAAGGAAATCTTGTCATTTGTGACAACACAGATGAACTTTGAACTCATTGTGCTAAGTGAAATATGACAGTCACATAAATATAAATGCTGCATGATTCCACTTAAATGAGGTATATAAGATGACTGAGTTCATAGAATCAAGGTGTGAGATGGTGGTTGCTTTTGCCAGAGGCTGGGGATTGGAGAAGAGGAGGAGTTACCGAACCCTGGCCATATATTTTCAGTTAAGCAAGATGAATAAGCATAGAGATATGCTGTACATTGTACCTATAACCAACAATAACGTATTGTACACTTGAAAATTATGAAGAAGGTAGATCTCATGTTGTGTCTTTATCAAAAAACTTTTCAAAAAGAACATAAATAATGAATAAATAGGAATAAAGGAAGCAGATCAGTGGTTTTCAGGGGTCAAAAAGAGCACAGGGAGGGACAGCAGTGGAGGATTATAAATGGGTATGAGGCAACCAACTTCTAGAAGTGGTGGATTTGTTCAAAATACTTTTGGGGTTGCTGGTGTCATGGAGATATATACGTATGCATGTACATATATGTGTGTGTATGTGCATTTACTTAAATAAGGGCACTTTTCTGCATGTCCTTTTTATCTCAACAAAGATGCTGTAAATAAATAACTAGAAAAATATTTTGGTAGTTATGGGTCAAGAAGTACTAAATTGAAACTAGAATTATAGTTAATTTATAAATTAACATAAAAATTATGGTCTATTTAACCATTGATTCATTGAAAAACATCTATTCTTTCCATTAGTGTTTATTACGGATAGAGCAGTAATAAACATTACTATACATGTTTTCTGTGAATCTGTTTTTTATTTCTCTAAGACAAATGCCCAAGGGTGGAACTGCTGTATGATATGGTAATTATATGTCTAGTTTTACAGGAAATTTCCAAAATCTTTACCAGACTGTTTATACCATTCTACATTCGCACCAAAAATGTTCTACATATTTTCCACCATGTTTGGTGTTCTCACTATTTTTTATTTGCCTATTCTGGTAGTTGCGGAGTGATATCCCATTGTGGTTTTAATTTGCATTTCCTTGATGGTTAATAATGTTATATCCTCTTCTCATGCTTTTGTCATCTGTATACAGTTTTTGGTGAAATAAATGGACTACTGATAGATGCAACAACTTGAATGACTCTCCAGGAAATTATAGTAAATTAAAAAAAAACGCTAACCCAAAATATATATACAATATAATCCAACTTATAAAGCATTTTAGAAATCAAGCATAAGGTAGTGGTTGTCCTGAATCAGAAATGAGTGAGGTGGAGAGAAGAAAGGAAACCTACAAATGGAAAATATGAAGGATTCTCATGACGACTTTGTATCCTGATTGTGGAAGTTTCTCATGAATATACGCATGGTAAAATGACAAAGAACTAAATATATTCACACACTGACAAAAGTACAAGTAATTCTGATAAAATATCTCAATACTATTTGTGGATGGTATCAATATCAATACCACAATATACTGGTTGTAATATTTACTATAGTTTCAGTTTATACTAAAGTTTTGAAAGCTATTACCATGGCAAGAAATTGGGTAAAGAGTACCAAGGATATCACTGCATTATTTTATACAACTGCATGTGAATATACAATTATCCCTAAAATAATTATTCAAGTAAAAGTATTCATGACATGTGACCAACAATACACTCAGAATAAAATGCATAACTTAAATGATTTAATCAAGAATAATTCATACTAAATTTTGAAATTAAAATAAAAGATAGAAGTGATTAAACTAGCATGGTTTATATCAGGAGTAAGAGAATATCTCCAATGTTAGTAAATTTAACAATATAACCATCATTTATTTCTCAATTCATGTGGCCTTGAGGATCACTAAAATGTAGGCAATATTGTTTTATATTCATTTCTACCTTTAAAAAATCCCTTTTGGTTTTATCCAGAAAGAAAAAATATTTCCTTTATTTAGTAATTATAATCAGTAGTAGAAGAAACTACTGTTTTTTCTTCCAGTAGCCAGGTGGGTGATAGAATTAATTATATGTAGAGTATAAATATGACAATATCTTAATCAAAATTAAGATATTATGTATGTGTATATCTATCTATGCTTATATCAGCAAAGGAAATTTGAGGCAGAACATGCGCTAGGACTTTTTTTAAGTTACTTCAGGTACAGTATGAGTAGGGGATAAAAGGAAGTTATAATTTATATTTGTGTGTGTATCTTTTGTTCATACAAACACACATGCTTGTAATATATATTTATTGTATAATGTAGCATACCTTGCTTATTGTTACTGTAACAAAATAAAAATACTAAAGAAAATATTACATTATAACTAATAAAATAATTATAAAATACTAAACGTCAACATAATTTAGATAATTAAAGTAATAGATAAAGACAACAAACAAAAAATAAATACTACAAAACCTAAGAAGAGACTTAGTTAAACGGAGACAAATTGTGTTCTAGGTTAAGAAGTCTCAGTATTTCATTATGGCATTTCTCCAGCAATTTATTTCTAAAATTTTTTCAATTTAACAACAATACTATCTGAGAATAGACAGACAGTCTTCAGTTGTGTTTTAGAAAAAAAATATATATATATGTATATATATATATATATATATATATATGTAAATAAATCAAACCTTGTTTTACCAATTTATGAAAACTTTTATGAAGACAGGGTAACTTAAAGAATGTGGCACTGGCTTAGTTACAGACAAACACTTGTATGTCAAAATAATATGCCTAGAAACAATTCTACCCTAAAAATGTGTGTATATGTGTAATATATATGTATTATATGTGAGAAATTTAGTCCTACACATGATTAAGAATGATGTTTTACTTAACACACAGCATGAAAATGGTGCTAAGTCTGCAAAAAAAAGTTTGTACTCATATGGATAGTAAAATTTAACTAAAATAATTGTCAGGTAAAATTTAGAATATATTTTCATTGAGCATACAAGTCAAATTGAAATGCTGGACATATATTATGTCAAATTGGAATGCTAGACACATGAAAGTCAAATTAAAATGTTGAACATATAAAAATGCAATATTAGTAAAATAATTTACAAATTCGGTGTTACATTTTGTAAAGATTTTTGTGTCTGTGTTTATGAGAGACATTTGTCTATAATCATTTTGTTTTGTAATGTCTTCTTATGGTTTTCCTGTAAGTATAATGCCGACCCTTTAAAATGAGTTGGGAAGTGGTCTCTCTTCTTCTGTTTTCGGTATTGTTAATATTTTGTATGATTTTATCTTTAAATGTTTAGTATAACTAACTCGATAAAAAACAGCTGAGCCTGAATTATCCTATCTTGGAAGTTTTGTTTATTTTAATTACAAATTAACTTATTTAATAGATACAGACTACATGTGTTATTGCCGATAACTGTTAATTTTTAAGGGATTTTGGTTTGTGTCTTTCATGTAAGTGTCCATATTATTTTATTTATAAAACATAAGAGTATAGGATGATTTACATTACCTCATTTTCATTTAATGTATCTGAGATTAACATGGAAGTAACCTCTTTCATTCATGATGCAAAATTTGCATTCTATCTCTCTCATTTTCTCTTTGGTTAATCTGGTTAGAATTTAATCAATTTTACTAATTTTTTATAGAGTTAAACTTTGAATAGTGTATTTGCCTATTACTTTCCTATGTTTATTTTTATTAATTTCTCCTCTAATTTTTATTAATCCCTGTCTTCTGATAACTTTAGATTTAAGTTGCTATTATTTCTTTAGTTTCCTAAAGCAGAAGCTTAATTTAATATTTTTAATGATTTTTAGTCCTTTCTAATTAAAAAATACAGTATTACAGTGTGTACTGACAGAGAATAATACCTAACATATATATTGACTTAGAAGAAAAACCAAGAAACATAGCAGTATTTTGAGTAGAAATTCATTTTTGTAAAAAAAACAGTGTATATATGTGCACCCTAAACATGCAGTAAGAAGTATGGAAGCATATGCAAAAAGTCTGAAGCAATTTATGGTATGGCTAAGTTTAAGATGTCAAGAACATATTATTTTCCATATATAATTTATTATTGTATGTTTTATATAATAAAATTTATTATTTCTATTATATCAGTGACAATGTATGAATAAACTAGTCAGTGGGAATTTGAGGAAAGATGTTGAGAAATAATTTAGTGATGTTTAGACAATTAACTAACACTTTTTGAAATATAAAACATAAAAGCTAAATCCTTACATCCAAAATTCCATGAAAATAAGTTTCTGATAAAAATAAACATATAAAAAGGTAAATGAAATAAAAAAGTAGAAAATATTATTTTTTCACATTTTTGTGATAGAAAAAATTGTAAATTAGAACTGCAAAAGCATGAATAACAAGGTAATGGGTCTACATAAAAATACTGAACATTTCTATACAATTTAAAAATTTTTTAAAATCTTTGTTGGTTTAAAGTCTGTTTTATCAGAGACTAGGATTGCAATCCCTGCCTTTTTTTGTTTACCATTTGCTTGGTAGATCTTCCTCCATCCCTTTATTTTGAGCCTATGTGTGTCTCTGCATGTGAGATGGGTTTCCTGAATACAGCACACTGATGGGTCTTGACTCTTTATCAAATTTGCCAGTCTGTGTCTCTTAATTGGAGCATTTAGCCCATTTACATTTAAGGTTAATATTGTTACATGTGAATTTGATCCTGTCATTATGATGTTAGCTGATAATTTTGCTCGTTAGTTGATGCAGTTTCTTCCCAGCCTCGATGGTCTTTACAATTTGGCATGTTTTTGCAGTGGCTGGTACCTGTTGTTCCTTTCCATGTTCAGTGCTTCCTTCAGGAGCTCTTTTAGGGCAGGCCTGGTGGTGACAAAATCTCTCAACATTTGCTTGTCTGTAAAGGATTTTATTTCTCCTTCACTTATGAAGCTTAGTTTGGCTGGATGTGAAATTCTGGGTTGAAAATTCTTTTCTTTAAGAATGTTGAAAATTGGCCCCCACTCTCTTCTGGCTTGTAGAGTTTCTGTCGAGAGATCAGCTGTTAGTCTGATGGGCTTCCCTTTGTGGGTAACCCGACCTTTCTCTCTGTCTGCTCTTAACATTTTTTCCTTCATTTCAACTTTGGTGAATCTGACAATTACATGTCTTGGAGTTGCTCTTCTCGAGGAGTATCTTTGTGGAATTCTCTGTATTTCCTGAATTTGAACGTTGGCCTGCCTTGCTAGATTGGGGAAGTTCTCCTGGATAATACCCTGCAGAGCGTTTTCCAACTTGGTTCCATACTCCCTGTCACTTTCAGGTACACCAATCAGATATAGTTTTGGTCTTTTCACATAGTCCCATATTTCTTGGAGGCTTTGCTGGTTTCTCTTTATTCTTTTTATTCTTTTTTTCTCTAAGCTTCTCTTCTCACTTCATTTCATTCATTTCATCTTCCATCACTGATATCCTTTCTTCCAGTTGATTGAATTGGCTACTGAGGCTTGTGCATTCATCACGTAGTTCTCATGCCTTGGGTTTCAGCTCCATCAGGTCCTTTAAGGACTTCTCTGCATTGATTATTCTGTTAGCCATTCGTCTAATTTTTTTTCAAGGTTTTTAACTTCTTTGCCATGGGTTCGAACTTCTTGCCTTAGCTCGGAGTTTGATCATCTGAAGGCTTCTTCTCCCAACTCGTCAAAGTCATTCTCTGTCCAGCTTTGTTCCGTTGCTGGTGAGGAGCTGCATTCCTTTTGAGGAGGAGAGGCGCTCTGATTTTTAGAGTTTCCAGTTTTTCTGCTCTGTTTTTTCCCCATCTTTGTGGTTTTATCTACCTTTGTTCTTTGACGATGGTGACGTACAGATGGGGTTTTGGTGTGGATGTCCTTTCTGTTTGTTAGTTTTCCTTCCAACGGTCAAGACCCTCAGCTGCAGGTCTGTTGGAGTTTGCTGGAGGCCCACTCCAGACTCTGTTTGCCTGGGTATTAGCAGCAGAGGCTGCAGAATAGCGGGTATTGGTGAGCAGCAAATGTTGCTGTCTGATCGTTCCTCTGGAAGTTTTGTCTCAGAGGAGTACCCGGCCCTGTGAGGTGTCAATCTGCCCCTGCTGGGGGGTGCCTCCCAGTTAGGCTACTCGGGGGTCAGGGACCCACTTAAACCAACATAGATCAAAAGAGACAAAGGAGGCCATTATATAATGGTAAAGGGATAAACTCAACAAGAAGAGCTAACTGTCCTAAATATATATGCACCCAATACAGGAGCACCCAGATTCATAAAACAAGTCCTTAGAGACCTATAAAGAGACTTAGACTCCTACACAATAATAATGGGAGACTTTAACACCCCACTGTCAACATTAGACAGACCAATGAGACAGAAAGTTAACAAGGATATCCAGGAAATGAACTCAGCTCTGCACCAAGTGGACCTAATATAGACATCTACAGAACTCTCCACCCCAAATCAACAGAATATACATTCTTCTCAGCACCACACCGCACTTATTCCAAAATTGACCACATAGTTGGAAGTAAAGCACTCCTCAGCAAATGTAAAACAACAGAAATTATAACAAACTGTCTCTCAGACCACAATGCAATCAAACTAGAACTCAGGATTAAGAAACTCACTCAAAACCACTCAACTATATGGAAACTGAACAACCTGCTCCTGAATGACTACAGGGTACATCACAAAATGAAGGCAGAAATAAAGATGTTCTTTGAAACCAAGGAGAACAAAGACACAACATACCAGAATCTCTGGGACACATTCAAAGCGGAGTGTAGAAGGAAATTTATAGCACTAAATGCCCACAAGAGAAAGCAGGAAACATCTAAAATTGACACCCTAATATCACAATTAAAAGAACTAGAGAAGCAAGAGGAAACACATTAAAAGCTAGCTGAAGGCAAGAAATAAATAAGATCAGAGCAGAACTGAAGGAAATAGAGACATAAAAAACTCTTCAAAAAATCAATGTATCCAGGAGCTGGTTTTTTGAAAAGATCAACAAAATTGATAGACCACTAGCAAGACTAATAAAGAAGAAAAGAGAGAAGAATCAAATAGACGCAATAAAAGATGATAAAGGGGATATCACCACCAATCCCACAGAAATACAAACTACCATCAGAGAATAGTATAAACACCTCTACGCAAATAAACTAGAAAATCTAGAAGAAATGGATAAATTCCTTGACACAGACACCTTCCCAAGACTAAAAGTCGAAACTCTTAATAGACCAATAACAGGCTCTGAAATTGAGGCAATAATTAATAGCTTACCAACCAAAAAAAGTCCAGGACCAGATGGATTCACAGTCAAATTCTACCAGAGGTACGAGGAGGAACGGGTACCATTCCTTCTGAAACTATTCCAATCAATAGAAAAAGAGGGAATCCTCCCTAACTCATTTTAGGAGGCCAGCATCATCCTGATACCAAAGCCTGGCAGAGACACAACAAAAAAAAAGAATATTTCAGGCCAATATCCTTGATGAACATCGATGCAAAAATCCTCAATAAAATACTGGCAAACCGAATCCAGCAGCACATCAAAAAGCTTATCCACCATGATCAAGTGGGCTTCATCTCTGAGATGCAAGGCTGGTTCAACATACGAAAATCAATAAACATAATCCAGCATATAAACAGAACCAATGACAATAACCACATGATTATCTCAATAGATGCAGAAAAGGCCTTTGACAAAATTCAACAACCCTTCATCCTAAAAACTCTCAATAAATTAGGTATTGATGGGACGTATCTCAAAATAATAAGAGCTATCTAGGACAAACCCACAGCCAATATCATACTGAATTGGCAAAACCTGGAAGCATTCCCTTCGAAAACTGGCACAAGACAGGGATGCCCTCTCTCACCACTCCTATTCAACATAGTGTTGGAAGTTCTGGCCAGGGCAATTAGGCAGGAGAAGGAAATAAAGGGTATTCAATTAAGAAAAGAGGAAGTCAAATTGTCCTTGTTTGCAGATGACATGATTGTATATCTAGAAAACCCCATCATCTCAGCCCAAAATCTCCTTAAGCTGATAAGCAACTTCAGCAAAGTCTCAGGATACAAAATCAATGTACAAAAATCACAAGCATTCCTATACACCAACAGACAAACAGAGAGCCAAATCATGAGTGAACTCCCATTCACAATTGCTTCAAAGAGAATAAAATACCTAGGAATCCAACTTACAAGGGACATGAAGGACCTCTTCAAGGAGAACTACAAACCACTGCTCAATGAAATAAAAGAGGATACAAACAAATGGAAGAACATTCCATGCTCATGGAAAGGAAGAATCAATATCGTGAAAATGGCCATACTGCCCAAGGTAATTTATAGATTCAATGCCATCCCCATCAAGCTACCAAGGACTTTCTTCACAGAATTGGAAAAAACTACTTTAAGGTTCATATGGAAGCAAAAAATAGCCCGCATCGCCAAGTCAATCCTAAGCCAAAAGAACAAAGCTGGAGGTATCACGCTACCTGACTTCAAACTATACTACAAGGCTATAGTAACCAAAACAGCACGGTACTGGTACCAAAACAGAATATAGACCAATGGAACAGAACAGAGTCCTCAGAAATAATGCTGCATATCTACAACTATCTGATCTTTGACAAACCTGACAAAAACAAGAAATGGGGAAAGATTCCCTATTTAATAAATGGTGCTGGGAAAACTGGCTAGCCATATGGAGAAAGCTGAAACTGGATCCCTTCCTTACACCTTATACTAAAATTAATTCAAGATGGATTAAAGACTTAAATGTTAGACCTGAAACCATAAAAACCCTAGAAGAAAACCTAGGCAATACCATTCAGGACATAGGCATGGGCAAGGACTTCATGTCTAAAACACCAAAAGCAATGGCAACAAAAGACAAAATTGACAAATGGGATCTAATTAAACTAAAGAGCTTCTGCACAGCAAAAGAAACCACCATCAGAGTGAACAGGCAACCTACAGAATGGGAGAAAATTTTTGCAATCTACTCATCTGACAAAGGGCTAATATCCAGAATCTACAATGAACTCAAACAAATTTACAAGAAAAAAACAAACAACTCCATCACAAAGTGGGTGAAGGATATGAACAGACACTTCTCAAAAGAAGACATTTATGTAGCCAAAAGACACATGAAAAAATGCTCATCATCACTGGCCATCAGAGAAATGCAAATCAAAACCACAATGAGATACCCTCTCACACCAGTTAGAATGGCGATCATTAAAAAGTCAGGAAACAACAGGTGCTGGAGAGGATGTGGAGATACAGGAACACTTTTACACTGTTGGTGGGACTGTGAAGTAGTTCAACCATTGTGGACGTCAGTGTGGCGATTCCTCAGGGATCTAGAATTAGAAATTCCAGTTGATCCAGCCATCCCATTACTGGGTATATACCCAAAGAAATATAAATCATGCTGCTATAAAGACACATGCACACCTATATTTATTGCGGCACTATTCACAATAGCAAAGACTTGGAACCAACCTAAATGTCCAACAATGATAGACTGGATTAAGAAAATGTGGCACATATACACCATGGGATACTATGCAGCCATAATAAATGATGAGTTCATGTCCTTTGTAGGGACGTGGATGAAGCTGGAAACCATCTTTCTCAGCAAACTATTGCAAGGACAAAAAACCAAGCACCGTATGTTCTCACTCATAGGTGGGAATTGAACAATGAGAACACATGGACACAGGAAGAGGAACATCACACACAGGGGCCTCTTGTGGGGTGGGGGAAGAGGAGAGGGATACCATTAGGAGACATACGTAATGTTACATGATGAGTTAATGGGTGCAGCATACCAGCATGGCCCATGTATACATATGTAACTAACCTGCACGTTGTGCACATGTACCCTAAAACTTAAGTAAAATTTAAAAAAAATTAAATTTAGGCAAATTGGAGAGATTAAATTATTCCCATATATTGAACATTAGAAACATAAATTGGATGATAATGTTGAAAGATAATTTACATATAAGTAAGAAATTTTTTAAAAATTATATACTTATATAGACCTAATAATTTTACATTTAATTTTTTCTAAGGAAATAATCAAGTATATGTAAAAGTGTGTAGACAAAAGATATTTACATTAACAAATTACAGTACAACTTACTCTTCCAAAACAGAATATGTCTAAACAAATACTCTTTCAAAAGCTTTATAAAGCTTGAAGAATAATGTTGTAATTATTTAGCGATTTGGAAAAATGTTCATAACGTAATATTAAGACAAAATATCAGGTTGTAGTTCTAAATATGGTAGACGTTAGTCTAGCTATCTCAATCATCATTTTAAAAGTAGAAGGCATTCAAAAATTAAAAGCAGAGATGTTCCAAGGGATGAAAATATCAACTATATTACCTATTAAAAAATTACATTAAATATGATGACACAAATAGGTTAAATGTAACTGAGAAAGATATACCATGCTATCGCAAATCAAAAGAAACTGGAATGGCCAGTAATATGATTTTAGGAAAAGCAGATTTCAGAGCAAGAAAAATTATCAGAATGATTTTAAATACAAAACAAGAATTACACAGATCATGAAATAGTGTACTCACTTATGACCAGTTGAGTATACAGAATCATTTAGAGTCATTTTTTGTATGTAACCAATTGAGAATTGCTATTAGTAGAGGAAACATACCATGAATTAATATTTCTTAAACAATATTTTCTCTTCCTCTTCAAGACCATATAACAATAGTTTATTCAGTGCTTTTGTGGCTTGGAGTTTAATTAGGAAATTTTTGCAGTTGTGTATTTTGGGATATTTTGTAAGAAATCTAAAGTTGTCCTCAGAAACATTTTTTAATTTGTTCCTATTTTAAATAGACTTTAAAAATATTTACTCATGCAGAATTATTTTTATCTCTGAACTTATTTAGGACAAAGCCTGTATCTACCAGTTAGCACCAAGCCTGGCACGTAGAAATTCTTAAATAAATATATACAGTGTGAATGAGTGGTAAATTAGTCATTAGGTGAAGGAAGCAACAATATTATCATCATCTGACAACACTTTCTTCTATTGAGAAATACAATTAATAGGAACCTTCTATTCTTTCTTAATTTAAAACTACATAGAAAAAGTTTTAATTTCAATAATATGTTCATTAAAATTTTAAGAAAGATTATTTCAAAACTCCTTGTTAAAGTAATCCATAGCTCCAAATCATAAAAACTAAATGCTTTACATCTCATAAGAAAATAATTTCACAATGTAGTTGTAGCAGGGATAAGAATAACTTTTCCCGGAAAATATGGTATGGAAAAGTCATGGAACTCTCAAAGAAAATATAAGACTCCATAGCTTTCAGCCTGGAAATTTATAGTCACCAAATATAGGTCAAACTAACTATATTTTTGTCTGGAATTATAACTAAAAGCACTGGCCAAATATGGCTGTTTCTTTAGACACCAACTTTATTTCAAGTGTTATTTTAATTTCTATTTTTTATTTCATTTGTCCTTTCCCTAAAGTTTTACCTTGAATAGACAGAAACATTGCTTATATTTCTTACTACAATGCTTTAACTTAGCTATTCCACTGACTTAACAAGAATTCAGATGGCAGTAGAATGAAGATAACTGTCAGCCTTAGAAAAACATGAGCTTCTAAAGGAGTTTCTCTCCTTCAGCCTTTGTGTTTCATGGTACAGGATCTAATACATCATTCTGATATCAGAAAGCATGACATACAGTCATCCATTTTGTTTTATTCTATGTATTTAATCAAAATGGATGATCTAGGGAGCTTTTTCTGAGCATATGCTTATCCATATTTTAAGCCAATAATTTTGACCAAGATAACACAGATTTTAAAGAAAAACTAATCTATTTCAATAGTTATACACTCAACTTGAACCCACTAAACATTATCATTTCACCTTTATTGTACCTTTTTTATAAGTTTGAAGACACTTTCCTTTTATATTATTTGTATTATGGAAAATAATTATTTTACCCAAATGTAGTATTACAACATTAATTCTATTATTTCATTATTTGATATAAATGCTAGTATTTTTATAATGGCTTTATTAAGATATAGTTCATGTTCTATATAATTCACCTGTACCATGTAATATATAGTTATTAATTCAGTATCATGATTCAGGACACAGCTGACATTATTCTACTCTGAATTTGATATTATTTTACTCTGCTTGCATATAAATTCATGAGAAAAATATAACGGGGAATATCTTAACATACAAATAATTCAGTTCTCTAATTTCTATACAATAGTACCAACATATATTTCATGTTATATTTAGAAATCTTGGTTTAAAATTAAATTTCATTCAAATAAGAATACATTACAATTTTATTAAAATGCTTTCATCAATATTCATACTGTGACACAGCCCTATAGATTAAATAAAGTAATAATACAATCTAACATTGCTGCAATAATTTGTACTTGGTTTCCAAAATATTTTATAGGCATTATAGCTGAACAAAGATAATAATAATAATATTTTGCATAAATGTAGTAATTTACATTTGTTTCCATAAAGTTCAAAGCTTATTTATTTATCTGAACCTTGTGAGATAAGAAGGGGAGTATTTATCATCACTATTTTATCACTGTGAACTGATGGCTAGAGAGCAGCTAAAGCATGTCTCAAATGGATATTCTTTTCAGAGAACTTAGCTACAACAAAGGCGGAAAAGATAGAATGACTCTGAAGTAAAGGAAAATTTCAAAATAGTTTCTATCTTAAAAAGACATGAAAATTTTCTGAGAATAAGAATGAATGCATTTTCCCTATTGTTGTCTTTTCTTGCATCCACTTCTCTTTACTCACCCCTGTTAATCAACTTAAATGTACGTTTCATGTTTTTTTCCTGATCTTTTGAGAGCAAGAGGTGTGTATTTTGTCCTTTTTATCCTCAGCATCTAGAAAAGTGATTGCAATACAGAAGAAATTTAATAAATACTAATTCAATGACTGAATGCTTCTTTCTAGAAAGAGCCTGCCTGGCTTCTTTCCTCTTTTTCCAGTGGAAATCTATTCAATGAATAAACAGTACTTGATATATATTTCTTAATTTTATTATATGGGAAACAGGAATTACCATGCCATCACAATTCTCTGTTCAGTCTAGTGTTTGTTGATTGACTGAGTGATTCATTTATTCACTAGCTCATTCATTCATTCATTTCACTTTATTACATCCACCAAATATCTACTGATTATCTACCATGTATTTGGTACAATGCTGGATACTAGGAATTCAAAAGCAAGCAAAGCATATATAATCGTTACCATCGTAGACTGGGAAGTGAGAAATTAAATAATACTTAAAATGTAAAAAAATGCAAAACAGAAAAAAGCGTGACAGGATAGCACAGAGGAGTGAGAACTGGTTTAACTGGTTTACTCCACAGACACCAGAGAAGGCTTTTCAGAGAATGAGAAAGAGTTGCTGTTGTCTAAAAAGTAAATAAGATTTTAATTAGGCAAAAAAAAAAAAAAAAAAAAAGAAAACACCATTCTAGGTGGGGAGAACAACAAATTTAAGAGCCCAATTGTAGGAGGGAAGGTAGTCCATTTCAGGAAAATAAAGAAATCTGGTGTGGACCACAGTGAACAAATAGAAGGGTGATATTAGATGAGGGATTAAATATGAGTAAAGGCCAGATAAGTGAGAAATTGCATAACATGTTAACAGTTTAGGTTGATAATCTCAAAATTAAATCCACAGAAAAGGCTTAATTTGTAGGTGCATAGTCAGAATTAAGGTTTCCATAATGATAATCAAAAATATAACTCTAGCTTTATTTTGAAGACTGAATGTAAGAATGAAAAATGCAGATATAAAAAGTCATTTACATCTCTATGTCATAGTTTAAGGAATGACACAATAGATGATATTAAATGCACTATAATATTTTTTGAGAAATTGGGTGAAACTCAAGATGTTAAGGAGGCAAAAATGAACAGGTCCTAATGACCAGTTGAATTTTGATGAGCAATGGAAGAAGGAGGGTGTTAAGAAAGTTCATATCTATCTGGATTGGAAACCAAAAGTAAAAACAGTAATAAAAAATACAGACATATAGAAAGCACAAACAAGAAAAATTGAGTGAAATGCTAATACTCAGATTTCTGTTTAAAACATGTTTCTGAGATATCTATTAAATATCTAAGTATATGACTTTAGTGGACAGCTGAGTAAGCATGCTTTGAGATAAAGATCTGGGACAAGATATGTGAATGTGAAGGTCATATAGATGCTTACATATGATAATTATTACTTTGGGCATGAAATTTCTCTGTGAAAATATAGATAATGAAAAAAAGAAGGGTGATTTGGACAAAATCATGAGGCTCTCCAACATCAAAAGGCTGAAGATAAGATGATGAACCAGTAAAAAACAAATTAGGAGAATATAGAAAGGCAATTGTTAAAAAGAAATCAGGAGAGAACGAGGTGATGAAAGCCAAAGAGTACTCAAAACTTGTTTAGACATCATCGATATTTAGGACTGAAAATGACAAAGGAACTTAATGGCATAGAGTTGAACAATGACAATATCAATAGCCATTTTGGTGAACCAACAGTTAGTTGTATTAGAGGGTGTTAAACTGTAAGTAGACAGTGATGAGGAAAAGAAAACAACAAGTATAAACAACTACTCTTAGCTATTTTATGAAGATTGTAGTAAAAAAGAGAAATAGAAAGTAAAAAATAGAAATAGATTTGTTTTAAGTTAGAGAAGATAAAGATTTTAACAAGTATAATTCCCAAAAGAAATCATTTAAGAGGAGGAAAAATTTGAAGATAAAGATGAGAGAAATAATTATCAATAGATATTAGATTCCCAAGAGGGTAGGACAGGATTATATCCAGAACCCAAGAGTAAATTATTACAAAATGAGGATTAAGAGAGGAGGGGCTCAGAACCAGGACTAGCTGAACATCTGGTAACTTCACTTCCAGGAAATCTAACCACTGGTTTCTATTCTCTGTGGGCACAGAATGTAAGAAAAATAATTGGAATGGAGAGGTATGGGATAGTGATGAAATGAGTTAGAAGTAGAAGCAAAATGAAGAAAGATGGAAATAGTCCTCGTTGAAAGTAGGAGAAAGAAACCAAGAAAGCCTTTCACTCCACTTGTCTCCCCTTTGAATGGTCAAATAACAGTTCTTAGACTGGTCCTCATTTTTGCTTTTTATTCACATTGCTTTTGATTTTTTTTTCCATTTACACAACTAATGTATTTTTTTCCAAGTAGAAGAGAACAATTTAAGTACTCCTTGATAAAAACACAATACCACTCCATTGTTACTTTAGATATAACTGATCATTTTCTATTTGTTTAATTTGCATCCAAATGTATACACTTAATGAAAAATAGAGTTTTCCTTTGTCTTTATGAGAAACTTTATCAGATGTAAATAAGGGAACAACTAACAGGGCGAAGCAAGGCTTTCAACCCTTTCTAGGGCAGTAAAGATGGATGGAGACAGAGGAGTTAAAGGAAGCCAGGGGTAAAGAAAAGTATGACGGCTTGTGGTGAGGTATCAGAGATGAGTGAGTAGGGAGGGGATTAAAGAAGAAGAAGAGAAGGAAAGAATAGAAAACATAAATAAACAGAAAAGTGCACAAATCTTTTGGCCAGTGTCTGAAATAGCAGTATACCAACAAAGTAAAATGTTTTGATGTTAAAATAATAAATTCAAAATAATAAAAAATAATTGAATACTGGAATGCTGAGGCCCAGTACTGCTGTTATTACATACAAAATCTTAAGTAGCACTGCTATTGCCCATCTTAAGTGATGCCAGGACCAGCATCTCTGTAATTTTCTTGGCCTTCACTGTAAGAAAATGGCTGAAAGCTCCAGGCATAATATCCATTTTAATGCCAGGAAGAAAGATATAAAAGAAGTACTCAGCTGCATTGTGGAAAAACAAAGTTGGAAGCAATGTCACTCACTGTGGAATGACATTTGGCTTGAGCATTGTCTCCTACCAGGATAAAAATACAGAAACTCTTCAGCAACATTCAATGTAATATACTTTTATAATTTTCTTTGGACAAAAATCAAGTTGGTACCCTGTGACTCACTTTGATCTAAGGTTTTTTGACTTGAAATGAATTAGACATTTTCCAGTAAACTTTTAAAAAAGAGATTTCATAGTAAGGAAAAAAAAAGTCTTGTATTTTCACATTATTTCCATTTCCATTTATTTTCATTCCATTGGGTAGATCCACATTTCCATCAAATGCAGTTTTCCTTGTGATTGAATGACTTTTTTTTCTTCTTTTAAGATTACCTCCCTCTTTTTTTTCCCCCTTTCTGGCACTCATAATATAAAGATGCTTACAATTCTATTTCTATTTTCCAAATCACTTTACTTATTATTAAGTCTTTTTCTTTTCTTTGTTTTTTATCTTGATGCTTTCTGGGATAATTCCTTATCCTGGATTTGAGCTCATTAATTTGTAGTTTATTCACTATTTTATGTCTAATATTTCCAGTGAGTTATTAAATTTTATTAACTATTTATTTACAAAATAATTGTTTTTTTTGTCCTTGCTCCATGTTATTAGTATCCATCTTGTCTCTCTAAAAATGTTTAAAATCATATTTTGGCTGGTCTATACATATCATTTTAGTTTATGTGGACTACAAACAGAAGTTCTTTAGTTTAATTAGATCCCATTTGTGAATTTTGACTTTTGTTGTCACTGCTTTTGGTGTTTTAGTCATGATGTCTTTGCCCATGCCTGTGTCCTGAATGGTACTGCCTAGGTTTTCTTCTAGGGTTTTTGTGGTTTTAGATCTTATGTTTACGTCTTTAATCCATCTTGAATTAATTTTTGTATAAGGTGTAAGGAAGGGGTCCAGTTTCAGTTTTCTGCATATGGCTAGCCATTTTTCCCAACATCATTTTTTAAATAGGGGATCCTTTCCCCATTGCTTGTTTTTGTCAGGTTTTTCAAAGATCAGATGGTCGTAGATGAGTGGTGTTATTTCTGAGGTCTCTGTTCTGTTCCATTGGTCTATATATATGTTTTGGTACCAGTACCATGCTGTTTTGTTATTGTAGCTTTGTAGTATAGTTTGAAGTCAGGTAGTGTGATGCCTCCGGCTTTGTTCTTTTTGCTTAGAATTTTCTTGGACATATGGGCTCTTTTTTGGTTCCATATGAAATTTAAAGTAGTTTTTTTCTAATTCTGTGAAGAAAGTCAGTGGTAGCTTGATGGTGATAGCACTGAATCTATAAATTACTTTGGGCAGTATGGCCATTTTCACAATATTGATTCTTCCTATCCATTGGCATGGAATGTTTTTCCATTTGTTTGTATCCTCTCTTATTTCCTTGAGCAATGGTTTGTAGTTCTCCTTGAAGAGGGCCTTGATATCTCTTGTAAGTTGGATTCCTAGGTATTTTATTATCTTTGTAGCACTTGTGAATGGGAGTTCACTCATGATTTGGCTCTCTGTTTGTCTGTTGTTGGTGTATAGGAATGCTTGTGATTTTTGCACATTGATTTTGTATCCTGAGACTTTGCTGAAGTTGCTTATCCGCTTAAGGAGATTTTGGGCTGAGACGATGAGGTTTTCTAAATATACAATCATGTCATCTGCAAACACAGACAATTTGACTTCCTCTCTCCTTATTTCAATACTCTTTATTTCTTTCTCTTCCCTGATTGCCCTGGCCAGAACTTCCAATACTATGTTGAATAGGAGTGGTGAGAGAGGGCATCCTTGTCTTGTGCTGGTTTTCAAAGGGAATGCTTACAGCTTTTGCCCATTCAGTAGGATATTGGTTGGGTGTTTGTCATAAATAGTTCTTACTATTTTGAGATACATTCCATCAATACCTAGTTTATTGAGAGTTTTTAGCATGAAGTGGTGTTGAATTTTACCAAAGGCCTTTTCTGCATCTATTTAGATAATCATGTGGTTTTTGTCGTTGGTTCTGTTTATGTGATGGATTATGTTTATTGATTTGCATATGTTGAACCAACCTTGCATCCCAGAGATGAAGCCAGTTTGAACGTGGTGGATAAGCTTTTAATGTGTTGCTGGATTCGGTTTGCCAGTATTTTATTGAGGATTTTTGAATCAATGTTCATCAGGGATATTGGCCTGAAGTACTCTTTTTTTGTGTCTCTGCCAGGTTTTGGTATCAGGATGATGCTGGCCTCATGAAAAGAGTTAGGGAGGAACCTCTCTTTTTCTATTGTTTGGAATAGTTTCAGAAGGAATGGTACCAGCTTCTCTTTCTACCTCTGGTAGAATTTGGCTGTGAATCCATCTGTTCCTGGGCTTTTTTTTGGCTGGTAGGCTGTTAATTACTGCCTCAATTTCAGAACTTCTTATTGGTCTATTCAGATATTTGACTTCTTCCTGATTTCATCTTGGAAGGGTGTATGTGTCCAGGAACTTATCCATTTCTTCTAGATTTTCTAGTTTATTTGCGTAGAGGTGTTTATAGTATTCTCTGATTGTAGTTTGTATTTCTGTGGGATCAGTGGTGATATCTCCTTTATCATTTTTTATTGGGTCTATTTGATTCTTCTCTCTTTCCTTTTTTATCAGTCCGGCTAGAGGTCTATTTTGTTAATCTTTTCAAAAAACCAGCTCCTGGATTCATTTATTTTTTGAAGGGTTTTTCATGTCTTTATCTCCTTCAGTTCTACTGTGGTCTTAGTTATTTCTTGCCTTCTGATAGCTTTTGAATTTTTTTGCTCTTGCTTCTCTAATTCTTTTAATTGTGATGTTAGGGTGTCGATTTTAGATCTTTCCCGCTTTCTCCTGTGGGCATTTAGTGCCATAAATTTCCCTCTAAACACTGCTGTAGCCATGTTCCAGAGATTCTAGTATGTTGTGTCTTTGTTCTCATTCATTTCAAAGAACTTATTTATTTCTGATTTAATTTTGTTATTTATCCAGTAGTCATTCAGGAGCTGGTTGTTCAGTTTCCATGTAGCTGTGCAGTTTTAAGTGGGTTTTTAAATTCTGAGTTCTAATTTGATTGCACTGTGGTCTGAGAAACTGTTTGTTAGGATTTCCATTCTTTTGCATTTGCTGAGGAGTTTTACTTCTAATTGTGTGGTCAGTTTTAGAATAAGTGCAATGTGGTGCTGAGAATTTGTATTCTGTTGATTTTGGGGGGAGAGCCCTGTAGATGTCTGTTAGGTCTGCTAGGTCTAGAGCTGAGCTCAAGTCCTGAATGTCCTTGTTAATTTTCTGTCACGTTGATCTGTCTAATATTGACAGTGGGGTATTAAAGTATCCCATTATTATTGTGTGGGAGTCTGAGTCTCTTTGTAGGTCTCTTAAAAACTTGCTTTATGAATTTGGGTGCTCCCGTATTGGGTGCATATATATATTTAGGATAGTTAGCTAGCTCAGCGTCTGCCCAAACGGCACCCAGTTTTGTGCTTGAAACCCAGGGTCCTGGTGGTGTAGGCACCCGAGGGAATCTCCTGGTCTGTGGATTGTGAAGACCATGGGAAAAGCATAGTATCTGGGCAGGAATTCACCATCCCTCATGGCACAGTCCCTTATGGCTTCCCTTGGCTAGGGGAGGGAGTTCCCTGACCCCTTGCACTTCCCGGGTGAGGCGACACCCCACCCTGCTTTGGTTTGCCTTCTGTGGGCCGCACTCACTGCCTAACCAGTTCCAATGAGATGAGCTGGTTACCTCAGTTGGAAATGCAGAAATCACCCACCATCTGCGTTGATATCGTTGGGAGTTGCAGACTGGAGCTGTTCTTATTCGGCCATCTTGCCAGCCACTATGTGTCTTCTTAGAAATTTCAGGGGCTAATCTTGAGACAGACAGATGAAGTCTGAAGACCCAGTGGCAAAATTTCAGAGACCAATTGAAGACATCTAATCAACCACCCAGCCATTGTTGAGACAAAGTCAGCTCAGTGGATTGGGAGCCAAGACAGCCACCAGAACAAGACACAAAGGCATTGTCCTCAGCTTGCGATCCAGATAGACTGGAACCCAACATAGCTGCTAGAACAAGACACATGGATTTGTGCTCAGCCCAATTCTTACATGTCTTCCTTATCAAGTTTTCCCTTTTTAAACCCATACTTCCTTCCCGACCCCACGGAAATTCAAGCAGTTAGTTTGGGTAGGAATCTGGCTGCTTACCCATTTACTAGTTTCAGTTAATAAATTCACTTTCTTTCTACCATACCTCGTTCTTGTTAATTGGACTCTGCAGGGGGTGAGCATCTGGACCTGTGTTCAGTTACAAGACCAGTGTTTTAATCAAAATTCCCATAAATTTTCCATGGGGAGCAAATTTTCCCCAGATAAGTCTGCTAGCTTAGGTGATGTTATTTCAAAGTGTGGGTTAAAGATGGTGATATTGCTTGTACCCTCTTCTATTTAGAGAGTAGGTGATATAGCATTCACAACATAGATGATTATTTTGATTTGTTCTAAATTGTTCTGACAATTTTTTCTCTGACCAACTCTACAAGCAGGCAACTCTCTCCAATAGAACCAACCATTTGATGGTATCACCTTGCCCTTGGGTATGGAGGATGAAGAGGAACTTTTAGTTTATTCCTGTACTTGTTTTTATCTACTTCTTACCCTACCGCTTTTTTTCCAGGCTTTGTGTTATAGTAACACCTTTTATTTCCATATCCTAAAAATCCCAATATATATTATATCCATTTTGTTTGAAAAGTCAATGATCTTTTGTTGAATTATAGCTAGTTAGCCAAAAACGAATAATGTATAAACACTTCAGTAAAGAAGATATGTTTATTGCAAAATAGCATTTATTCAGTATCATAAGGCATTAGAGAAATAAAATTTAAAATGAAATTAGGTACTACTACATACTTAAGAGACTGTCTTAAATTAAAAATTCTAACCATACCAATTGTTGGTAAGGATTCAGAACAATTGGATTTCTCATAAACTACTGATGGGAATCTAAAATTATACAATCACTTTGGAAACCTGCATGGTAGTTTGTTAAAAAGTTAAACATACACCTACCATACAACCTACTCACTTCATACTTAAGTATTTGCTCCAAAGAAATAAAAACATATGTCTACACAAAGATGTGTATATGAATGTCTGTAGTAGCTCTATTGTAATAATCCTAAACTGAAAAAATCCAAATGTCATACAACCACAGGTGAATGGATAAGCAAATTGTGGTATGTCTATACAATGGGATACTACTCAGCAATTGAGAGGAATTGTGTAGTGAGGCATGCAACAGCATGAATCCATCTCAAAACAATTATGCTGAATGAAAGAAAGCAGACATAAAATAGCATATCCTTTACGATTTTATTTATATAACTTTTTAGAAAATGCACAAAAATATTTGAAGACAGAAGATTGTCTGGGGATGGAACACATAGGTATAGATAGGATGAAGAGTTTACAAAAGAAATTAAGGAAACAATGACATTTTGGGGAATGATTCATATGTACATTATCTTTATTGTAGTGGATATATTATATATGTTTATATATATATGTGTGTGTGTGTGTGTGTGAGTGTGTGTGTGTGTGTGTGTGTGTGTGTGTGTGTATCTGTCACCTGGCCTGAGATCCCTTGGGAAAGGGAGGTTGAAAAAGTGAATGAAATACATAAATAACATCAGAATGAGAAAAAAAGCAAAGACTTGCTCTAGTCAGTAACCATCACTTACATCTACCAGAGACTCGAAGAGTGGGAAAGCTTTATATATATAAATTAAACATAATATAAATATAATACATAAAAATATATATAACATGTAAATCTTGCACCTAGAGAGGCAAATAAATTGAGAGAGACAGAAAGAAATAAAGAGCAAGAGATACACAACAAAATAGCTCATTTTAATTTATTTTAGATTAGTATTATACTTCAAAACTTTTTGTCCTAACATACAACTTTGCTCAAAATATTGTCTCTTAAATTAGAAAATTTATAAAAGTGCCGTATTTTCTAACATTCTTCAAAGTAATCTTTTTACTCTAGACTCTTAACTTTTTTTTTATTATTATTATACTTTAAGTTTTAGGGTACATGTGCACACTGTGCAGGTTAGTTACATATGTATACATGTGCCATGCTGGTGTGCTGCACCCACTAACTCGTCATCTAGCATTAGGTATATCTCCCAATGCTATCCCTCCCCCTTCCCCCCACCCCACAACAGTCCCCAGAGTGTGATGTTCCCCTTCCTGTGTCCATGTGCTCTCATTACTCAATTCCCACCTATGAGTGAGAATATGTGGTGTTTGGTTTTTTGTTCTTGCGATAGTTTACATGAACAGACACTTCTCAAAAAAAGACATTTATGCAGCCAAAAAACACATGAAAAAATGCTCACCATCACTGGCCATCAGAGAAATGCAAATCAAAACCACAATGAGATACCATCTCACACCAGTTAGAATGGCGATCATTCAAAAGTCAGGAAACAACAGATGCTGGAGAGGATGTGGAGAAATAGGAACACTTCTACACTGTTGGTGGGACTGTAAACTAGTTCAACCTTTGTGGAAGTCAGTGTGGTGATTCCTCAGGGATCTAGAACTAGAAGTACCATTTGACCCAGCCATCCCATTACTGGGTATATACCCAAAGGACTATAAATCATGCTGCTATAAAGACACATGCACACGTATGTTTATTGCGGCACTATTCACAACAGCAAAGACTTGGAATCAACCCAAATGTCCAACAATGATAGACTGGATTAAGAAAATGTGGCACATATACACCATGGAATACTATGCAGCCATAAAAAATGATGAGTTCATGTCCTTTGTAGGGACATGGATGAAATTGGACTCTTAACTTTTAAACTCAAAATAGCATTTGAATTTCTGACAGTTGCTCTGAATGCATTCGTTTGCCTTTAACTCTTTTTGCTGTTGTTATTAAACACATTGTGATTTTAAAATTATATTTGCTCTTCATTTCATTTCCATAGGATACTGGAAGATATATAAGGAGGTTAATGCCTCTTTCTATGAGGTGTTAAAAAAAAAAGCTTATGGTGTTTAAATTTAAATCAAATAAAAATAGGCAGTGGAGAAGAAAACTGGGTTTTTGACACAAAGATTAGAGGCAATAGAGGTGATAGAATGATAAAAGTAAAAGTCACAGGACACTTGTACTAGGCATTTGGGAATGAGTTAGGGGTTGGGGAGAAACTGTTTATTCAGAGAGTATTTCAAAGAATTTCTTTGCTTTCAAGGTTACCATTAACATGCTGAGAAGTAAAATACATGTGCAGGATTTATGTGATAGAATGACATAATATAAAACAAGTAGGTCAAGAGACTCAAATCTTTATTTTAAAAATACATTTTTTATGATTTCTGTACATCTGAAAAAAACCCAGTTAGATGAATAATACTAAAAACCACATTTACCTAAAAAAGTGGATAATGAGCAGTTAACAATTCCTTATTTTCAAATATTTATCAATTTAATGCATAAACATTCTTCAGACAATGATATTAAGCATATGTCATTTATTTTCTAGTTATTAAACAGTGTAAAGTGTTAAAACTATATGAAACTCCAAATTAGCATAAATCTTTAAATTTTGAGCGAAATAAGAGAAATACTGATTGGCTGGAACAACAAAGGCTATTCATTTGATTAGACATATTTTGTTTCACAATAGAATGAATAATATAGCTAAGGAAGATGGTTCTGAAAAATCTGTATTAGGACTGTCAATGGAAAAGAGTTCACCAGCAGTGAGAGAGACCAGAGGAATCCATAAGAACTCTGGTTTTAAAATCAGGTTTATCTGTGTTACAATCGCAACTTCATAATCTATTGCCTGTGTGCTCATGGAAACATTCTTGAAAGTTGTGCTTATTTTCTTCATCCATAATATGTGATAATGATAACAATTATATCATTTCAGTAGTAACATTTATAAAGGGCTTACTCGGTGTTAGACCCTTAAGTATTTCATATGACTTTATCATGGTTTATTCTCACAGCTGCCCTATGAATAGGTACAATTATCATCATTCCGATTTTATGGACAAGAAAATGGAGTCATAGAAAGGTGAAGTGATTCCCCAAGAGTCACACAGCTGGTGAGTGTGAGAAACAAGCTGTGAACTCAGGCAATCTGCTTTTCTTATCTTGGCTTGGTACTTTTGCGAAGATTATATGAGATAATGCATGTTTCATGCTTTATATAATTTACTAAATATGCACTCAGAAAAGATAATATTAGAGGTGATTATGAAAAGAAAATCTTCTACATTACATATGTATCCATAAATATAAAATGAACTCTTTCACTTTTCATTAGCCACTGTTAGGGAATTGATTCAAATATAGTGACAGCAAAATAAGATTGAATTTTGCATATATTGTCTTTTTGATTGATTGAAATAGTATATATATTTTCTTTGTGCCATACTTCAGTCATCTGAGCTTCATAGAATTAATTAAAATTTTAACTTTGGAGTCATTTATTTGCTAATGTCATTGTTATATAATGTCTGTCTAGAAAAAAAAAAACATAACCCAGAAAGCAATCTGAGAGCCATGTGACATTTGTTTTATCTGAACCTATAAGACCAAATAAATTTGATAATTGCCAAATATGTACTTTGTATTATATCAGCATTGTTGTCACTGTAATTTTAGGGAATGCTAATAAACATGTACTGAAAAAGTCAATAAGAGATTTACAAAAAAAGTGTGTTTCCCCATACAAACTATTTCTACTTCACCTTCTGAAAAATGTCGAGACATACTTTGATCTTTGGGAAATATTTAAAGTCTTATTATAATTAAATCATGTTGAAAATGCAGTAAAAATGGTTAGTTCCTATAGAAAAATACTAGTTATATAGTAATAAAGGAAATGATTGTGGTAAAACTATGGCCACAGAGTCTAGGTGGAATTGAAAATTTTTTCAATGATATTTGTAGTTATAGCTTACAATTCAATAACGAGTGCCTTGGAAACTATAGACCATAAGATTAGAACAAGATCCAAGCCTGAGACCTGTAAAACATCAGTATTATTGATCGGAGCAAAGATGCATTTTAAAAAATCTCAAAACCAAATCAGTAATATTGGACTAACGCATCTAGCTTCTTATATAATTTCTGGTGCTGTTGAGAGAGACATTTTTAATAAACTATTGTGTAAAGACTAGAAAATCTGCAAACATTTCAAAAGATACAGAGTAATAGCCTTTATCTATTCCCTATTGTTTCCTCCTACCTCCCTCTAAGCATCTCCACAGAGACCATGTTCAAACAGCACTGGAGATAAATGAGGCTATGGACATGGGAACACAGTTGACAACTATTTTTCTGAGAATAAGAAAAAAAATAACGCTCAAAGACTTAAAAAGTAGTGCTCCTTTGTTCACTCTTACACATAAATATCACAAAGTAAATAGGCAACACAGATATATAGCAAAATTTGTGTATGAAAGACCAAGTAAACTTTGCTTTCATTGGTGGTTAAAAAACTCCAACAAAACACAGAGGATGATTGTGGTCACTAGTGATAGACAAATTTTCACTTAAAAAAAAAAGATTAGTAATTTACCATAAACTCAGAGCAAAATAATCCAATGTCAATTATTTAAAAATAAATAATATGTGTGTTTAGAAAAATACCATTATTTTGATAGCAATAAGAAGCTAAAGCACAAAAGTGGGTAGCTTTTTTAAGAGGACAAAATAATGGTCAGAGGCTTTTGTGTTGTTGTTTTGATTTGTGTGTGTGTGTGTGTGTGTGTGTGTGTGTGTCTTTTTAAATCTTCAGTAACTTGATATGAAAATGTGTGTCTATCTTTGACTTTAAACAGTAATTATGTTTTGAGAACAGGTCAAGGTAAATTATTCTCTGTAATGCATCTCCACAGAGGTGGCAGACCAAACTCCTGTGGCCTTTCTCAGCTGCAGAGGGCTGCCAAGGCAGTAGAGCTAGGTTTTAGAATTACTTTAGAGTTACTTATTTCACCTTGGCTATAATTACCGTGGTAGCTGTTAATCATGACTAATTGAGAGCAGAGGAAAAAAAAATGTCACTTGTAGAGGGAAAGCAGTATTTCAGAATTCCTGTAAACAAAGCTTTGGCTAAAAGATTGAATAGAAAGAGCAAAAATGAGAAAGAAGGTGTTTTGGGCCTGGCCCCCAACGATATTAAACTATTGTAACTGTTTTGAATTGAGCTGGAATGGCTAGATTGAAGAAGATTGAAAAAGAAAGCTTGAAAGTTTGTCCTGTGAAGGCATTAGAACCTCCTGGAAGATGCCAAAATATCTTTGAGTATAGATGTCTCCAGGATGTTAGTGCCAAGGCTCCAGAGAACTCTCCACTGCATCAGCCTTTAGCTTGAATGCCTGCTGTCAACTCCCGTGGACACCATCACAGATCTTAGGACTCATCTATTTAACATGGGATCCGTGCCCGGGACCAAGACACTGATTTGTCTATAAACTTCCAGTGCTGTGACATGGCAGCAACCCTCAGGCAACAGAAGCATGAAAGGGCTCAAGCAGAACCAAACCCAGGTTTGGTAAGTAACACATGGATTTTTCAAAAGTCTAACAAACTAGAATGGATAAAACCACCACAAGAATCTTACATTTCACCATATTTTTAAAGCAACATAGATCAGCTTAACGGTTTATATTTTAAAAGCACTTTCCATCTACATTATGTAATCTTTAAAACAACCATATAAACTATGTATTGTAAAAAAACAAAAAAACTTATTTTGCAAATAAGAATTTATAGCATCTCGAACAAGATGACAAAGATAGTGAGGGCAAGGGCAGGGACTCAAATCCTGACCCTGATTACATATTGTATGTTTCTTCCTCAGAAATATTGTGGTTTGAATGTAAAATATAAGCAGATCTAAACAAATGCTGAGTTAGAAAAAGACCAAGGCTAAAAACTATCATGAAAATGAAACATAAACATGTATTTTATAACATCAAAGTAAATATTTGAATATTTATTTATTTATTTATTTATTTATTTATTTATTTTATTTATTTTTGAGAGGGAGTCTCACTCTGTCACCCAGGCTCGGGTGCAGTGGCGCTATCTTGGCTCACTGCAAGCTCTGCCTCCCGGGTTCACCCCATTCTTCTGCCTCAGCCTCCTGAGTAGCTGAGACTACAGGCACGTGCCACCACGGCCGGCTAATTTTTTTGTATTTTTTAGTAGAGATGGGGTTTCACCATGTTAGCCAGGATGGTCTCGATCTCCTGACCTCGTGATCCGCCTGCCTCGGCCTCCCAAAGTGCTGGGACTACAGGCGTGAGCCACCACACCCGTTAAATGACTTTCATTGTGTCTGTTCCCAATATCATTTTGCCTTCCTTTCCATCACAAATAACTCCTTTCCATCACAAATCCAGTAACCTCCCTGGTAGGATACTTTCACCTTAAGCTTTTATCCTTCCTTTCTTTTCTGTCCTGTGTCCAATCCCCTGTTGATCTCAAATGATCTTCATTTGCCTTATCAATTGATTTTTCCCCGTTTTATTCCTTCTTTTGATTCAATATATCCCCCAAACTGTCCTGTATATAGAGTTATATACAGATACAGAACAGGAGGCTTTACCTGTATATTTTAGCATTGATGGTAGTCATGGCCTCACATATTTCCCACTGGAATTTCAGTATTAGGGAGCAAAGACCTAAGACTGCTAGCATAATTACTTTCCATCGCCTTTGAGAAACACTCACAACCTCATCCCTGTCCTAGCCCGCCCCTTTCCATCACCCAGTTATCAGTAAGGGTATGAATAGGGAGAATAATTATCCCATATAAAATCAGAGAATTTTCTAATTCTAGCATTTTGACTGTCTCTCCCAAGAAGATGGACTTCAAAAAAAGAAAAAGGGCTTTAACTTTCCTGTGCTGAACTTTCCAGGCATTATTGAAAAGAAATGACTGCTATTTGGTAAGCAGTGGCCCTACAAGCAAAGGCGAAGAATACCTATAATAGAGCAATGTTAGTTTTTGTGGAAAAGAACAGTGGGAACTTTAGCCATCAGCACAATTACTTATGGTTATACATACTGTATATAGAAGGGAGGCTAAGATCAACTATTGTTCTGAGAGGACTAGAAACACTGAATTCCTTATCTATCATGAAAAGAGATGATTAGGCCAGGAACATTGAGCTGTTGAAAAGAAAGCAAGTGAGATATAATGTTGAGAACATGATTAGAGCACATGTCGTATTCACTAAATTGATTCTTTATGTTTTGATCTCAGAAAGCATTTTAAAGTTCTTCATCACTTTCACTGATGTGATGTTTTTACTTATGGCAACTTTCAGTCATTTTATAAACACTGATGCTTATCTTTAGTTTCTTAAACATTACTGCTAAAAGAGTATTAGATCACTATGTTAGAACTTGATTCTGGTCAATTTTATTCAATTGGATCAAAAATTTGATTTAAGGATGACAGAAATACTAACTTTATGAATCTAGACTTAAGTGTGTCTGGTTCATTTACAAACAAATTAGTACAGTAATTTCTTCCATTTGTCAAAGTACCATTTAGTTGATATCTGAAGTGTGATGAAGCCAGGCAGAAGGGGCAGTCCTATAATTGTTTGATTCTGCTGCCCTATTCGTTTCTTGCTGAAAATCAAGTAGTAGTACAGGTCTCCTCTCATCTACCCCTCTCCTACAGAACACAAGCCACTTAAAGGAGATGGGCTATGTCTTACCTCTGGATGTGGCTTTGTGATGACTGAGACAGAAGGCATCAGTTCTCATTCCACTCACTCCTTCCACAAACATTTAATGAATTACTTAAAGAAATATGTTTCTAAGTAGTATCTACAAGTACTAACCCTGGTTTTTACTTAGGGCAAATTAACTGTGCAGACTTCCATTAATAAGCATAACAACAATAGCAAAAGAGAATTTATCACATACCAGCTACTCTTCTATGCATTTTACATATATTACCTCATTTAATTCTCACAATATCAGACATTATCCCCTTTTCATGAATCAGAAAGCTGAGGCAAAGATAATTTAAATAACTTCCCTAAGGTTCTCATGACTTTCCTATGGTCTTCAGGAAGTCTAGCCCCTGAAACAGTGGTGTTCACTGTTGTGTTAAATGACCTTGAATATTGAGCTATTAAATATGAGGGTATATTAGGAGAGTTCTTATGGAAATTTCTATAGTGTTCTAAAATGTAAACTTTACTGTATTCTATTCTAGAGTGGGTATGAATACTTCATAGTATTCTATAGTAGGTATAAATGACTAATAAACCAAATGAATACACACACTAAGATATTTAGATTTAAAAAAAGAAACTTGCTAAACCAAATTGGTCAGTGTTTAAGCAATGTAATTAAATGAAGACCATCTCAAGCAGAAACATTTTCCTAAAAGGTTGCCTTCTCTCAGTTTCTTAAGATATTCATCATGGGAAGCAGCCACTGCTAAAGATAGATCTAAATCCTAAATCCTTAGTTAAAATGTGGTCTTATTTATAAATGAAAACCTAGTCTTTCCATAGCCCTTTCTAAATTGGCTATGCCTTCCAAAATTGTTTCTGAAATATCATATAGAATCATTTTAGAAGGTTTTTATTTAATGTACAAGTGGTGAGACACTTGATGTTATTACCATACTACCACATGTACAGGATATGCTCCTGTGTCATGAAACTGTTTTGTTCATGGCAACAGAAAATACAAAATCCTACTACAGCACTAAGTATATCAATCACATCAGTCATCTAACGGGTAGGAGAGGACAATTTACGGAACAACTTTATAAATATGTTACTTTATACTTCAGCCTGATTATTTCATTTTTCATATCTGTGTCATGTTATGGAAAGGAGTTAAGAACCAGATGATTAAGAGAAGTTGCTCTAAATGTCTAAGAAAATTCTATGAAAAGTAAGAATCTTGACTAGTTTCATGTTAGTCAAAGGTATATGTTAAATTATGAATGAGTAATTAGATATATGGAATGAGGCAAATTTTTATCTGATTATATAAATACATTAGTGAGATGAAAAATTTAGCTTCTACAAAAAATGCAAATGTAATATAAATTGTATATAAGCGTATAATTATATTTTCTATTGTCTCATAAAGTAAAAGTTTTATTTTAGCTACTCAACTGTATTAGTAAATTTTTAGTCTATTTATATTCAAAATTACCCTGACTTCTTAGCAGAGAGAGCAGATTCCCAGCTTTCTACCAAATAAAAAATATTACATTGCTTTTTGCCAGAAGCTCACAATTTGCTCATTTTTATGCTGTCCAACATACCACTTGAATGTACTTATTTATAGGTTAAATTGAGCTGCATGACTTAGAGGGGTAGAAGATATATAAGAGTGTTTCTCATATATGAGTTAACTGAGGGCCCTTATAAAGAAATAAAACCAAAGTTAAATTACAAACTATTAAAAATCAAATTTTTTAAAAGCTTTGTAGAGGTGGAAAGGAATGATACATTTCCTTCCCATCGTAAGGATCTTAGCTACATTCTTCAAACAAAAGACAAGTTAACAAGAAAAAAGCATAATACATTTATTTGATGAAACTTTTATATGACACAGGAGCCTTGAGAAATGAAGACCTAAAGACTCAAGGGAAGACCGTGCATTTTTATGCTTGAATTCAATAACAAGTGAACAGCCATGGAGACACGTGATTAAACAAAAACGAAATAATGTAATAGTACTAGATTGAGCGGGCAAACCCAGCAAGGCCTGTCTGATCGGATTCTTCTTGGCTTCTCTGTGTGACATTTCTTCTTCCCAAGTATAAGGCCGGACCCTTTCTGGAATGAGAGTATTATGATCTGCTCTCAGACAAGGCAAGTCCATTTCTTTATGGCCAGCTCTTACACAGAAAGGTGAAGGAAGGCTGAAGTAGTATTTCTGGGGTTCATGGCTAACTTTGGAGGAGAGGAGTTCTAGTTTCTATGATCCACATTGGGGAAGAGGAATTCTAGATTCTACAACTTGCCTTGGGAGAGAAAGAGGAGCAAGGAGAATGGAGGGCAGGAGAAGGTCAGAGTGACTCTGCTTCTGAGTCCTCTCCAACATGTTTTAGTTCAAAGCACTTAGCATGTCCAAGTGCCAAAGTTTATGGTATCATTTTCAGAGCTCCAGCAGCTTCAAACTGAATAAAATTCAAGCTAATATCATTAATGTAATATGAGTATTGTTTTGCTACAGTGTACTGGAGTTTATGACATAGGCTGTTTTGAGTTTGCTACATTTATACTATTATTTAAAGCTAACATTGATTTAAAATTATGAGTCAGATACTGTTTTACATGACTTGTGTTTATAGAGGTTTTTAAAAATTATTACAACAATCCTATGAGGAAATAAATTTGTTTTCATATTTAGAAAAACTGTAAGGTACGATGACTTAATTTCTCAAAATCAGGCAGTAAGTGACGGAGTAAGATTAAAAGTTGTCAGTCTGACAACAGAACTCTCTTCAATAGTACATACACTGCCTCTAAAATAAAATGTTCACAACACTATTCCTCTCCACAACTGAGTACTCAAAAGAATCATATAGGAAAATACTGTTATTGGCACTTAAAATATATAATATGATATTTCTAACATGTCTACCCTTTAAGGGTATGTAGCCGCAAACTGTGAATTAAACTAAAAAATACATCAAAAAGAGAAAGGTATACAATTTTTATTTAATGTTAATATTTAAAAATTTTATGTGCATAGTCACAGAATAGAAGTCAATATCCAAAGAGGTGATTAAATTTGTATTACTTATATATAATCTTAGCAGAGGATGACAAATTGAGAAGATGTGGTAAGAAAAAGAAAAAAGGGGTCCATGCTTCTATGGGCAGTAAATTGTGGAAGGCAAGAATATGTGGATGGAAGGTAGGAGCTATCTAGTAAGATTTTGTTTACTTAGATTCATCTTAGGACTCTCTCCATGTGCATGGATAATTGGTGTTCCTTCCTTCCTGGTATGAAAGAGGAAGATGTCTTGATATGGCTTGAATCTGTGTCCCCGTGCAAATCTCATGTTTAATTACAATCCCCAATGTTGGAGGTAGGGCACAGTGGGAGGTGATTAGATCACGGAGGCTCAATTCTCACTAATGGATCAGCAACATGCCCCTTGGTACTGTCCTCACCATAGTCAGTGATCTTCCTGAGATCTGGTCATTTAAAAGTGTGTGGCACCTCCTCCCTCTCTCTCTTTCTCTTGCTCCTGTTCTTGCCAGGAAGACAGTTGCTCCTGTCACAAGTAAAATCTCCCTGATGCCTTCCCAGAACCTGATGCCGCCATGCTTCCTGTACAGCCTGCAAACCCTGAACCAATTAAACCTCTTTTCTTTATCAATTACCCAGTGTCAAATATTTCTTTATAGCAATGTGATAATGGACTAATACATACCCTCACAAGGAAAAGTTATGTCCTGCTTTTAGGCACACAGGAGAAGGTGGAGAGCTTTTTCTCAATTGCCTTTAACTTAAATAATTCTTATGCCAAAGCAGCATATTTTTGGAGTGGCATATTCTTTTCCCCTTCAAATGGAAAAAATGAGTTGCTTAACAATAGTTAAAAATGTCAGAGTCATTCTTAGCCATGTGGAAACCTAAAGAGTCCTAGTTCATAAGAGTTGTTTCCTGCTCTTCTGAGTATATTACATGCTTGATGCAAGGAGGAAAAGAATAGGTTACTAGATATTATTACTATTTAGGATTATGATTATAATATGAGTAAGACAGGATAAAGAGAGAAAGCCATCTGAGCATAATAATATACAACCGAAACATTTAAGTGCACAAAAATTTCTTAGTAAAGAGGAGTAATAAAACCCACAACACCCGTCACCATTATAGATCCAATCATCTGGAAGAACAGTTGGTACAGAAAATATACCAACCCACAAGCATTAGTCACAACTAGCTTCACATTGTAGTCAGAATGTGGCTCATGGTATTTGCATTTGTTAGAGGTGGCACAAGTGGTGGTTAGAAAGAGAGCTATTCCAAGCCCTTTGCGAGGAATAGAAGACATTTCCTGGACTGTCACTCTTCAGGCATGATAAGTGAATGTAAAACAAAGGCAATGAATGGTTTTACCTATTTCCAGTTAACTGACTTGTGGGTTTAATCAGTACTCCCTAGACCAATGTCTATGGAACACTGATTCTTTTTTTTTTTCTTTTTATTATTATACTTTAAGTTTTAGGGTACATGTGCACAATGTGCAGGTTAGTTACATATGTATACATGTGCCATGCTGGTGTGCTGCACCTCTTAACTCGTCATTTAGCATTAGGTATATCTCCTAATGCTATCCCTCCCCCCACCCCCCACCCCACAACAGTCCCCAGAGTGTGATGTTCCCCTTCCTGTGTCCATGTGTTCTCATTGTTCAATTCCCATCTATGAGTGAGAACATGCGGTGTTTGGTTTTTTGTCCTTGCGATAGTTTACTGAGAATGATTTCCAGTTTCATCCACGTCCCTACAAAGGACATGAACTCATCATTTTTTATGGCTGCATAGTATTCCATGGTGTATATGTGCCACATTTTCTTAATCCAGTCTATCATTGTTGGACATTTGGGTTGGTTCCAAGTCTTTGCTATTGTGAATAGTGCTGCAATAAACATATGTGTGCATGGGAACACTGATTCTTTAGAATGCCCAGAAAACTGTCTGCCCACCAGTAGAATTGAATACTTCCAACATAAGTAATTTTTTCTTCCACAATCTGTTTATGCCATGGTTATTATGATAGTTACTTTAATTAAGGTTAATGCTGTCAATATTATATAAAGGGTTTCAGATTAAATGTGACATGACTGAGTGATTGGAGAAAATGATAAAATTAAAATTTGTTGCTCAGAGTCCTTTTAAATATAAGTTCCTATTCTAATTCATACAAATCCAAACTGAAAACATAGATGCCCTGTGACTACAGGTTAGATTTAAAAAATATATATTTGGCTGGGCATGTTAATGCGTGCTTGTACTCCCAGCTACTTGGGAGACTGAGGCAGGAACACTGATTGAGTCCAGGAGTTCTGGGATATAGTACACTATGCTGATCCAACATTCACACTAAGTGCAGCATCAATATGGTGACTTCCTGGGAGCAGGGAACCACCAGGTTACCAAAGGAGGAGTGAACCTGCCCAGGTCAGAAATAGAGCAGGTAAAAATTCCTGCAGTGATCAGTAGTGGGATTGTGCCTATGAATAGCTACCACACTCCAGCCTGGGAAGCTTATCAATACCCCATCTCTAAAATAAATTATTTAAATAAATAAATAAATAATTTTTTTAAAGCTTGAAATGAAAGCAGTCTTAGGCATACACTGGTATTTTAGCAAATAAATAAATATTGTATGCTTTAGGTTAAATATGTATATTACATCAGTATGTATATATTTAATTTAAAATGTGTAATGTTTATACATTATAAGATAATGTTGGAAAGCATAAATAGGTTAATCATTTCAAGTTACTGTTGTGTCTGTGAACTTAATTTAGTGAAATAAGTGCAGTAAATATACTCATCATGTGACTTGCATGTTTTGAATTTCAAGTAAAAATTCACAAAATGCCCTTCTGCACCAGCTTACAATATTCTTTTTTTAAAATATATATTTATTTACTTATTTATTTATTGAGACAGAGTCTCACTCTGTCACCCAGGCTGGAGTGCAGTGGCACAATCTTGGCTAACTGCAACCTCCGCCTACCAAGTTCAAGCGATTCTTGTGTCTCAGCCTCCACAGTAGCTGGGATTGCAGCCTCGTGCCACCATGCCTGGCTAATTTTTGTATTTTTCAGTAGAGATGGTATTTTGCCATGTTGGCCAGGCTAGTCTTGAACTCCTGGCCTCAAGTGATCTGTCCAACTTGGCCTCCCAAAGTGCTGGAATTGCAGGTGTGAGCCACCATGCTGTGCCGAGTTTAAAATGTTCTATCTTTGTGCCACAATCACAGTCATCGTAATTGGAGACCACACTCTATCTTTGTTGAGTTGCAGGAGTGTCCAGTCTTTTTGTCTTCCTAGGCTACTTTGGAAGAATTGTCTTGGGCAATACTTAAAATACAGCAACACTAATGATAGCTGATGGGCTAAAATCATTTGCAAAAAAAACTCATAATGTTTTAAGAAAGTTTATGAATTTGTGTTGGGCCTCATTCAAAGCTGTCCTGGGCCACCTTGCTCACAGGCTGCAGGTTGAAGAAGTTTGAGTTACAGTCTACCACAATTTATTCTCATTTATTTTTAGACCTAGAAAGGAAAGACACAGTTATTCGGTTACATAAAATAGAATTTGTGGCCGGGCACAGTGGCTCACGCCTGTAATCCCAGCACTTTGGGAGGCCGAGGCGGGCAGATCACGAGGTCAGGAGATCGAGACCATCCTGGCTAACACAGTGAAACCCCATCTCTACTAAAAATACAAAAAAATTAGCTGGGCATAGTGGTGGGCGCCTGTAGTCCCAGCTACTCAGGAGGCTGAGGCAGGAGAATGGCATGAACCCGGGAGGCGGAGGTTGCAGTGAGCGGAGATCACGCCACTGCACTCCAGCCTGGGCGACAAAGCGAGACTCCGTCTCAAAAAAAAACAGAATTTGCAAAGCAGTTTTCTAATAAGTCCACAAATTATCCTTTATTATCTTTTGAAATGAAAGAAAACGTATTTTTCTCAACAAAATTGAGATATTCGGTATTATTTGGTGTGAGAAGTGAGAATAATAATGTCAGGACACTGAGCTCAGTGTTAGATTTCTCTTTTTAATTTTTATTTTAGATTTGGAGGTATAAGCGCAAGTTTGTTATATAGGTAAAGTCATGTCTCCGGGGCTTGTTGTACAGATTATTTTATCACTAAGCCTAGTACCCATGAGTTATTTTTTCTGATCCTCTCTCTCCTTTCATCCTCCACCCTCACGTAGGCCCCAGTGTCTGTTGTTTATGGTTTTGTGTAGCATTAAATATTCTTTTTCAAGTATACACAGGTAACAATTCCATGTGAATTATTCTTTCAAAGTGGAAGATATGTATGGGCTTTGTCATCTGAAAGCACAGGTTCAAATTCTATGCCTTGTCTCTCACTAGCTGCTCATTTCAAAAAAAGTTACATAACCTCTCTAGTTCTTATCATACAAATGTAATCCATACATCTTAAGGGTTTTTTAGTTTGAATGTGCAATAGTATGTTTGAGAATGCCTATTCTGGTATGCAGCAGATATTAATGATTCAAGAAACTTGTTTTTTATTCCTTTCTCAACCACTTTATCTTGGTCCTTCTATGTAAAATTGCATTACAAATTACAGTTTTTATTTTTCAAGCCTAACTTATGTTATTATTGGTGTCATGGTTTATTTTTTTCTTTTGTCTCTTTCATCCCATTTAAAAAGCTCAGACTATAGTTTTAAAAAGAAGTTATCTGTTTCAATATTTTTTTTTCTCTGTCAAGGGGGTGGGGTACTAGTATCCACATCAGAATACAAGACCAAAAGACAAGACTCAACTTGGAAAATAAAATCTTCTACCTATCCAGGTTTCCAAGTAAGAATCTAATATTTTTATTATAACCTTCAAGGGATTGTTTAGAAAACATTCCCCTTTCAATGCCTTTCAATAGTTACCAAATATAAAAAAATTATGTATATTTAAAAATATATATTTTATTTTCTATATATATATATATATATATATACAAACACACGTATACATATACCTCTAACACATATAGGGTTCAAATGTTTTTAAAGGTCATTTTCATGCTAGATGTTTTCAGTGTTATATTATTCTTATTATCATATTTTTCATTTGGTATGTTTAAAGTATAGAAAACAATTTTATTGTGATTTTTAAAAACTCAGACACTTGGTAGAGAGCCCGTATTTGGTCAGTTTCCAGGATTTGTTATTCCATATCAATTTTTAATACCTTCACCTCCTAAACAATGTAGCTCTCTTATACTTTTTACTCAGTCGAAGTTCTTCCCTAGTGTACAATTATAGAGCGACAAAATAAAATGAAATTTTAATGACTTGAGGTTACCAAAATATATATAAATATTAATGACCAAATATTGAAACAAAGTTTTTACTGAACATAATAAGTTTATCTCCTCTTAAAGTGATCCTATGGTACCCATGATAGCAAGAGGTAGCAAAGGGATTTCAAAAAAATTAAACAGATAACTGAAAACGGACTGTGTTTCCATAGATACTGTGATTAATTACTGGGTATGTTTCACTATTCTACTTCTCTAAATGTAGTTGTTGTTTCTAAATTGGTACCAGCAGAGTGGGGCATTGCTGAAAAGATACCCAAAAATGTGGAAGTGATTTTGGAACTGGGTAACAGGCAGAGGTTGAAACAGTTTGGAGGGTTCAGAAGAAGATAGGAAAATGTGGGAAAGTTTGCAACTTCCTAGAGACTTGTTGAATGCTTTGGCCCAAATTGCTGATAGTGATATGGACAATAAGGTCCAGGCTGAGATGGTTTCAGATGGGGATGAGGAACTTGTTGGAAACTGGAGCAAAGGTGACTCTTGCTATGTTTTAGCAAAGAGAATGGCGGCATTTTGCCTCTGCCCTAGAGATTTTTGGAACTTTAAACTTCAGAGAGATGATTTAGTTTGTCTGACAGAAGAAATTTCTAAGCAGCAAAGCATTCAAGAGTTGACTTGGGTGCTGTCCAAAGCATTCAGTTTTAACAGGGAAGCAGAGCAAAAAAGTTTGAAAAATTTGCAGCCTGACAAATTGAGAGAAAAGAAAATCCCATTTTCTGGGAGAAATTCCAGCTGGCTGCAGAAATTTGCATAAGTAATGAGGAGTCAAATGTTAACCCCCAAGACAATGGGGAATATGTCTCCAGGGCATGTCAGAGGTCTTCATGGCAGATGCTCCCATCACAATCCCAGAGGCCTAGGAGGAAAAAGTGGTTTCATGGGCCAGGCCCAGGTCCTCGAGCTGTGTGCAGCCTTGGGACTTGGTGCCCTGTGTCCAGGCTGCTCCAGTCATGGCTGAAAAAGGCCAATGTAGAGCTCAGGGTGTGACTTCAGATGGTGCAAGACCCAAGTCTTGGCAGCTTCCACATGGTGTTGAGCCTGCCATCGCACAGAAGCCAAGAACTGAGGTTTGAGAACCTCCACCTAGATTTCAGAAGATGTATAGAAACGCCTGGATGTTCCGGCAGAAGTTTATTACAGGGGCAGGGCTCTCATGGAGAACCTCTAATAGGGCAGTACAGAAGAGAAATGTGGGGTTGGAGCCCCCACACAGAGTCCCTACTGAGGCACTGCCTAATGGAGCTGTGAGAAGAGGGCCATTGTCCTCCAGACCCCAGAATGGTAGATCTACTGACAGCTTGAACCGTGCACCTGGAAGAGCCACAGACACTCAATGACAGCCTGTGAAAGCAGTTGGGAGGTAGGCTGTATCCTGCAAAGCCACAGAGGCGGTGCTACCCAAGACCATGAGAATCCACCTTTTGTATCAGTGTGACCTGGATGTGAGACCTGGAGTCAAAGGAGATCATTTTGGAGTTTCAAGATTTGACTGCCCCACTGGATTTCAGACTTCCATTGGCCCAGTAGCCCATTTGTTTTGGCCAATTTCTCCCATTTGGAATGGTTGTATTTACCCAATGTCTGTATCCGCATTGTATCTAGGAAATAAGTAGCTTGCTTTTGATTTTACAGGCTCATAGGCAGAAGGAACTTGCCTCGCCTCAGATGAGACTTTGAACTGGGGACTTTTGAGTTAATGCTGAAATGAATTAAGACTTTGGGGGACTGTTGGGAAGGCATGATTGATTTTGAAATGTGAGGACATGATATTTGGCAGAGGCCAGGGGCAGAATGACATGGTTTGGCTCTGTGTCCCCATCCAAATCTCATCTTGAACTGTACTCTCATAATTCCCATGTGTTGTGCCAGGGACCCGCTAGGAGATAATTGAATCATGGGGGCTGTTTCCCATAATTTTGTGATAGTGAATAAGTCTCACCAGATCTGATTGTTTTATCAGGGGTTTCTGCTTTCGCATCTTCCTCATTCTCTCTGCCTGCTGCCATTCATGTAAGATGTGACTTACTCCTCCTTGCCTTCCACCATGATTGTGAGGTTTCCCCAGCCATGTGGAACTGTAACTCCAATTAAACCTTTTTTTCTTTTTTTGTAAATTGCCCAGTCTCAGGTATGTCTTTATCAGCAGCATGAAAATGGACTAATACAGTTTCTATCATATTGCTCCATAGATATAAAGGCATACTCTTATAGATTGTTAAAAGATACGCAAATCAACAAATGTAATCCAGCATATACACATAACCAAAGACAAAAACCACATGATTATCTCAATAGATGCAGAAAAGGCCTTTGACAAAATTCAACAATTCTTCATGCTAAAAACTCTCAATAAATTAGGTATTGATGGGATGTATCTCAAAATAATAAGAGCTATCTATAACACACCCACAGCCAATATCATACTGAATGGGCAAAAACTGGAAGCATTCCCTTTGAAAACTCACACAAGACAGGGATGCCCTCTCTCACCACTCCTATTCAACATAGTGCTGGAAGTTCTGGCCAGGGCAATTAGGCAGGAGAAGGAAATAAAGGGTATTCAATTAAGAAAAGAGGAAGTCAAATTGTCCTTGTTTGCAGATGACATGATTGTATATCTAGAAAACCCCATCGTCTCAGCCCAAAATCTCCTTAAGCTGATAAGCAACTTCAGCAAAGTCTCAGGATACAAAATCAATGTACAAAAATCACAAGCATTCTTATACACCATTAACAGACAAACAGAGAGCCAAATCATGAGTGAACTCCCATTCACAATTGCTTCAAAGAGAATAAAATACCTAGGAATCCAACTTACAAGGGATGTGAAGGACCTCTTCAAGGAGAACTACAAACCACTGCTCAAGGAAATAAAAGAGGATACAAACAAATGGAAGAACATTCCATGCTCATGGGTAGGAAGAATCAATATCGTGGAAATGGCCATACTGCCCAAGGTAATTTATAGACTTAATGCCATCCCCATCAAGCTACCAATGACTTTCTTCACAGAATTGGAAAAAATTACTTTAAAGTTCATATGGAACCAAAAAAAGAGCCCGCATTGCCAAGTCAATCCTAAGCCAAAAGAACAAAGCTGGAGGCATCACACTACCTGACTTCAAACTATACTACAAGGCTACAGTAACCAAAACAGCATGGTACTGGTACCAAAACAGAGATACAGATCAATGGAACAGAATAGAGCTCTCAGAAATCACGCCGCCTATCTACAACCATCTGATCTTTGACAAACCTGAGAAAAACAAGAAATGGGGAAAGGATTCCCTATTTAATAAATGGTGCTGGGAAAACTGGCTAGCCATATGGAGAAAGCTGAAACTGGATCCCTTCCTTATACCTTATACAAAAATTAATTCGAGATGGATTAAAGACTTACATGTTATACCTAAAACCATAAAAACCATAGAAGAAAACATAGGCAATACCATTCAGGACATAGGCATGGGCAAGGACTTCATGTCTAAAACACCAAAAGCAATGGCAACAAAAGCCAGAATTGACAAATGGGATCTAATTAAACTAAAGAGCTTCTGCACAGCAAAAGAAACTACCATCAGAGTGAACAGGCAACCTACAGAATGGGAGAAAATTTTCGCAACCTACTCATCTGACAAAGGGCTAATATCCAGAATCTACAATGAACTCCAACAAATTTACAAGAAAAAAACAAACAACCCCATCAAAAAGTAGGCGAAGGATATGAACAGACACTTATCAAAGGAAGACATTTATGCAGCCAAAAAAACACATGAAAAAATGCTCATCATCACTGGCCATCAGAGAAATGCAAATCAAAACCACAATGAGATACCCTCTCACACCAGTTAGAATGGCGATCATTAAAAAGTCAGGAAACAACAGGTGCTGGAGAGGATGTGGAGAAATAGGAACACTTCTACACTGTTGGTGGGACTGTAAACTAGTTCAACCATTGTGGAAGTCAGTGTGGCGATTCCTCAGGGATCTAGAACTAGAAATACCATTTGACTCAGCCATCCCATTACTGGGTATATACCCAAAGGATTATAAATCATGCTGCTATAAAGACACATGCACACATATGTTTATTGCGGCACTATTCCCAATAGCAAAGACTTGGAACCGACCCAAATGTCCAACAACAATAGACTGGATCAAGAAAATGTGGCACATATACACCATGGAACACTATGCAGCCATAAAAAATGAAGAGTTCATGTCCTTTGTAGGGACATGGATGAAACTGGAAACCAGCATTCTCAGCAAACTATTGCAAGGACAAAAAACCAAACACCGCATGTTCTCACTCACAGGTGGGAATTGAACAATGAGAACACATGGACACAGGAAGGGGAACATCACACTCTGGGGACTGTTGTTGGGGTGGGGAGGGGGGAGGGATAGCATTAGGAGATATACCTAATGCTAAATGACGAGTTAATGGGTGCAGCACACCAACATGGGACATGTATACATATGTAACAAACCTGCACATTGTGCACATGTACCCTAAAACTTAAAGTATAATAATAATAAAATAAAAAAATAAAAAATATATGGCTGAAAAAAAAAGAAAGCTACATAAGTTAGCATATCATGACCTGAATGAATGTAGGCAAGATCACAAGAAAATTTGAACAGTGTTTGAAATTAAAAGAACAGCCACAACAACAAAACAAAAAACAAACAAAAAAACATAGACTTATGCTTCCAGAAAGGTACTTCTGGAAATAGATGTCCTTTTAAATGTCCTTCTCCACAATCCTCTTGCTAAGCCCAACTAAAATCCCTGGGCATAACATATAAAACAAATATATGAGCCCCTGAAAGGTGAAGAGAAGGCAGACAAGCAAGAAACTCTGGAGACACAGTAGTGCTTTTACTGGGTTTTCATTTAGCTTCATATATCCTAGAGTTGGAACCAAAGAAGGTCGGAATCCAGAAACAAAACAGCAGACAAAATAATTCCTCAGCAAAGACTAATCTCACTAGCCAAGTAACTGATCTCTCTTCCCAAGTAATAGACAGCCTAGAAAGATAGAAATTGTATGAGTGAATTTTCATACGCTGTATAGAACTGCCTGAGACTGGGTAATTTATAAAGGAAAGAGGTTTAATTGACTCACAGTTCAGCATGGCTGGGAATGCCACAGGAAACTTACAGTTTTGGTGGAAGTTGAAGGGGAAGCAAGGCATCTTATTCACAAGGTGGCAAGAGGGAGAATGAACGCAGGAGGAACTACCAAACACTAATAAAACCATCAGATCTCATGAGAACTCACTCACTATCATGAGAACAGCATGGAGGAAACCACTCAAATTATTTAATTACCTCCACCAGGTCTCTCCCTTGACACATCCGGATTATGGAGATTACAGTTCAAGATGAGATTTTGGAGGACACAGCCAAACCATATCAGAAATCATTTAGATAATTACCACTCTACTCCTGCCAATCATAAAAGAAAAATACTGTGGCCCAATCCCACCCATGCCAAAAAACACTGAGCAGGTTTCCATGCCCACAGGCTATAATGAGGTTTCTAATCACAACACCTGGTTGATGTCCAAGAAAGAAGCCTACGTTTTCATCCATACTGGGGCATAATAACCCCCTCCTCATGGTCTCAGTGGAAACCACCAGTGGAGCCTGGACTTACACCACCACCTGGTGGTAACAAGAATAGTACCAAAATTGGCCACATGGAAAGTCAAAATTTTCAAAATGTTCCTCTGGCTGTGAGATAATTCCCCTTCTCTGTTGTGTTCATTAAAGCCACTTGGAAAGAAATAATGAAGCAGCACTATGCATCCTAGCCAGGAAGGCATCAAAAAGGCTTATTGTAGAGCCAGAACTCCCAACCCAGCTCAACTATAAGGAGCTCTCACCTTCATCAGGTGTAAATGGAGGCCTAGTGAGAAATCTGGACTTCTATCCTCATCTGAAAATAATTAGGCAATTCCCTCCATCACATCTAAATGAGACTGCAGTGGGGTCAGAGAGAGCCAACTAAAATAGGAGTAGAATCCAGTCTTATAACTTAATATCCATAATGTCTAGGCTTTAATTTTTAATAAATTACTCCTCCTAACAAGAATCAGGAAAACCTCAAACTGAATGAGAAAAAATAGTTAATCAACAGATGTCAACACAGATATGAGAGATGTTAGAATTATTTAACAAATATTTTACCACTGCCATTATAAAAATACTTCAACATGCAATTACTAACACATTTGAACAAATGGAAAAAAAAATCAGCAAAGACACAGAAGATATGAGTAAGAAACAAAGGAAAAATTTTGAACTTAAAAATTCAATAATCGAAAAGCTCAACAGACGGGTTCAGCAGCAGGGTAGAGAGAACAGAATCCAAAACCCAGTAAATATTGAAAAAATAAAGTAAGAAGAGCCTCAGGCACTTTTTGGACTACAAAAAAAAAAAAAAAAAAAAAGGTCTAACATTCACATCATTGGAATCCTAAAAGGAGAGGAGAAAAGAGGCAGAACAAAAATGTACTGAAAAATGGATGAAAACTTCCCACATTTTGCAAAAGACATAAAACTTAAGATTTAAGAAGCTAAATGAATGCAAAACAAGATAATCTTAAATAAGTCCATGACAAGTTATATCATATTCAAACTTCTGTAAACTAAAGAAAAAAAATAAATCTTGAAATCTATAGAGAGAAACAGCACCTTACCTGTGAGAGCAAATAATTTGAAAGACAGTGAATTTCTTATCAGAAATGATGGAGGCCAAAAGAAAGTGTCATAGTCTTTTAAGTCCTGAAAGGAAAACAAAAACAAAAAGAAAAATAAAACACAACAATCATGTACATCCACAATTCTATATCTACCAACAATATTCTTCAGGAGCAAAAGGGAAATCAAGATATTCTTAGATTAAGGAAAAGTCCCTTTCCTTATGGATTGTGGCAAAGTTCCTTTTGCCATATAACTTAACATATTCATAGATTTTAAAAAAATAGCTAAAGGAGAAAGTCTCTAAACAAAAAATTATATAAGGAGAGATCTTGTAACATTAGAAAGGATGGAAGAACATAGTAGGCAAATACAATTGAATTTTATTCTTTTTGAGTTTTCTAAATTATATTTGACATTTGAAGTCAAAATTATAACACTGACTGATAATATTCAAAATGTAAATACAGGAAATATTTAAAACAGTTATAAACAGGAGGATAAGTAAGATTTCTAGATGTCACCAAAACATGTAAAATGATGTCACTATTAGGAAAACTATATAAACATAATACAATACCTTGGTCAACCATTAAAATAAGTTATAAAAACATTTTATAACTTATTACTTATTTTAAATACTTATTACTTATTTTAAAATGTTATATCTTATAACTTATTTTAAAACATTATAGATAGAACCTAGCACCTCTAGAATAGTGACAGGAGGAGTTCCATAGACCCTGTACTCAGAAAAACAATCACAATTGGCAAATATCATTTTTTAAAAAAATATATAATTTTTTTAAAAATTAAAATCTATAAAATTGAGTGCACACAATAAATAAAGAATCACTTATTTTTTAGAAAAACTATTAAATTATATAAAGAACAGCAAGAGCTAGGCACAGTGGCTCATGCCTCTAATCCCATTGTTTTGGGAGGTTGAAGCAGAAAGATTATTTGAAGCCAGAAGTTTAAGAGCAGCCTGGGCAGCATAACAAGATCACATCCAAACAAAAAAAAAATACAGAAATGGTGGTGCACGCTTGGTAGTAGTTTCATCTACTTAGGAGACTGAGGTGGGAGGATTGCTTGAGCCCAGGATTTTGAGGCTACAGTGAGCTATGATCATGCCATTGCACTTCAGCCTGAGCAACAGAGACCCTGTCTCCAAAAAACAAACATACGGCTGGGTGCAATGGCTCACGTCTATAATCCTAGCACTTTGGGTGGCCGAGGTGGATGGATCACAAGATCAGGAGCTTGGGACCAGCCTGGCTAATATGGTGAAACCCTGTCTCTACTGAAAATACAAAAATTAGCCAGGCGTGGTGTTGGGCGCTTGTAGTCCCAGCTACTCGGGAGGCTGAGGCAGGAGAATTGCTTGAACCCAGGAGGCGGAGGTTGCAGTGAGCAGAGATCACGCCACTGCACTCTGGCCTGGGTGACAGAGGGAGTCTCTCTCTCTCTCTCTGTCTCTCTCTGTCTCTCTCTCTCTCTCTCTCTCTCTCTATATATATATATATATATGACAATTTATTTCTAAGCGTTTTTTTCTATTTGATGCTATTAAAAATGAAACTGATTTTTAAATTTTATTTTCAGATTTGTATTGCTAAGATATAGAAATTTATGAATTTTAAATATTGATCTTTCATATATATATATACACACACACACACACACATATATATTATATATATAGCAAAAGTCCTTGACATGTGTGTAAAGATTCATTCTTTTCTACCTCTCTAGCTCTACATAATAAACATTTTAAGCCACATAGGTAGAATGAAGAAGGCATGGTTCCGTCTTTCACCTGCTACCAGGTTTGGGCTACAGTTTCTTCCCAGGAAAGGCTGGTCATTAGCATTTGTCCTCTACCACCAGCCCCTGTCACATACACCAGCTCTGTTTTGCAGAAGTTTTATTCCAGGTAAGAAAGCTAAGAGTACCAGGCCTCTATTTCTTCCTTTGAGTATCCTCTCATTGGGTGGAATATAGATCCTATGTTCAGCAGGTAAGAAACACTGGACCCCATTTTCATGGTCCTCAGTTGTTCAGAGGTGAAACTGGTAAGCAGGAAGAGACAAGATGAGAATACCAGTTGTCACCACCACACCCAGTGCCCTATTCTGAAAGCAAAAGTGTTATAGTAAGAGGATGCTCTCTACCTAAGATCAATAAGAGGAAAATAATATTTACTCTTGCTGCCTTTTAAAAACAATGTCGTAGAAAATCTGGTGAGGACAATAAAGCAAGTACTAAAATGCATCTAGATTAAAAAGAAAGAAATACAAATATCTCTCTTGCAGATGAAATAATTCTGTATGGAGAAAATCTTCAGGAATCTAATATACTAATATAAAAAATAATAAAGAAATTCAATAAAGTTTGTGAATGAAAGATCAATATTTAAAATTCATAAATTTCTACATCTTAGCAATACAAATCTAAAAATAAAATTTAAAAATCAGTTTCATTTTTAATAGCATCAAATAGAAAAAAACACTTAGAAATAAATTTAACAAATAAGTGAAAGACTTGTAATCTGAAAGCAACAAAATATTGTTGGATTAATTTAAAACCTAAATAAACAGACATTTCATACATATTGATTAGAAGATTTAATATGGTTAAGAGAGAAATATCTCCAAAATTGATTGACAAATTCAACAATATCTCTATAAAATTCCCAGCTACTTTTGTGAACAAATTGTAAGATGATGCAAAAGTAATATATAAATGTGAATAATCCATAATATTCAAAAATTATGATAAAGATGTGATATCACCAAGATGACAGGGTAGGAGATATCAGCTTTCATCCTGCCACAAAAAAAAATAGAAATAAAAAACAGACAGTTATTTACAAATCAAAATAGGCCAGAGAGGGCTCAAGGGCCCATTAGAAAATCTGCAGCAACACAGTGGAACAAAAAAAAAAAAAGAAAGAAAGAAAAGATGGAGAATATCCACATAGAAAGGATCTCTAGTGATACTGACATACATGGGAATAAGAAAGATGGAAGCTATTGGTATCAGCCATGTGATGGGAGCCACCATGCTCCCCAGCAACCTGCTACACAGAGGACACTGGCATCTCTTGTCACTGAGGTAACCAACAGCTAATCCTGCCAGGAAATCCTAGAGAAGAAAACATGGCTGCACACCCATATTCCCCAAAGAAACAACTGCTTGGGAAAGGAGCCATTACCTAGCCCAACTCTTCATGTACCCCAACCCTGTATACATGGCTACTCTCTGAGTCTCCAAAGTAAGGACCCATGCTCAGTGGCAACACTGGATGGATCCACGTTTCAGATATCAGAGCCAATGGCAGAGCAAGCTAGTTTTCACTCTGGGCCATGGAGCCAAGCACTTGCTGTGGGCACCAGCTCTGCTGCTATGGAGAGCTAGGCACCATATGCCCATGCTCTGGGGCACCAGCTCTACTGCTATGGAGGGCTGGAACCTGCCGTAATCCCAGAGTCACTCTACCCTGTGCATTCCTGTGCTGTCATGCTTGGTTTCTCAGATAATTCACAAGAATCTGTACCTTGCATACTGTTACCAAAATGGAGGCAGGGGGTGCCTTCATCATGGGCACCAGTTCCCCAAATCTCAGAGCTATAGTCCCTCCGTGTGTGCCCATGCTTCAGGCCTTAGCCCCATGGTCACTCCATAAACACCACCCATGAAATACCAGTGCCACAACCACTGCAAGCAAGCCTATAAGCCATACCCAGTGCCAATAAAAATTTCTTCACCCACAATTTTTCTGGTTGGAGATAGAGATATTGGGAAGATCTTTGCCAACAAAGAACCAGTGACCCTTCCCACCATTGTAGATATCCACAGCACTAAACACTGAAGATGCCTATAATCTTCATCAACATGGACCTCAGCTTACAAAGCCACACAGATAATACAAAGCTGGCACTATTACTGGTTCTAGAATCACTATGCCCCAATAAGCAAGCAACCTTGCACTCCTTAAAGTCTTTTCACAATGAACCTAGCCCATAAAGTCTTCAAGAGGTGACTACTCTGCCAAATGCATAAATATAAATGTAAGGCAACAAGAAACATTTAAAAAGAGGACACATAATGCCACCAAAAGTACAAAATAATCTCTCCATAGCTGACAGCAAAGAAATGGAGACATACAAATTTCCTGTCAAAGAATTAAAAACAATTGTTTTAAGGAAGCTCAGGGAAACTGAAGAAAATACAGAGAATTTACATGAATTCAGGATATCAATCAATGCCTGAAGTGAAAAATTTACCAGAGAGATTGGAAATTTTTTTTTAATTCTTCAGTTCAAAAATATAATGAATGAAATGAAAAATACAGTAGAGAACATCAACAGCAGAATGATCAATCTTTCAACTTGAGGACAGGTTATTTGAAAATACATAGTAAGAACAGAAAAAAGAAATAAGAATAAAAAGGAATAAAGGAAGATCACAGGATTTACAGAACAGTATCAAAAGAGCAAATATTTGAGTTGCAGAAAGTCAAAAAAGAGAAGAGACAATGGAATAGCAAGTTTATTTAAAGAATTTAAAAGCAGAATCCTTTTCAAATCTGGGAAAAGATCTAAGTGTCCACATACATGAAGGTTAAAGGTCTCTAACCAAATTTAACCAAAACAAGACTACATTGCCATAATCAGACTTCAAAAATAAAATACAATGTGAGGATCCTGAAAGCAGCAAGAAAATAGAAGTAAATTATAAAGACGGGAATTTCAGAAGGCTATCATAAGATTTCTCATCAGAAAGCTTATAAGGCCAAGAGACAGTGTGATGATATATTCAACATGCCAAAAAACAAACTACCAACGAATAATTTTGTAACTAGAAAAGCTGTCCCTCAGAAATTAAAGATACATAAAACAAAAGCTGAAGGAGTTCATTACCACCAGACTTGTCTTCCAACAAATACTAACAAATTATTCAAGCTAAAAGAAAAGGTTGCTAATTGGTAATAGAAAAACATTTGAAAGTATAAAACTTACTGGTAAAAGAAAATACACTATCAAATTTAGAACACTCTAATACTGTAATGGTGGCATGAAAACTATTTATCTCTTTAGTATAAAGGTTAAAAGACAAATCTATTAAAAATAATAAATTGTAATTTTCCCAATACAAAGAAAAGATAAATGTTTGAGGGGAAGGATATACGGATTACCCATCCACCATGTGAGGACAAGGCAACAAGGAACCATCTATAAGGCAGAGAGTAAAACCCTACTGGAAACAAATTTCTGCTATGCCTTCACCTTGGACTTCCCAGCTACCATAACTATGAGAAACAAATGTCTGTTGTTTATAAAATACCCAGCCTAAGATATTTTCTTATACCAGCCCAAAAGGACTAAGAAGGGAATGTAAAGCAAAAATGCATCATGTTTATTATGCAATCAAAATTAAGTTGTTATCAGCTTAAAATAACCTGTTATAAGATATTTTATCCAAGCCACATGGTCACCACGAAACCAAAACCTACAGTAAATACACAAAAGATAAACAGTAAGGAATCAGTGAATTCTACTAGAGAAAGTAATCTAATCACAAAGAAAACCATCGAGAGGGAAAGAAGGAAACAAAGGTCCTACACAACAACCAGAAAACAATTAACAAAGTAGCAGTTGTAAGTCCTTACCTATCAAATATTACCTTGAATGTTAATGGATTAAAATTTCCAATTAAAAAACAGTGGCTGAATAAATGGAAAAAATAAAGGTAAAGCAAAGAAAGCAAAGCAAAACAAAAGAAGTGACTCACTTGCTGCCTACAAGAGACTCACTTCACCTTTAAGGACACACAAAGACTGAAGTGAAAGAATGCAAAATGATATTCATTGCAAATTAAAATAAAAAAGAACATGGCTAGCTACAGTTCGACAAAATGGACTTTAGGCCAACAACTGTACTAAGGGAAAAAAAAAGGGCCATTATATAATGATAATGAAATAAATTCTTGAAAACTGTATAACAAATGTAAATATATATGCACTCAATATTGGAGGAGCTAAATATATAAAGCAGATATTAATAGAACTGAAGAAAAAGATAGACTGTGATAAAATAGTGTGGGGCTTCAGAACTTAACTTCCAATAGTGGACAGATGATCCAGAGAAAAAATTAATATGCAAAGATTTGAATTGAACTGCACTCTAGGCAAAATGGGCTTAATAGAAATATACAGACATATCATCCAATAGCAGCAAAACAAACATTCTTCTCAAGCACACATGGAACGATCTCTGTGGCAGATCATATGTTAGGCCACAAAATATCTTTTAACAAATTGAAGAAGACTAATAGTATATTAAGTATTTTTTGATAACTGAAATGAAATTAGAAATCACTAATAGAAGAAAATTTGAAAAAGTCACAAACGTGGAAATTAAACATGCTTCTAAAGAACCAATAGGTCAGATAGGAAATTAAAGGGAAATTTTAAAATACCTCAAGACAAATGAAAATGGAAACATAGCATAACAAAACTTACAGAATGCTGCAAAAGCAGTCTTAAGATGGAACTTTACAACAATAAATGTCTACATAAAAAAGAAAATTCCCAAATAAAATCCTAATATTGTCCCTCAAGAAACCAGAAACTAGAAAAAATACTATAGTAAGCCAAAAGTTAATAGAAGAAAGGGAATAATAAAGATCAGAGCACTGATAAATAAAATAGAGAACAGAAAAACAATGGAGAGGATTAAGAAAATGAAAAGTTGGGTTTTTTCCTGAAAAGATAAATAAAATCCACCTAACTTTAGCTAGATTAAGAAAACAAGAGAAAAGAACAGAAAGGAAAGAGGACACATTACAACTAATATAACAGAAATAAAAGAATAAGAGACTACTATGAATAATTATATGCCAATGAATTGGATAATCTGTAATAAATAGTTAAATTTTTAAACACATACAATCTAACAAGACTAAGTCAAGAAAACATAAAAAATCTGAACAGCCCAATAGCAAGTAAAGACATTGAAGAACTAACCAAACATCTCCAAGCAAAGAAAATCGTAGTACTAGACAGCTTCACTGCTGAATTCTACCAAACATTTAAAATCAATTAAAGACAATTATTTTCACTCTTCCAAAAAAGTTAGAGGAAAGAACATTTCCAAATTCATGTTACGAGGTGAGCATTACTCTAATATCGAAACCATAAAAAGATGCTACAAGAAAAGTACAGGCAAATATTCCCAATGAACAAAAATGCAAAAATCCTCAACAACAACAACAAAATTAGCAAACTGAATTCAGCAGCTCAGTAAAAAAATCATAAACAATGATCAAGTGGAATTTATCCCCGTGATAGAGGATTTTTTTAACATATACAAATCAATAAAATATGATATGCCATATTAACAGAATCAAAGATAAACATCATGAAAATCTCAATATATGCAGAAAATTCATTATTTTATGAAAAAACTCTCAACCAATTAGAATTAGAAGGAATGGACTTAATTATTATAAAGTCTATATACAACAATCCCATAGCTAACCATATTCATCAGTGAAAAATAAAATTTTTTCTTTAAGATCAACATGATGAACATGCCTACTCACCACTTCTATTCATCATGGTACCGGAATTGCTAGTCAGAGTAGTTAAGCAAGAGGAAGAGAAAAAGGCATCTAAATTAGGAAAACAAAAGAAGTTAAATTGTATCTATTTGGCAGAGGTCAAAATCTTATATATAGAAAACCCTAAAGACTACCAAAACTCCTTATAACTAATAGACAAATTCAGTAAATTTGCAGAATACAAAATCAAGAGAAAAATCAGTAAGCTTTCTATAAACTGACAATGAAGTGTCCAAAAATTCAAGAAAATAATCCATTCTCAAAATGTACAAAACTATAAAATACTTAGAAATATACTCACTTAAGGGAGTGAAACATATATACACTGAAAACAATAAAACATTGACGAAAGAAATTGAAGACACAAATAAATGGAAAGGTATTCCATGTTCATAGGTAAGAAGAATTTGTGTTGTTAAAATGCCCATACCACCCAAGACAATTCGAGGTTCAGTGGAGTTCTTATCAAAATTCCAATGACATTTTTCACTGAAACTGAAAAAAAAAAATCTGAAATTCATGTGGAACCACAAAAGGCCCAGAATAGATAAAGCAATCTTGTGCCAAAGGAACAAGGCTGGGGCTACCATATTACATGATTTGAAGATTTAGTATGAAGCTACAGTAATCAAAACCTAGTACTAGCATAAAAATGGGCATTAAGACCAATAAAACAGAATAGAGGTTCAGAAATAAATCCATGCATTTATAGTCCATAATTTTTGACAGAGATGCCAAGAACATACAAGGGGGAAAGGAAAATCTCTTTAATAGAGAGTGCTGGAAAAACTGGATATCCACACGTAGAAGAATGAAATTAGATGCTAATATCAGACTATATGCAAAAATCAATTCCAAATGAATTAAAGCCTTAAACGTAAGACTTGAAACTGTGAAATTACTAAAAGAAAACATAGAGGAAGAGCTCCATGACATTGTGCTGGGCAATAAGCTTTTGTTTTTGGAGAGGAACCCAAAAGCACAGGCAATACAATCAAAAATAAACAAATAGGATTACATACAGCTTAAAAGGTTCTGTGTAGCAGAGGAAACAGCCAACAGAATGAAGAGACAATATATGGAATAGGATAATGTATTTGCAAACCATACATCTGATAATGGGTTAATATGCAAAATACATAAAGATTTCAAACAAGTCAATAGTTAGAAAACAAGTAACCCAATTAAAAAATGGTCAAAAAACTGTATAGACATTTCTCAAAAGAAGACATGCAAATTGTCAACAAGTATGTGACAAAAGGGAAATGCACACCAAAACCACAATGAGGCATTTTCTCATACATATTAGAATTCCTATTATCAAAAAGAAAAATAATAACAAGTGTGGAAAAAATGTTTAGAAAGGGTAACATTTGTACACTGTTGGAGGGAAAATAAATTAGTATAGCCATTATACTACATATTAAAAAACAGTATGTAGGTTCTTCAGAAAATTAAAAATAGAATTATCATATGATCCAGCAATCCTACTACTGAGTACATATTCAAAGGAAATGAATTGCATATATCAAAGAGACATCTGCACTTGTGAAATATGCAGATGTTCATTGCAGCATTATTCATAATAGCCAAACATGGAATCAACTTCAGTCTCCAGCAGCGGATAATGAGAAAGTGAAAATGTTATGTATATAAACAGTGGAAAACTATTCAGTCTGATAAAAAGGAAGAAATCTTTTCATTTTTAACAACATGGATAAACCTGGAGAAAATTATGCTAAGCAAAATAATCAGGCACAGAAAGACAAATACTACATGATCTCATTTATAAATAGAGCATAAAGAAGTCAGACTCAGCACCAGAGAGTAAGATTGAATTACTAGAGTCTAGCTTGTGGGGAAAATAAGTAGATGTTGGTTAAAGGACACAAAATTTTTGTTAAGCAGGATGAATAAGTTCAGGAGATGTATTATACATAATAGTGACTACAGTTAAGAACGATATACTGCACATTTGAAAATTGCTTACAGAGTAGATCCTACTTTATTATTATTTATTTACTTATTTATTTAGAGACAGGGCCTTACTTGGTCACCCAGGCTGGAGCACAGTGGCATTATCACAGCTCACTGCAGCCTTGACCTCCTGGGTTCAAGTGATCCTCTCACTTCAGCCTACTGAGTAGCTGGGACTGCAAGCACATGCCACCACACCCAGCTAATTAAAAAAAAAAAAATCTTTTGTACAGATAGGGTCTTGCTCTGCTGCCCAGGCTGGTCTCAAACTCCTGGGCTCAAGCAATCCTCCTGCCTCAACCTCCGAAAGTGCTGGAATTACAGACCTAAGCCACCGTGCCCTGCCTGGAGTAGATTTTAAATGTTCTCACCACATACAAAAATGATAAGTACCTAATGATAGGTAATACATATGTTAAATGTCTTGATTTAGCCATTTCATATTTATGTATATTTTAAAACATCATCTTGTACATGATAAATATATATAACTTTTACCTATAAAAAAGCAAAAAAAAATAAAGATCTAAATATCTAGATTCATACTTTCTGTTTTCAAAACTTAACCCAAGTCTCCTGCAATCAATACAGTGTGATATTGGCGATAGGATAGATATAAAGATTAACAGGAAAAACATTCAAGGTTTATAAATAAATCCTTACATTTATGTTCAATTGACTTTTTATAAATAGTACCGGAACAATTGGATATCCATATGCAAAATAATAAAGTGTCACTTTCCTCACTCTCTAAATAAACATTGATTCTAAATAAATCTAAACCTAAATACCAACGCAAAATCTATGAAAATTTAAAATAAATATAATATCTCTGTGACATGTCAAGCAAACTCCTCCTAGATATCAAATCCAAACCACAAGTAGCAAAAAATGAAAATAACTTGGCTTAACTGAAATTAAAAACTTTTGTGCTACAAACAATACCATCAACAATTTGAAAATATGATTCACAGAATTTGCAATTCATATAAGAGATTTATTTCCAGAATATATAAAGATACTTACACTAAATTTTAATTCAAATAACACAATTACAAAATGGACAAGGGATCTTCATAGAATTCTTTACAAGTATATATATATATATAATATATATATATATATATCCAGTAAACACCTATAAAGGTGCTGAACACTATTATTCATTAGGGAAATGCAAATCAAAACCACCATTGGATGCAATGCTGGTTCAGTATTCAAAATCTATTAATGCGATTCATCATATAAATGATTAAAAAAAACCATATGATCATAAAAAAAGGCTCAGAAAAACCATTTGACAAATTCAACACTGATTCTTGACAAAATTTTTCAAAAATAGAAACAGAGGGGTGTAATAAAGGAAATCTATCAAAAAGAAAAAAAAAACCCCTATAGCTAACACATTTTGTTTAGCAAGGCTGATTGCTTTCTCTTAAGGTTGGAAATAAAGCAGTCTGTTCTCACAATCTTATTCAATATAGTATTGGAATTTCTAACCAGTGAAATATGGAGAGAAAAGGTAATAAATATCATAAACATCAGAAGGAAATGTAACTATCCCTTCTTGCATATGGCATGACAGTCTACATAAAAAAAAAAAAAGAATCAAACAAAACATCCTAAAAGTGAGCTCAGGAAGTTTGAAAGATAAGAGAGAACACAAAAACTCAATTCTATTTCTTTCTACTAACAATGAACAAGTAAGGAATAAAATTTAAAATACAATATCATTTATAATTGCACAAAAGATGGAATATTTAAGTTTAAATCTAAAAAAGAAGATTCATGGTTTGTATGCTGAAAACTATAAAATAAGTCAAGAAAATTTTTTAATGGAGAGCGATAAAATGGACTGCAAATCTCAACATAGTAAATAATTCAGTTCTCCCCCTATTGATATATAGAGTAAGCAAGATTCCCAACTCAACAAAAATATTTGCAAATATAGAAAATATTATTCTAAAAATTGTATAAAAAACAATAGAGCTAAAATAGTGTTTTTACAAATGAAGAATAATGTGGAAAAATAATTCTAGATGTCAAGATTTAGCATATAGCCATAGTGGTTTCCAGGTTTAACATATAGCCATATTAGTCAGGTCTGTGTGGTATTGGCAGAGGAATAAATATATGGAACAATACAGGAACTAGATAACCAAGAAACAGACCCACACAAATAACGTGGAACTGATATTTCACAAAGTTGACAAAGCAATGCAGTGGAAAAAAGATAGCTTTTTCAAAAATGGTGCTGGAGCAATTAGACATCCATAATAAATTAAAAAAATAAAAATAAAAGTTAACCTCGACTTAAGTCTCACACTATGAAATTTAACTCAGAATAGATCATGGACTTAAATGTGGAAAGTAAAGTAATACTTGTTTAAATAAATTACACATAGAAGAAAATGTTTAGGATCCATGATTAAACAACCAAAAACATGATTTGTAAAAGGAAAACTGATAAATTGGACTTCATAAAAAATAAAAAAAATGCTCTCTGAAATACCTTGTTACGATGAATAGAAGGAAAACTACACACTGGGAAAAAAATTTGTGCAGTTGTATTGCCAAAGAGCTAGTATCTGAAATAGATCAAGAACTTTCAAAACTCACCAATATAAAACGAACAAACAAGCAAACAATCCAACTGGAAAATCACCAAAAGACATGAGCAGATATTTCACTGAAGAAGATGTACAGACAGCAAATAAGCACATAAAAAATGTTCAACATCATTAGTCAAAAGGTAAATAGAAATTAAAACCACAATAAGATATCACTACACACCTATCAGAATGACCAAATAGATAGACAGATAGATTGATGATAAACAGATAACTGATAGATAGATGTAGATATAGTGATAACATCTGTAATACTATGATATCATAATAGACATGTATTTTTTCTTTATCCCTAGTTCCTGGCACAGAGCTCCTAAAATCCCTGGAATTTCTGAGTAATAGGTATAAGTAAAACATATTTTGCTATTCACAGTAAGCCCCTTTCAAATATTCTTGAGCCTATGCAAATGAAGTGACTCTTGATGGGGCTCCAGATAGCTTCAGGATGAGGCCTGGTTGCCAGAGGAAGCAACCATGTGATCCAGAGTTGGAATTTTCAGCCCCATTCATCTAACATCTGGGGAGGGGTGAAGGACTGGAGATTGAACTAATCACTAATAGTAAATGATTCAATCACTAATGTCTACATAAAAGAATCTTCATTAAAACTCTAATTTTGTATTATGTTCTTTATAATAAACCACTAAATATGAATAAATGTTTTCCTGAGTTTTGCAAGCCATTCTAGGAAATTATCAAGCCTGTGGAAGGGATTTTGTGACTACCCAAATATGTGCTTGGTTGGTCAGAAGTATGGATGGACCAGGCTTGCAACTGGAATGTTTACTGAGGGTAATCTTGTGGAGCTGAGTCCTTAACCTGTGGAGTCTATTTTAACTCTAGGTAGGTAGTTTAAGATTGAATTGAATTGAATTGAATTGAATTATTGGACTCAATAGAATCACCCAGTTGATGTGTCAAAAGTTGGAGAATTGGTTGCAGGTGAGAAATTTAAAAAACACACTTTTGATTCAGAAGTATTGGAAATAGAGGTAGAAGAACTGTTTTTTGTTGCTGTTGCTTTGGTTTTTTTTGTTGTTGTTGTTGCTGTTGTTGTTGTTTTTTACACCAAATGTTGGCAAGGATGCAAAGAAAGTAGCTCATTCATACTTTTCTAGTGGCAAATAAAATGGCATGGCCAATCTGGAAATACTTTGGCATTAAAAAAAAATCTAAACTAAACATGAAACTACCATATGACTTCAGTAGTTGCAACCTTGTGCATTTATCCCAAAGAAATGAACATGTACTTTACATGCACACAAGCACACACACTCACACACACAAACTATATAAGAATATTAATAGCAGCTTTATTTGTAATTGCAAAAAAAATGGTGAAAAAAGATGCCTTTCAATGGGTGAATGGTTAAACTATGATACATTTACATTTATACCATAGGATATCAGTAAGAAATTTAAAAAAGATGAACTACAGGTATATGCAACAATCTGCTCGAACCTTCAGAGAATTTTGGCGAATGAAATAAATTTCATTGGCTATATACTATATGACATTTATATGACATTCCATCCATTGATTTTCATAAGAATAGACTGGAAGAGCACAATATTCTTCTGTTCATTTTATTATGATCTCTGTTTACAGATAGTATTGCCTTGAGGAGGAACATGGTTAGCTAGGCATCCTTGAAATCACTGAGTGCCTGATGTTGTTCAGGAAAAAAATAATCAAAGAGAAGTAAGTGAAACAGTAGTTAGCTCAGTCATTTTGATCAGACAGAACAGGAGTTTAAGTTTCTGCTTTTCACTGCTCTCCACTATTTCCAATGCTCCCATTTCATACACACACACACACCCCTTTCATATCTGCTATGCTTAGTAAGAGATACTCTCCTGGTTGATATAACTCAGATATGAAAATGTACTTGTAGTTAATTTGTATAAGTTTATGTTGTCTTGGCTTCAATTTAAATATGTCTGGCTTTCTCGTGCCAGAAACGGGTTCAGTCATGCTTCACATAGTTTTCAGTTCTACACTCCTTCCACTTCCTCAGTGTGGTCAATCCAGATATCTACCTTATACAACTTCCTCCTGGTGACCAACTCACTGCAGGACAACTGCTTATAGCCGACTTCACTGGTTCCAGTGACTCTCATACTCTATATAGTCTATGAAGATATGCCACAACAACTAACTCTCAGTAACAGCATGACCCACTGGAACTCATGACTGCTTGCTTTAAACCACAATTAAAACTCCCTATAGGAAACCTGTTTGCAAAACACCCTGGACCCAATAAAGTGCCCCTTTCTCTCTGTACATGTTCCCTGACCTCCGTGTGTTTGGGGCCTCCTGAGATGGTGTGTAGCTCCTGGAATTTGGAAGTATTAAAATCTTTATTTCCATCTTGTGTTTCTTCTATTCATAGGAGGGATGTTCTCCATCTTAAAAATCCTAAATCAAAACTATGTAATCAAACAAGGGGCTCACTTAAAAAAAAATCAATTATCAAAATGGCTCAAAAACCAAGTGTGTGTTTCTTCAGGGTAAAGTTTTCTCTTAAACTTAGAATAATTTTTCCTGAAGTCTACTTAATGTAAACCTATGTAATAAAATGTTTGTGTTAAAAAGTTTATTGAAGAAAATACTGACATAGAACTCAGTAAGTTTCTGTCAATCTGCTAAACACTTTAATAATGTTATTCTCATACCAAATCTATGAGGTAGGCCCTATTTTATCCTCATTTTATAAATGAGAAAATTGATGCAGAGAGAAGTTAAGTAACTTATCCAAGTCTTTCAAGTAGTGAGATGTAGAAATGAGATTTTATCCAGGTTGTCAGGCTTCATTATCTGTTCCTTAAACCACTTCATTAAATTGATTGGAAATTCACTGTGGGTAATAAGGAGACGAATATATCTGTCCTTTATCATATTTAGTTGCTTTAAATTTAAAAATTCTAAAAACAATAACCACCAAAAATTTTATTAGATTCCAAAATACTGTTACATGGTACATACAATGACTCATATTTTGGCTTAGAGATTGTCCTCCTTATAATTTCATATCAATAATAACAGTACAGCAACAGTTCATCATCGAGTACCTATTATATGCAAAACATGTTCTAGACACATCACATACATTATCTCTTTAATCTCCATCATAAATGCATGAGGTAATTATTAATACCTCTACTTTATCTCTTAGTAAATTGAGATGAAATAAATGTATCTGGAAATTAAACCCAATTCTGCCTTATTTCAAAGCTCACGTGCTTTTCTTTATAATACATGCATTAAACCTTCCACAAGCAATGATTCTGATGGTTCTACTTTGTTATTTGGAAAACTAGAAGCAGAAAATATTCACATACATTTTTCATTTTTGAATAATCTCTTTATATCTTATTTTGAATAAGGCCTACCAATAGTTCTTGCACTTAAATCTACATACTTCTGATCAGAAAAAAATGTATATATTTCATTTGTTACTATGTGGAGGCAAACGTGACTCCAACTTGGATGTTAATCTACCATGTTGGTTTCTGATGAATCTCAGTTCTGGGATTGCCACCTATTTGCCCCTAGTGTAAGAACATGTAGTTACCATAAATCTTGGCCTTAGATTATAGTAACTGTGATGTTATCACACAAATTACAGTGACATGCATAGCATTCTTGCCTGTTCTGGAGAGTTTCCTTGAATTGTGTCTATAAAAAATATACACTCTTCCCTATGGTATATAAGTCCTGGGTCTAGAGGACAATGGTGCAGAAATCTATCTGTCTTACTGCCACCTAAGACTACACACCTTTCTATAAGTTCCCCAGTAGATCACCCTATACTGAAAAACTAAATTTGTCCCTCTCATTCTGTGATTTCTCAGCTTCTTCTGTGTTTGAGTGTCATTTTGTATATACTGCCTTTTCATGGGAGAGTTAGTGAGCTAGTCGAAGGAGTCCAAGAACCAAAATATGGGCAAAGGGAAGCACACATTAGCAGGGAGAATCCTGAGGTGGCCCTCCTTATCCATGTGAGGTGTTCTTTTCTATCCACTACACGCCTGTGGATCACCACATGAGTATAGTAGAAAGTTGTATGACCCACTGAGGTAAGGAAGATCACCAGGTTATGGCAACAGTGGGTTGGCCACTGTCATGTGCTGTGGGAATGACCACAGAGGCACAGTTTGTTGCTCAGGCAATGATATGAAAACTAGCGGAAGAATTACAGTTAGAAAAGGATATGAGTACCTCTATGTCTGTATTTGTTTCTAGTCATGGATAAGCTCAAAACTCAGGAGATGCAGTTAGAAACCCTTGCCTGCCACTCCACTTTGTATGTCTGAGAGAAAGGAAACAGTGCTGGCTGAAAATGTGAGCTATCCTTGCTAAACTGACCTGAGATGCTAAGATGTGAAATCTTTGGGAATCAGCTAGTGAGTCAGATGAAGACAGAAGTTATCTTGCAGGACTGGGATAACTATCCTCCCCTTTTGAGAGCAAGACCACTAGTGTAGTGGAAAACAAAAGCCCAGCACATGCAGCTGGGCAATAATAGATGACCTTTTCAGGAAACCTTAACTGTCCAAGAGAGCCTCAGCAGAATTTTTATTGGACATAAGAAAAACTTTTCAACAGCTGCTGAGAGGAAGCTTAGCCACACTGTTGGTGTGGCTGTGTGACAGTGATTGGAATGACATTTCCCCAGCAGGGAGTGAAACTGAATAAAATGAGTAATATGACCACTCATCTTGCTTTGAGATAGCATTTGCATCATGCTAGAACTCTCTAGGAAAATCATAGTCTTATGGACTCGGTTTTCCTGGCCATGAGAAAAGCTTGGCCCAAGAAAGGGGAATTCTTTGGTCAGATGGTGGCATGACAATCTCTGGGGAAGCACAGAGTGATTTAGGGAGTTGGACATGTGTCAGGCCATCTATACCCAACAATTTGAAGGATGAGATAAGGCTGTGCTTACCATGAGCATGAAAAATAAATTGTTGCAAGGTGCCCACTGGGAGTGGCATGGCCCCCTCCTATTCCACCTGAGCCCTCTCCTGAGACAAGATGTGTAGGACATGGGGGAAACTATAGCTGATCTTGAAGAAACTAAAAAGGGAAGAGTTAAAGTCGGTGGGTTACTAAAGGAAAAGGAAAAAAAAAAAGGGAGCCATGTCTGCCAGACTAAGAAAGCAAGGCCTAAATATCCCAGATAGGACTGCCAGGAAACGAATGTGGTATTATCTGATCTCAGCTGGGGTAGACAAAGAAATAATAGACTGGCAACCCCATGCTTTATTAGTGGGGCTTTGGAAAAACCTGACTCCTGATCAAGGATTCAGATACCTTCCCAGAACCCTGCCAGAGGAGGGAAAAGGAGAAAAAAAAAAACTCCACATAAGAGAATTCCAATTGCTATGCCTCAGGAGTTGATGCCTCCCCACCCTACAAACTAGAAGTGTGGCCAAGGTCGCCTCCCTGTATGAATAATAGGGGGTGACCAGAGGCCCTAAATGGAGCTCATAATCTATTAGTATCCAAAACCAAGCAGAGAACGTTAGCTTTAATGGATACGGGAGCAGAATGTACTTTAATTCATGGAAATTCAGAAAGATGCCCTGGTAAGTAAGCAGCTATAGATGGTCCATAGTTGAAAAATCCAAGTGAAACAAACTCCTCTCCTCCTTAGTATTGAAAAGAGTGCCCCCCACCCCCTGAGTCCCCATCCTGCTTACTATACTGTATTTAACCTATTCCAGAAAACATCTTGGGTATGGATGTCCCTTTAAGATGCACAACACAAACATCTGCGGGGAAATTCTACCTATAAGTTTGGGCTGTGAGATGTATTTTAAGAAGGGAAGCAAAATGGAATCTGTACAACTCCCTCCTGCACAACATATTGTTAGTGTGAAACAATTCCATCTTTCTGGTGGGATAGAAGAAATTACAACCATCATACAGGAACTGACCAAAGTAAATTTTCTTTGGCTAGCCCAGAGCCATTTCAATAGCCCTTTATGGAGGGAAGAAAAATCAGGTGCTAGCTGGGGCATGACAATGAACTACCGGAAACTAAATAATGTGGTTCCTGAGATAAACGCCGTTGTGCCTAATATAACTCAAGTGATAGAACAAATAATAGAGAATATAGGCATTTATCATGCAGTGTTTGATTTGACTAATGCCTCCTTCAGTGTTCCTTTACACCTTGACTGACAAGGGCAATTTGCTGTTATTTGGAATGGCCAACAATGAGCATTCCAAGTATTATCCCTGGAATATCTACAGAGTCCCACTGTTTGCCATAAAATTATTGCTAAAGATTCAACTTTATGTCCAATGCCACCTGCTGATAAACAGTTTCATAACATTGATGATATTGTGCTAACCTCTGAAGGCTTGTCATTGCTACAGCAACACCTCAATGCATTGAGCACCCTACTTCAATCTAGAAAATGGGCCATCAACCCACAAAAGATATAAGGACAAGGACTGGCTATAAATTCTCTAGGGGTTACTTGGTTAGGTAAGACATACTGACTCAGGATTCTTTTGGTGCCGCTTCACCAGGTGGGTGCCTCTGCCTGGGCTTTCCTCAGCTCTAGGCTCCCCTCAGCTCTAGGCTCTCCACTGGGCTTGCTCTGCCCACTTGGCCCAGCGGGCTGAACTCAGCTTGTGCTACTAGCCTAGATCCCACGTGTATTAGTCCATTCTCATGCTGCTAATAAAGACATACAGAAGACTGGGTAATTCATAAGGGAAAGAAGTTTAATTGACTCACAGTTCAGCATGGCTGGGGAGGCCTCAGGAAACTTACAATCATGGTGGAAGGGGAAGCAAACACATCCTCCTTCACATGGTGGCAGCATGGAGAAGTGCTCAGCAAAGGTGGGGAAAAGCCCCTTGTAAAACCATCAGATCTTGTGACAACTCACTCACTATCACGAGAACAGCATGGAAGTAACCACCCCCATGATTCATTTACCTCCCATTGGGTCCCTCTCACAACATGTGGGGGTATGGGAACTACAATTCAAGATGAGATTTGGGTGGGGATGCAGCCAAACCATATCACCACTCAGGCACAGGGACTCCATGCTCAGCGCATGGCTGAGCCCAGCTTGCCGCGGTTTTCACATTGGGTGCTGGAGTCTGTACAAGGAGGAGGCAGCAGCACCCAAAAACTTGGAGACAAGAGCAGCCGTGGAGCCCCAGGGAGTGTTACAACTCTTGCCCGGGGATTCTCGAAATTTGAGACCCCAGGAAGCATTACAGCTTATCTGTATTATAGCTTGTTCATGCTACAGCTCATTTGTGTTACAGCTCTTTTGTTCCTGCCGTCCACATGCTTTGGCAAACAAGGGTGTGTCACAGCTCATTTGGTCCTGCCACCCTGCTCTAGTCTGTGGCTCCTGGGCTGGCCTGGCCCTGCTGCTTCTGCTTTTCATCCTGTGGGACAGCTGCCAAGCACAGCAGAAGGCGGAAAGTTTACAGTGTTACAACTCCTTTCACACCCGCCATTTGTTGGGTTCCAGGTTCTTGTCCTGCATCCAAGAGGAATGAGGCCCATGGACACTGGAGAGTGAGCAAGGCGGAGAAGGGTTTTATTGAGCAACAGAAAAGCTCTCAATATAAGAGTGGACCCAAAGTGGATAGCCTTCTGTGTGAGAGGGGGCCTGAAAGCAGGTAGTCCAAACGTGTGACTGAGTCCAGGGTTTTCATGGGCTCAAAATGTGGGATTGTTTGCTGACTGGTCCATGGGTGGGCCTGGAAAAAGCACCATTTCATTGACTAAACGGCATCGAGGAAGTTCTCACTTCAGTCGTGGACTCACCCGGAACTAGCAGCTCAGTTTTCAGGCTTTAAGGTGTCTTTGGCTTGAAGGTTGGGTTTCACTACGGACCGTCCCTGTCTGCGTAGGAATTTGTCTGTCTCCTGCTGCTATCAATACCTTACCCTAGGAGCAGTCATTGAGAAAATACAATTTTTCATGTTTAAAACAGTTAAACAGGCCGGTCACCTGTAATCTCAGCACTTTGGGAGACCGAGGTGGGTGGATCATTTGAGGTCAGGAGTTCGAAACCATCCTGGTCAACATGGTGAAACCCCTCCTCTACTAAAAATACAAAAATTAGCTGGACATGGTGGCAGGCACCTTTAGTCCCAGCTACTTGGGAGACTGAGGAAGGAGAATCACTTGAACCCGGGAGTCGGGGGTTGCAGTAAGCTGAGATTACACCACTGCACTTCAGCCTGGGTGACAGAGCAAGACTCTAAATAAAAAAAAAATGAAATAAAATAAAATAAAATAAAATAAAATAAAATAAAATAAAACAGTTAAACAGTTACAAAGTTTCCTAGGTCTTTTGGAATATTGGCCGGCTTTTATTCCATATTTAGCTCAATGTTTGTATCACTTATACAAGAAGGAATCTAGTTGGTGCTTGGATAAAGAACAGGAGGAAGCCTTTGAGAAGGCTGAAATACTAGCAGCTTAGACAGATTTAGGTTTCCCTCTTCCTGGGATACCAATGTCTTTGGATGGGATCATAATCTCTGAGGAAATCAGTTGGGACCTCTGGCAAGTCCAGCATAGGAAAGCAGTTCACCCTTCACTACTATGGACGAGTGCTTAAACCTACCATGGGTCCTGGGACTATACAAGTTTTGCTGCAAGTTGAAACCATAACTGATGTTTTGCTCGTAATAGTGAGAACAGGCCTCCCTATTAAAGGCTGGATAAAAGGTTTGTTTATCAGGCCTATACTGGGTATTCCCTAGGCCTCCACTTTACAAGGGTGTCATGCATACATGCAACAACATAGCACCCTCTCCATGAGTCCCTTGAGAGATGAACTGCATGCTATCTTAGGGCCAGTACTCTATGAGACCAGTGCTGCTTCTACTGTGGAAACCCCACAGGAGATACCTTTAATAAAATATAAAGGCACAGCCTCTATTCTTGTAAACATATAATTCTCAGATGGGTTGAGCTGAGATAATCCTGGTATATGGATGGCAGTAGCTGGCCAACCACAGACAGATACTATATTGTTTGAAATGGCAATGCAACAGAGCAGTTAATGGGCAGAACTCTGAACTGTATGGTCTGTTTGTACCCATACACAATGGCCTACAGTTTTCTGTACAGCCAGTTGGGCAGTATTTAAGGGTCTTACAGCTTGGCTTGCCCAGTGGACTCAAGATGATTGATATGTGCTTAAAAATCCCTGATGGAGAGCTGCCATTTGGAAAGACATTTGGGAGAGGCTACAAGAACCCACTGCTGATTGTGTATCATATTTTAACATACTGGTCAGATTCACCTCCCAGTAATATGAAGGAGATACCTTAGCAAAAATTAGACCACTACCGGCTGGGTGCAGTGGCTCACACCTGTAATCCCAGCACTTTGGGAGGTCAAGGTGAGTGGATCACGAGGTCAAGAGATCAAGACCATCCTGGCCAACATGGTGAAACCCCATCTCTACTAAAAGTACAAAAATTAGCTGGGTGTGGTGGCGCGCACCTGAAATCCCAGCTACTCAGGAGGCTGAGGCAGGAGAATCGCTTGAATCTGGGAGGCAGAGGTTGCAGTGAGCCTATATCGTGCTTCTGCACTCCAGCCTGGTGACAGAGCCAGAGTCCATCTCAAAAAAAAAAAAAAAAAAAAAAAAAAAAAAAAAAAAAATAGAACACTACCTCTCTCCAAATCATCTGAGCTAGCTGATTTGGTACACAAACATAGTGGGCATTGGTGCATGATTGATCTGGCAAATAGCAAGAAGAGTAGGAGTGCCCCTCCACTTTACAGATTTAGTGGCAGCAATAGCCAACTGCTTAGTTTGCTCCTATATGTGCCCCTGCAACATCACAAACACACACCAGAACACATATTTAAGAGCTGCCTTCATGAGAGACTGGCAAAGAGACTATATCAAACCCATCAGTAAGCTTAGGATAAAAGTATGCACTATAATGCGTTGATACTGCCATGAAAATGTTGCAGGCCTTCTCTTGCAAAAGGACAAACCAAACAGCTACCATTAAGGGCTTGTAGCAACCCAGTGTCATGTATGGATATCCTCAGCAATCAAGGCACACATTTCAATGGACATGATACCCAAGACTGGGCACATGAAAAAGATATATACTGGAGATTTCACTTGCCACATAATCTCCAAATGGCAGGATTGATTGAAAGAAAAAATAACATTTTGAAGGCCCAATTGCAAACACATTACAATCTAATACTTTGCATGGGTGGGCAAAGTTTTTGTCTCAAGCCATTAGGAACCTTCATTCGATTGAAATGAACATGGGGGTGGCACCATACCAATGACATGGGACCATTGTGGAGAAGGGTCTATTAACCATAATTGTAAAAAAAGTTCACCCAGATGCCTTTCTACTGGAACTAATAAAAGGCCAATGACAAATGTTATTCAGGACTCCCCAAGACCTTGAACCATGGGAAGGAACACCTAAATGGGGGTTGGACTGACAACTTCTCCCAGGTTAAATAGGGTATTAATTATCGCAAAGCAAGGAATTCTCTGGCTAACTAAAGTGGTCTCTGTTGATTCTGTGGGTGTCTGAACCAAGATGTTCCATGTACCAACACACTGGAATATAGCCCCTTTTAAAAGACTCTCTAGTTGCCCATTTGACATGGTCCTCTGCCACCCTTGTAACCTTACAGATAATGCCACAGGCACCTTTGCCCCTCAGGCAACATGTTTGGCATGCATGCCCAGCACATACTCCTCTGGCTGCCTATGTCCTGACTAAGATGAAGCTATCACAATCATTTTGCTTGATGATGAAGAGCTGCCTCGCCAAGTACCTACCAATCCCTTGTATTTCTGCCCATAGTTTTCTATTCATATTGCTGTTCTCCTCTATACCTCTTGATTTGGATCCTGGGGAACATGGTGGCAAAAGGCATCATTGATTCTGTGTTTTATATTTGCCGTAAGTGTCATTGTCTGCTGTTGTCTGTATTGTTGCTGTCACCTCTGCTTTTAAGTAGAAAGCAAATTGGAGCAGCTTGTCACCCACGTTGGCCTCCCCACTAGAGGCTCAGGGAACATTGCAGAAGAGGTGGGTATGTGAGATTTTCAGAACCAAATTAGAGGAGTAGAATGTGGAGACCAAAGCCTTTTGATTAATTTCAGTCCTGGGAATGCCTTCTAATTTCGACTTTATTTACCATCCTTAGTGTAAGAACATGTACTTACCATAAATCTTGTCCTTACATCAAATCAATCTTGATGTTATTGCACAAATTAGGGGCTGTAACACATACAGCATTCTTGCCTGTTCTGGAGGCTTGCTGTTAATTTTCTCCATAGAGCATGTACCCTCTTTCTCTATGGTATGCAAGTCCTGGGTCTGGGGAGTAATGGTACAGAGATCTACCTGTTTTGCTGCCATCCAGTACTATGCCTCTGCCTGTAAGTTCCCCAGTGAATTACCCTCTACCACCAAAATAGATTTATCTATCTCATTTTTTGGTTTCTTGGCTCCTTCCACATTTGGGGTTCATTTTGCATATATGATCTTTTCACAAAACATACTAGTATTTTTCTTGCCAGTAAAACCCGTAAATGGCAACTTGGTAAATGCACAAGAAATTACAGTACCAGAAGCAAGAGTTGGCAGAAATTTTTTTTAAATCTAACCATTCAAACACAGAAATTATCAGATATAGAGTAAAAACTAATGTATTTCATAAAAATGAAAGAGCTTAAATATGAAAGGAAAAACTACATTGAAAAATGAGAATCAAGAAAAACTTCTAGATATAAAAATACGGCAGTGGAAATTTAAGCTTTCTGTATGCTTTCTAACAAAGTATTATTAATATTTACTATTGAAGAGAAAATTAAGAAGAAGATAGACTGAAAAAACCGTTATCTAAAAGTTACCCCAGATAGATAAACACATGTGCATACAATAAGAAGGTAAAAGATACAGAGGGCAAAGTGAGAAAATCTAATTGAAGTTTCAAAAAAAGAGGTAAGGCAAACTTGTAAGAGATAATAAGTAAGGCTTTCCCAGTAAAGATTAAGACACTATCCAAATTTTATAGAAACCTACAAACAGCAAAGCAAGGCTGGGCATAGTGAAAGTGCAGAACACCATCCTGGCTGAGCTGCCTTCTATACTGATTGTTCAGTCCTTTTGTGATTTCATTGCCAAATGTTTCAAATATCATCCCTGAGCATAATGGTAATAACCTTTTGATGAAACAGACCTGGGAAAAAATTCTAGTTGTTGTAATGAATTTGTGCTATGTTGAAGGTTATTCTCAACATTAAATGTGTTAGTCTTAAAATATGTCCACTAATTATATGACACTATTACCTTCAAAATGTAAAGCCAAATTTCCCATCCCTTGACTGTTGGTTGCTAGATTTCGGGACTAAAAATAATACATGGCCAAGGTATTATGTGACTTCTGAGACTAGGTCATAAATTAGGTATACTTTTTGCTTGGCACTTTCTATCTCAAATTGCTTGTTCTGAAGAAGGCAGGCTGCTATGTTGTGAAGATATCCAAACAGCTCTATGAAAAGGCCTGTGGGAAAAATTGAGACATTTTGCCAACTTGCTAGCACCAACTTGCCTGCCCGTGAATGAGCCACCTTGGAAGTGGATCTTCTATCCCCAAATATTCAAACTGACATCCCTGTGGACATTTTAATTACAACCTTATCAGAAGGGATTAGACATGACTTCTCAGCAAAGCTACTGAAACATTACTCTCCACAAACACTGTGAGAGATAATAAATGTTTATTGTGGTTTTGAGCCACTAGGTTTTGTAGTAAGTTGTTACACAGCAATAGCTAATTAATATAATAAAGTATATGACTCTATGAAAGAAGCTGGTTAAAAAGAATGTGTTAGTTTATCTGACAAAACAGAGTGGAGGGTTGGTGAAAAGGGTTTTAACAGAAATGGAAAAATAATAATAATTATTATTAACACTAAGAATAAAATATTAACAGTAAACTTTGTTTCAAAAATCATGAGAGATCCCAGGGAACTTAGAAAAGAGAACAAGTTCTGATCTACTGTCATGTTTAGATATAAATTATTGTCCAACTTAAATATTATCACAGTTCATACAGAATCTATTTTGGGAAACAAGGTTATTAATCAGTTGCCTTATGTCTATTTAATCTCTTTAACCAGAGGAAAAACAAAGAAAGAAGGTAACCCAATCTAACCTTCTTCTCATAAAGAGATTAGTGATATTTTCTAGGAGCAACAGTCCTTATTTCTGAAATGGTCTTAGGAGGATGTATTTGGCTAAAGATTATGTATAATAAATAAAATCTTTGGCTTCTGAGGCATAGCTCCCTGGAAAATGTCACATGATCTGGAGTATAAAATGAAGAAATTTCATAAATGAATCCTCTCCTTTGAAGTTATTAGCGGTTTCTCACTTTGTAATCTCACCTATTGTTGTGGACCGGATTGCTGGTGCCAAAGAAGAGAAGAAAAAAAAAAAAGACCTGGATAACTATGTGTGATTTTTTAGACATGCTTTGTGTCAGCAGCTTTACTATCTGTATTTTGAAATTATTAGCAAAGCTTAATATTGACAAATATTTATGATTTTTATGAGTCTGAACCTAGAGTGCATTTCTTTATGCTGGTTCAGCCTAGAAGAAAAAATTATCATATGTCCTATGTGTTTAGGCATCCTCAAGGCCACCCGCAGTTCATTGACTTGTTAGAAGAATTCTCTGAACTCAGAAAAATAGTTATAATCACAATTATGTTTTATTACAGTGAAAAGACACAGACTAAAGTCAGCAATGGGAAAGTCACATAGGGCAGGAAAGACCAGACACAAGCTTCTGATTGTCTTCATCCAATGAAAAAATATAGAAAATGTTTCATTCTCCCATCAAAATGATGATGACATGAAAGGAGTATTCGCCAATAAGGGAAGATTATTTGAGGCCCAGTGTCCAGGGATTTTTTTTTTTTTTTTTTTTTTTAAGACGGAGTCTTGCTCTGTCACCCAGGCTGGAGTGCAGTGGTGCGATCTCGGCTCACTGCAACCTCCACCTCCCGGGTTCAAGCAATTCTCCTGCCCTCAGCCTCCCGAGTAGCTGGGACTACAGGCGCATGCCACCATGCCTGGCTAACTTTTTGTATTTTTAGTAGAGACAGGGTTTCACCGTGTTAGCCAGGATGGTCTCGATCTCCTGGCCTCGTGATCTGCCTGCCTCAGCCTCCCAAAGTGCTGGGATTACAGGCATGAGTCACCGCACCTGGCCCAGACATTTTTACTGGGGGTTTGTCACATAGGCATGGCTGACTAGATGAGTGGCTGACCTTTAGTTTCCATCCTTTCTGGAGGTCAAGCTGATACTACATGGCCCAAGGACCATACCATAAATCACATGGTTAGCATAAGTCATATGGTGTGGCTCGAGGACTCAGGTAAACAAACACACTCTTCACAGGCAGGATATTCCAAGGGCTTACTGGTTCCCTGTCCATGTTTGGAATGTGCAAAGTTTGGACAAACCAGGCCTGCTGAGTTAATTCTTTACTCCATAACATGTATGTAATATAACTATTGTTTCTTATTTATTAAACTGGAAATATTATAATTAATAAAAATAATAGATGGGTACATAGATCAATAGGAAGCATTTAAGAAGAGAGATATATATATAGAGAGAGAGTCTAAAATCAATAGAACAGAACATCAATAGAGAATCTCCTAAATGTTTTCCTTTTAAGAGAAAAAAAAATCACAGCTGGAAGATTTGCTACATAAAAAATGAAAAGACAAAAATATACTCAGGTATATTTAAACAAGTGACTATAGCAAATAAGAGGAATAAATATTTTGGAGTTGAAATGAGTGAGAACCAAAATACATGACAATAATAGTTTAAGGGCTTGAGATAATAGAAATGTGAGTGTTTTTTTTTTTTTTTTTTGAGGAAGCAAGAATATCCATCAATTTTTATTTTAAAAATATCTGGGATTAAATAAATTTGTAAACATCTCAACTAAAATGGAACCTAATATAAAGGAATCAATCAACTTCAAAGAAATATAAAAGAAGGAAAGAACATAGAATAGACAGATCTCTTATTCATTCTCTTTTTCTCCTTCTTTCTCTTTGGACTCCTGATGTGCAAAATTGGATCAATCATTATTACTTGTTTTGACACATAATTTTCATTACAGATTTATGAATTCTTCACTGTTAATCATTCACATAGCCATCTTAAACTGCAAAAGTGCCAAAATCTGAGACATACACAGCAATCAACTAATGACATGATTCTCACCTCACCTTCACCCACCTCTACCTGAAACAAAATAACTACTTTCCTAAACTTCTTAATATTTTCTTGTTTTCTTTCCTATCTTCCCTTATAATGCTTAAAAATAATCTCCATAATTTGTTTATAAACTTATTTATGCTCCAGAACATAATCTCTTTATAAATAGAAATGTGCCAACCTTGTTCACTTCTAATTTACTAGCACCTAGAGCAACACCACGTACATCATGAATTTAATTTTTTTATTGCTAAACAAATCATGGATAAATGTATCCTTTTTTTAATTTCTAGCAATTAACACAATGCTTATTATACATATTCTAAATGTTTGCTAAAATAAACATAGATATATATTCACTAAAGCATGCACCTTTATCCTATAGTAGATAAAACTCCTACATGCCAGTGAGTAAATGCTGTATTTTTTTTCTGTCACCACATCATATTTTACAGATAGATCAATACTCTACACAGAGTAGGTATTGTATAAAAATAATAAAAAGGAAAATGACTCATTTTGAAAACGAGTGATGTTGGCATTTTAAAAACATCAAATATTTTTAAAATATACAGAAAGAAGTGGCCTATTCAGAGCACTGCTTATAGATATATTTCACTGTAAACTGCTCATTTCTGTTCCAATCTCTAGTAAGAGTCAATTAGGTCTTTCAGTCTTCCTAATCCTCTTCTAAAGCAAGTGGCACAGCTGGTATAGCTGCAAAAAAAAGATAATAACTTGTATTCTAATATTTAGCTTTGTTGTATACAAATGTGCTATAGAATTGCATCTTAGCTAGCCCATGCAGAAGTTATTTTCATCCATTTACCTCTAGGTACTTATTATTACCGAATCTAGAATGATGAATATATGCTATTCACATTTTGTAGATAGACTCTCTAGGAAATATCTGATGATACATATAATATTGTCTTCTCTTAGAAGGAATCCATATAATGGTCTTTTGGGCTATTTTTATACACAGACTTTTTAAAAATTTTAAAAACCACCAAGAAGTTTTGTCCTGTGAATGAACAAAAATTAATAATCTCAGTAGCTTGTAAACGTAAGCTACCACTTGTAAATACTTCAGAACATAAGGCATGCCAAAGGCTCAGTACCATGCCTCAAGGAGGCTTTAGGAAGACTACTGTACACACAGGAGGATGATAGCTAAGTTGCTGATTTCTCAGGTTCTACGGTCAGCAGATGGGGATTCACTTCAGGACCCAGCTTCATCCTGTTATTCATTGAGTAGAATGACCTTTTCACTGCCAATACTCTTAATTTCATGTTACCCTCACTATCCACCTTAAGTTTCGCAGTCCATCGTTATCACTATTCTCTTGCATACAACCTCAACTGCCAGACATATGATTTTTTCGTTTGTGATACTAGCCTGGCAAACCCTATCCTGCTTTAAGCCAATTGTCTACCTAGAACACCGATCTTCAAGTGGTCCTTACTTGAGAAAAACACACAACTGCTAACCTCATCTTATATCTTCATCTCTTTAAATACATCTCTACTCACTTCAAGTGTGATTCTAGTGCTATACAGAAATCACATCTCATTTCTATGGTCCACTCACTCTTACTTCTTCCCAATTCAGCTCCAACACATTCACACTGACCCTCATCCTCAACTGATCTCCTTGCCTTCTGTTTCATTGAAAAAAAAAAGGAAGCAATCAGAGGATTGTTTTCATACCTCCATATATACCTATATCCCACAAATTTAGTGCATACAGCATAAATGTACTGGGAATAATTATTTTCTTATAGTAGTTATGCCACTGACTTGCAATTCACTTAGGTTCTGTAGCTTTAGTTTGTTCTGAACATTTAGTAACTCTATTGTATATTTTATACGGTTTTTTTCAATACAATTTTTATTTTTATATAGAGTAATTGTGGATACACATGCAGTTGTAAAAAATACTACAAAAACATCCCATTGACCTATCATCTAGTTCCCCACAATGGTAACAGCTTACAAATCTATACTACAATTTTACAACCGGAGTATGGATATTAACAGAGTCAAGATTCAGAACAATTTCCTGACTGGTTTCTTGTGTTGCTCTTTTACAGCCACACACACCCTTCTGTGATCCCTGGTAACAAACAATTTATTCTATATTTCAATCAGCATAATTTCCCGGTGATTCATTCAATTTGTGTGTGTGTGGTAATTTGTGCCTTTTTATTCCTTGCTGTAGATGTACCAGTTTTTTTTCAGCAATTAATTTCATTATTTGCAAGAAAATATCCAAAAAGATATTTTAATGGCTAGACTTTAATATACTTTTTAAATGGCAAAATAGACTCTTTTTAAATTAATTTAAGAAAATTAGAATAGTTTAGACTTACAGAAAGCTTAAGAATGTAGACTGAGAATCACTATATACAGCACATCTAGTCTACTCTATTATTAATGTGAATTAATATGGTGTATCTATCACAGTGAAGGAAACAATATTAATTGATTATTATTAACTAAAGTCCAGACTTTGTTCTTATTTCTTTAGTTTTTATCTCGTTGTTTTGCTGTTCCAGGATTCCATCCAGGATGTTACATTACATTTAGTTGTGATATCTCCTGACATTTCTCTAGACTGACAGTTTCTTAGACTCTCCTTGTTTTGATGTCCTTGATAATTTGAGGAGTATTGGTTAGATATTTTGTAGAATGTCTCTTAACCAAAATTTGCCTGATGCTTCCTTCCTTCATGATCCCACTGGAGTTATGTTTTTTTTAGGAGGAAGACCACAGAAGTAAGATGCCATTCTTACCACATCATGTCTAGGGTACATACAATCAATATGATTTACCACTATTGATGCTTACCTTGATCACCTGGCTGAGCGTATTCTCCACTGTAAAATTACTCATTCACTAAATCTCTTTCCCCTGTTTAATAATGTACTTTTTGGAAAGAAGTCAGTATGAGCAGTTTATACTTAAAGAGTGAGATGTGAGAGTCTACCTACTTAAGGGGGGAGTATCTACATAAATTGATTCAATTTTGTGTGGAAAATTTGTCTTTTTTCTCTATTTACTTATTTTCCAATTATGTCAGTATAGACTTATGGATATGGATTATATAATTTGGGGTATAATCCAATATTTATTTATTTTGTGGTTTAAAATGTACCATCATTGGGTTTTTCTGTTTGCTTTTGCATACAAACTTGTTAACTCAGTCCTTTTTATCACCCAACGGTATTCCATTCTGTGGATTTAATTAACAATTTAATCATGCATTAATCTTTTGAAGGACATCTTCCTTGTCTGAAGATTTTGGCAATTGTTAATAAATCTTCTTTAAATGAATTCTTGTGCAAGACTGTGTGTGAACATAGTTTATCCAGTGAGTTTGGAAAATTTTTTAGGATGGTGATTGCTGGATTGTATGGCAAGACTACATTTAGCTTTGTAAGAAACCGATTTTTGAAGTGGTTACACCTTTTGCATTCCTCCTAGCAACAAATGAAAGTTTCTGTTGCACCACGTTCTCACCAGCTATTAGTTTTTCAAGTTTTTGTTAATTTAATTCTAAGCATTGTACTACCTATGTTGTAGTGTCTCGTTGTTCTAATTTGCATTTCTCTAATAACAAACAAGGTTGAGCATCTTTTCATATGTTTGTTTGCCATCTAAAAAATCTTCCTTGGTGAGTTATGTGCTTATATACTTGATTAATTTTTAAACTAGGTTGTATGTTTTGTGATAAAGGGTACTTTGTTCATTTTGGATATAAGTCTTCTATCAAATATATAATTTAGAAATATTTCCTCCTGGTCTGGGGCTTTTGTTTCTATTCACTTGATCGTGTCAGAGCAAAGGGTATTAATTCTAATAAAGCCTAGCTTATCATTTTTATTTAAGGATAGTACTCTTAATCGTATCTAAAAATCTAATCCAAAAAACCAACGTCATATAGATTTTACCCGTATGCTTGTTTTCTTTTAGATGTTTTAGTTTTGCATTTTACATTTAGGTTTATAATGCACTTTTGAGTTAATATTTGCATAAGCTGCAAAGTTGTCATCTAAGTTCATTTTTTTGCATGTAAATGCCCAATTGCTTCAACTCCATTTGTTGAACCAAAAAGTACCCATTTTTCATTGAAGTGTATTTGCACCTATGTTAAAAATTAGTAGATTATATTTCTGTTGGTTTTGGCTCTCTATGTTTCACTGATCTATATATCTATTCTTACATCAATATCAAACTCCCTTGATTACTGAAGCATTTACCAAGTCTTGAAATAACATAGTGCAATTCCTTCAACTTTGTTGTTGTCTTTTTTGTTTATTTCCTTATGCTTCTTCAATATTTTGTTGGATAATATATTTCCTTTGCCTTTATATTTAAACTATAGAATCTGTAAGTCACTAAACATAAAATCAGTTGCTGGGCTTTTGTTTGAGATTGTATTAAATCTATCAATCAGGTTAGAAATCACTGAAATCTTCACAATAGCGAGTCTTCCAATCCATGAATATAAATTATCTCTTCATTTACTTAGCTCTTCTTTGATTTATTCATCACTCTTTTATAGTTATTCCCATACAAATCCTGCATATATTTTAAAATTTATATTTAATTATCTAAATTTCTGGTATATAGTAATATTTTTAAGTAATATCAAATTCCAAATTTGTACTCCTTACATATATAAAAGCAATTTATTTTTGTCTAATAACCTTATATCCTGTGATGTTGTTCTACTTGATTAAAAGTTTCAGGATTTCTTTGTGTGTGGGTGGGTTCTTTGAAGTTTTGTACAAACAATAGCATGTCATTTGTGAATAAAGGCATTTTTATTTCTTTCTTTCCAGTCTTTACATTTTTTTATTAATTTTTCTTATAAGAAAGGACATGCTTGCTTTCTTCACAATCTTAGAAAGTGACTATGTTTAGTCACCATTAAGTATGATGTTAGCTGGAGAATTTTCATATTTATGATTTACTGGATTAAGAAATTTCCCTTCTATTTTGTAGGGATTTTTGGTGAGTTTTACCATAAATATGTTTTAAATTGTGTTACTTTTTTTCTGAATCCATTAATATTATAAACATATATACACATATATATATATTCTTATTCAGTCTACTAATATGATGAAATGCATTCCTGATCTTTGAATGTTAAATCAGCCTTGCATTTCTTTTGTGAAGCCAAATTGGTCAGCATGCATTTTCCTTTTTATATATTACCAAATTGATTTTTAAATACTTGCCGAGTATTTTTGCAATTGCGGTCATAAGACATATTGATCTATAGTTTCCTTTTTCTATGATAACTTTATGTGGTTTTCATATTAGGGTAATTTTGGCCTCATAAAATTAATTAGGGAGTCTTCTTTCTATTTCCATTACCTGAAATACATTGAGGAGAATTAGTATTACTTCGTCCTTAACACTTTGATAGAATTTACCATTTTAGCCCAGTACTTTCTTGTTTGGAAGATTAATTACTGATTCAATTTCTTTTATAGACATAAGACTATTCAGGTTACCCTATTTCTCTTTGAGTCAGTTGGTAGTTTGCATCTTTCAAAGATCTGGACCATTTCATCTACATTATGGAATTTGTGAGTATAGAGTTGTTTGTATTATTTACTTATTATCCTTTCAATGTCTGTTGATGACATTACTGATGATTCCCTTTTCATTTCTGATACTGGTAACCTGTGTAATCTCTCTTTTTATTTGGTTACCTTGATATAGGTTGATCAATCTTATTGATCTTTTTGAAGAACTAGCTTTTGGTTTTGTTGATTTTCTCTATTATTTTCCTGTTTTACTCTGTCAACATCTGCTCTAGTTTTATTATTTCTACTAGCACTATTTCTCTTTTCTCTCTATTTTCCTAAGGTAGAAGCTAAGGTTACTAATTTTAGATATTCCTTACTTTAAAACATATAAATTTAATGATATAAATATCCCTCTAACTACAGTTTTAGCTGAATAACAAAAATTTTGATGAGTTCTATTTTCATATTGATTTAGTTAAAAATATTTAAAATTACTTTTCATATTTCTGACCAGGCATGGTGGATCATTACTGTAATATCAGCACTTAGGAAGGCAGAGACAGGAGGGTAATTTGAACCCAGGAGTTTGAGACCTGCCTGGGCAACATAGCAAATCCCCGTTCTCCACAAAAAGAGAAAAAGAAAAGTGCAACTGCAGATTTCTTCTTTAAACAATAGTCATTTAGAAATGTTTTATTTAATGTCTAAGTATTTAAGGGTTTTCCAATATTCTGTTACCAATTTCTAGCTTAATTTGACTTTGATCTGAGAATATACTTTGTATTATTTCTAGTCATTTTGTCAAACTGTGTTTTATGGTAAAGAATATAGTATTTCACCATACATTTTCCTTGTGATTTTGACAAGAATATGGTTTCTGTTGTTGTTAGAATCAGTATTTTAGCAACACCAATTAAATTAAGGGTCAGCAACCATGTTGTTACTGATTTTTTGGCCTGCTTTCTCTAATCATTACTGACAAAGTAATGTTGAAACATCCAAATTGAATAGCATAGTTGTCTATTTTTCTCATCCTCCTGGTAGGCCACAAGAAGAACTTAAAGGACACCTGAAAAGGGGCTCAGGAAAGTGTGGGTGCACACAGCAATTCATCACAATAAGGAGTATTTTTTTTTCTTTTTTCAATTTGTATCTCCAGCAGCTTTTGCTCTAAATAAGCAGATCTTGATTCCTGTGTCCCTCTGTGTCTTTTTGCAGATTTTCAGATGGCGGTTTGTTCTTTGACTTTAATTCTCTTTAGTTCACTGATTTTCCATTTTCCAGCCTTTCTTTGTTTTAAGAAAATGAGTGGTGACAAGTTCTTTACATATTTGATCTGAATATACTTTTATGTTTGAACTTCCTAATAGTTTAGTATTGTGCAAAGTATCACACCACTTCAAAAACTTGCTATAGGTTTTCCCTATGTGAATATTCTACAGTTGACATTGTACTTGCATCCAGCAAGTTTCTATACAGAAAGAGAGAAAATTTTTAAAAAGACATGACTTCAATATTTGTTATTTATGGATGAGAATAATGTCAAACATTACCTTTTAGAATCATGCAATTTTATAATTGAAAACTGACTCAAAGGTAATCTAATCTAACAACCTTGCCTTGTAAATAAACCTTAACCCATAAAGAAAAGGCCTGCGTCCTTAATACAATTTTCAGTATCTCAGAAAGTAATTTATTAAATTGATTATGGTGACAGATTAATTATCTTACCTTCAAAAAATAAACAGATATGTTTCCCCAAATCTACCTATACAATGAAACTCAACCCTATCCGTTAAATTCTGCAGAAAAAAAAAATCTGATACTTTCCACATATATTTTCACAATTATGTTTTTCAAGAAGCATTTCAAGTAGTATAATTAATCAGAAACCACATGAACATAAAATGGTAAACAATAGAAGCCTTAGCACTTGTAGGTAAGTGTGTCCGGAAATCACAGGAAATTTTAGAATGTTTTGGGTTCTGAAATCCTGTTATGCTTGGTCTCCAGCTGTGTCATGCAAGAGCCTGCTTTTCATAGTAAGTTGTTCACAGCAGGAAGGTTAGCCAAGTAAGGAATTAATGAGCAAAAATGGCCTAACATTTAAGGAAGTAATGTTCTGCAAGCATTACAAACAATCACTGCTTCTACCCTAGGTTTTCTGTTTATTTTTAGAATTTTAAACATTTGTTAAATGACAATTGAGCCATTGATGACTACTTCCAGTCAATCAGAAAGTGCACAGCTTTAGCTTGTAAAGCAAGCCTTTCCCCACACAAGCTTTTTGCCTACCTTGAGAGTAGTGATATTCACATTAATATTAACTGTATACACTGTAACAAATGGTTTTAGATATTAGCAATTTTGTTTCTTGCCCTGATTACTTGTTTAGTCTATAATTACAAATATATACCTTTCTTCGACCTGTGCTTTAACATATCTGAAAGGATCTTTGTGTAGAAAAAGAGATGTGAGTGCCATCTCTATGTCTATAAAACAAATTAAGGAAAAAAGTCAAAATTAAACACATTTTATATTACAAATAAGAAAATATTTTGAAGCTTTGGAAAAATCTAGGAATCTGCTATTTTCAAAATCCAGAAATTTGCATTTCAAAAATAATACAAAGTAAATTAAGACAGAAAATAGACACAAAATGTCAAAAACATAAGCAACTCATTATTTTTCAAAAAAGAGGAAAAAGAAACATAAATAAGAACTGTTTACTCATGCTGAATTTTGAAAGAAGACTATGGAATTCTGAGCTAAAGAATAATGACCCTTGGTTGCAATTAGGAAACAATGAAAAAACAATCATAGCTATAAAAAGTGAATGTAGAAGTTTCAAGTCTTTAAGTAAACAAAGAAACAAGACACCTAGAGTCATGAACATTAGAAAAATATGTTAAACTATTTGATTCCAACTGCAAATTTAGTTAATTATATGCTGTGATATCTCTACCAATTGAAGGTCCACATTCTGTATAAATTACTTCCTTAATGGGAATCTCACTATTAATTAATCAAACCAATTGAGGCTCTCAGACATCTTGCTGAAATTGAGAACTACCTGAGACTGAGTAATTTATGAAGAAAAGAAGTTTAATTGACTCACAGTTCTGCAGGCTTAATAGAAAGCATGGCTGGGAGGCCTCAGGAAACTTAAAATCATGGCTGAAGGTGGAGGGGAAGCAAGCAAGTCTTACCACGGTGGAGAAGGAGGAAGAGAGAGAGAAGGGGGAAGTGCCACACACTTTTAAACCACCAGATCTCGTGAGAACTCACTCACTGTCACAAGAACAGCATGAGGGAACTGCCCCCATGTTCCAGTCACCTCAGACCAGGCCTCTCCTCCAATTTGACATGAGATTTGGGCAGGGACACAAATCCAACCATATCAAGTGTATTTTGACTATATCAAACAGTCTTTAAGATCTTTGGGCTTATCTTTAAATTTCAAGGGTATTTGCATTGTACCACAGAACGTGTCTATATTTGGTTTTGTACCAATCTTTCAGTGAGTGAGATACACCTATAAAATTTAAAAAAACAAACAAAAAAAAACTGCATTGTACAACACCAGACCACATTGCTTGCTTCAGTTTCCTAGGAAATACTCTCCTTTGTCTACAGGTCAGAGCATTCTTACAAAAAGGTTCATGTAATAACATGCATTTAAATGGCTACTGTACGTGTACTATATAATAGGCTATCTCAAGATAATCTTGAAGGAGAAGCTCTGAAAATGCTATTAAATAGGTGATGATTGAATACAGTTTTTAAAAAGTATTGAGTACAATATACCACAATTACTGTATATGGAAATTTTGCAAGTTTTTCTTCCTGGTGAGAAGGCAAATTGTTTGTTTCAGACAAAGGACTGAAAAAGTCTCTGATCCATTGGTATGTCTTTCTTTTAACGTGTTAAATAAATGCTTATTTAAAGAGAGTAAAAAAAAAAAAAGACTTGGTTGTTTTGTTATTTTTAAACCAAGAATTCTTTAATTTTTCGTAATGTAATTATCCACATTCTAAAAGGATACATAATCCTTACTCATTTTATCCAACTCTAAGATCTTATTTTCTCTGCATCAATTTTGTCATAGTTTGCCATCGCCATTGCTGCTTCAGAATGAGACAGAAAGGCTGCTTAGTTTCCCATTTTTATGTGATTTAGAGAAAACAGCAAAAGCTCTTTATTCAAGCCGTAGCTTTCCTAACTTCCAGCCATTCCACAACAAAAGATAAAGGAAGCGGCTAAGCACAAGTTATTGCTTTAGGGGGCTAGCGACTTCCTCGGGGCCCCATATGTGTAGTTAGACTTAAACTTCAACATATAATCACCCCTTCCCAAGGGTGGAGATTTAAAATGTTACATGTGATGCATAAAGAGGCATGTAAAACCACTGCAAAAGCACTAGAGAAATTCCTTCTATAAATGCCCTGATGAAACCCTTCCCTATAGAAGGGCCCTGTAAAACTAATCTACCCTTGGGGAGCAGTCCATTTTTCTTTCACGGTGCTGACTTTCCTTGTGCACAAGCTAAACGAAACTCTCTCTTTCTCTTTGCTGGCTATGTCTGGTGATCTGTCTTTTCCACCCTGGGAGATCACAACCTAGGGCGCCAATTACAGGAGTGCCCAACCTTGAATGAAAAACATCTGCTAAGTGAGTAACTTTGGTAATTCGTTCTTTATCACCAAGAGGATGATGCCATTTATTTACCGTATTTGGCTTTCCATTCCTTGTCATAATATCTTTCTACCCCGTAAAAATAAAAAGTAAATACTTATTTTCTGTGTTCATAAGAATTTGACCAACAGTTTATCCTACAAAAACCGGAATACATCCACTTAATAAGGTAACGTAATAAGGTGAAGTGCAAAAGCACTTCTATATCATTAAATGTTTGTACATTAAAAATGTGCTTCAACCCGGGAGGCGGAGCTTGCAGGGAGGCGGAGCTTGCAGTGAGCCGAGATCGTACCACTGCACTCCAGCCTGGGCAACAGAGCGAGACTCCATCTCAAAAAGAAAAAAAAAACAAAATGGGAGGCTGAGGTGGGAGGATCACGGGGTCAGGAGATCAAGACCATCCTGGCTAACATGGTGAAACCCCGTCTGCACTAAAAAATACAAAAAAATTAGCCGGGCGTGGTGGCGGGCACCTGTAGTCCCAGCTACTTCAGAGGTTGAGGCAGGAGAATGGCGTGAACCCTGGAGGTGGAGCTTGCAGTGACCGAGATTGCGCCACTGCACTCCAGCCTGGGCAACAGAGCGAGACTCCGTCACAAAAAAAAAAAAAAGTGCTTCAAGCAAAATTAAAACAAAACTTAAGTGTACCCAAGTAAAGGAGTATAAGAGGAATACACTTAGGTGCAGAAAATAAATGGCTATATGATGACAACTGGTTCTCAATGTCCTTAATCTTCTATGTGTGTGTTCACCTACCATTTTGCCTAGAACAGACTTGGCCTCATCTCTAGTCTGTCTGTACAAGTATTTTTCCCAGTAAATTTTGTACATACACATACATATGTGGCACACTCATATTTTTAAAAATTTCTTTCCAAAAAATTGTATTAGGCTCTTGATTAAGATGAATGCAAAGTTCTTATTATTAATATAAAGACACATAAAGTAACCATATTCTTAATGGTTATGTTTTATACAACCCTAGAAGTACACAGATTCACCTCAGCCTTTTAACCAAATTTTCAAATGTTTCTTAGTATTTTAATATGCTTTGTGGAACGGTATTATTCAAAGTTCTCTCTCTCTCTCTCTTTTTCTGTGTGTGTGTGTGTGTCTGTGTGTATGTGTTGAGTGTGTGTGTGTGTGTGTGTTCTCTTAAAGAGCCTCATATGTATATATTTGACATGCAGGACTTACAAAATTGTCTTCTTTGATATAATATTTATGTTCCATGAATTTTCAGGTCTGAACTTGAAGACTGTTTTGAGTAATTTTTATTTGCTTGTCTATTCTGTCAACTCCTAAACAATTATTTGGCACATCTATATTTTGAATATGAGTGTGTGTGTGTACACGTTTGCACAGGCAGGCATATGCATAAATGTGTATGTATGTTTTTCTTCCAAAAGGAACACAATTACCTTTTAAATAAATTAACAGAAATGCTTGTTTTATGAGTCAGAATGTTCTCACACAAAGGATGTCAAGGAGAAGATTCATTTGTAAATCCAGTAATAGCATGTACCTTTTAAATAATAATTTAAGAATACCCTAATGATGTTTAGATTATTTGCATTTTCTCACTACTGATTTCACTTAGGGGAATCTCAGGGTAAAGTCTATGTCAGGGCAACCATAAACTTTTCAAGTTGTGTTAAAAATATTTTCTCACTCCCTTTGCTTATTGTTTCCTCTCCACCAAAACTATGTACTTACTGTGCCACAGCGCTCACCCATGGGTCATTTCCCCTGAAAACGCAGTCTTCCTAAGCCAGTGGCCCACATATTTTTTCTGCAAAAAGGTAGATAGTAATATTTTCAGGTTTATGTAGCATAAGATCTCTTGCAACTACTCAAGTCTGCTGTTGTAGTGCACCGTGGCCATAGACTATAGTTAAATGACTGTGACTAATACAAGTTTATTTACAAAAGCTTTATTTACAAAAATAGTAGGACAAATTTCAGATTTGCCTTTAAGTCTTAGTTTGCCTAATCTGTACTAAGTGATCACTTTCAGTACTATGGCAATATTTATTTGTTTCTTTCTTTTTACCAACATAAAAACCATGACATATGTAGGTAATTATATTACACAAATTACTACGCAATTGCAAACTGTAGCTTTGTATATAAATATGTGCATATATACATATATATTGTATTTATATATGCTGTAGCTTTGTATATATACTATACAGAGACTATATATATATATTCTCTCTTCCCTTTTCTACCTAATTTATATACATATAATATATATATATAAAATATATGATGTACATGATATATATCATATTAGTCCATTCCATAATCTTAACTGGGAACATGACTGCAAGGCCTCGGGAAACATAGTCATGGTGAAAGGCAAAGAGGAAGCAAGCGACTTCTTAACATGGTGGCAGGAGAGAGAGAGCGCAAAGCTGGAGATGTCACACACATTCAAACACCAGATCTCATGAGAAGTCACTCACTGTTATGAGAACAGTGTGGGGGAAGTCCACTCTCATGATTCAGTCACCTCTCACTAGACCCCTCCCTTGATATATGGGGATTACAATTTAAGATTGGATTTGAGTGGAGACACAGAACCAAAGCATTTCATTCCACCCCTAACCCCTCCCAAATCTTATGTCCTTCTCAAAGTTCAAAACAGCCACGCCTTCCCAACAGTCCCCACAAAGTCTTAACTCATTCCAGCATTAACCCAAAAATCCAAATCCAAAGTGTCATTTGAGACAAGACAAGTCCCTTCCACATATAAGCCTGTAAAATCATAAACAAGTGAGTTACTTCCAAGATACAATGTGGGTATAGGCATTGGGTAAATGCTCCCATTGCAAAAAGGATAAATTGGCCAAAACCAAGGGGCTACAGACTCCATACAAGTACAAAACCCAGCAGAGCAGTCAGTAAATCCTACACCTCCAAAATAATCTTCTTTGACTACATGTCTCACATGCAGAGCATGCTGATGCAAGGAGTGGGCTCCCAAAGCCTTGAGAAGCTCCAACCCTGTGGCTCTGTAGTATACAGCCCTTGCAGCTGCTTTCACAGGATGGCATTTAGGGCCTGCAGCTTCTCCAGAAGCATGGTGCAAACTATCAGTGGATCTATCATTCTGGGGTCTGGAGGATGGTGGCCTTCTTCTCACAGCTCCACTAGGTAGTGCCCAGTGGGGACTCAGTGTGGGGGCTCCTACAACCTATTTTTCTCTTATACTGGCCTAGTAGTAATTCTCTATGAGGGCTCTGCTCCTGCAGCAGACTTCTGCCTTGACATCCATTCATTTCCATACATCCTCTGAAATCTAGGCAGAGGTTTCCATACCTCAACTCTTGTCTTCTGTGCATGTGCAGGCTGAACACCTTGTAGAAGCCACCACGGCTTCGGGCTTGCACGCTCTGAAGCAATGGCCCAAGCTACACCTTGACCCTTTTTAGATATTGCTGAAGCTGGAGGGGTTAGGACACAGAGCATCATGTCCCAAGGTTGCACAGAGTAGTCGGACCCTGAGCCTGTCCCATGAAACCATTTTTCCTTCCTAGGCCTCCAGGCCTGTGATGGGAGGGGCTGCTGTGAAGATCTCTGGTATGACTTAAGAGATATTTTCTTTATTGTCTTAGCTATTAACACTTGGCTCCTCTTTACTTACTCAAATATTTGCAGCCAGCCAGCTTGAATTTCTCCACAGAAAATGTTATTTTATTTTCTACCACATAGTCAGGCTGCAAATTTACAAAATTGTTATGCTCTGCTTCCCTCTTAAACATAAATTCCAATTTCAGACCATCTCTTTGTGAATGCATACGACTGTATGCTGTGAGAACCTGGCAGGTTAAATCTTGAATGCTTTTCTGGTTAGAAATTTCTTCTGCCAGATACCCTAAATCACCTCTCTCATGTTCAAAGTTCCACAGATCCCTAGAGCAAGGGCACAATGCCATCAGTCTCTTTGCTAAAGCATAGCAAGAGTGACCTATGCTCCAGTTCTCAAGAAGATCCTCATTTCCATCTGAAACCACCTCAGCCCGGACTTTACTGTCATATCACTATCAGAATTTTGGTCAAAACTATTCAACAAGTCTCTAGGAAGTTCCCACCTTTCCCACATCTTACTGTCTTCTTCTGAGCCCTACAAACTACTCCAACCTCTGTCTGTTACCCAGTTCCAAAGTCACTTCCACGTTTTCAGGTATCTTTACAGCAGTGCCCCATTCTTCTGGTACCAATTTTCTATATTAGTCTGTTCTGACACTGCTATAAAGAGCTACTTGAGACTGAGTAATTTATAAAGAAAAGAGGTTTAATTGACTCTCAGTTCCACAGACTTAACAGGAAACATGACTGGGAGGCCTCAGTAAACTTACAATCACGACAGAAGGTAAAGGGAAGCAAGGCACCTTCTTCACATAGCAGCAGGAGAGAGAAAGAGCAAAGCGACAAGTGCCACACATTTTCAAACAACCAGATCTCATGAGAACTCACTCACTATCATGAGAACAGCAAGGGGGAAGTCTGTCTTATGATGTAACTACCTCCCACCAGGACCCTCCTCTGACACATGAGGATTACAATTTGACATGAGATTTGGGTGGGGAAACAGAGCCAACCCATATCATATCATAAACACACAAACACACACACAGAAGAGAGATAATATGTATATCATATATATAGACACCCATATGTATCTATGTGTATATATAAAGAGATCTATATGTATTTATGTGCATATATATTTATGTATATATATAGAGAAAAAAACACAAAGAGAAAGAAAGAGAAAGGGACAGTCATTTTTAATAACTTCATTTAATTTTATGTTATGGGTGAATCACAATTTAGGTGATACCTGAAAGATTTCTCCACTGTAAAGTTAGTATAATCCTTTGACAAATAAGTATCTAATAGAGAGGCATTTTGAGAACATGTGAATAGTCTGTACTCTTGCAATTTTCACTCATTAATTTTATTTTCCATTGATTATGTTTGCCTGTACCAATTATTATTATGGGGGATGCTACCCTGAAAAGTTCTTACTCTATTTTTATCATTTATACATTATTTTTCTACTCTATGAAAGAGACTTTCTTTGTAATTACTTATTAGTTAATTAATTATATCAGTATAGACTCATAGACTCCTATTATATTTAATGAGATATTGCATCTGTTCACCTGTTTCACAGCTTTTCATCTTGTTTTGTATTTTTAAACTCATGTATAAGAGTAGTTTTAAACTTCTTGTTTAATCATCCAGCATGTGGCTTATCTCAGAATATATTCATATTTGTTTTTTGGTTTTTTTTTTGTCATGACTCATATGTTTGTGCTTCTTTACCCATTTGGTATTTTTTGTTGCATGTTGGCCCTGTGAATACTATATTGTTGAGTTTCTGGATTTTGCTGCTTTCTCTAAAGAGGGGCAAATTTTATTCGTTTAAAAAAATAGTATATGGTGGCCGGGCACGGTGGCTCACGCCTGTAATCCCAGCACTTTGGGAGGCCGAGACAGGCGGATCACGAGGTCAGGAGATAGAGACCATCTTGGCTAAAATGGTGAAACCCTGTCTCTACTAAAAATAGGAAAATATTAGCCAGGCGTAGTGGCGGGCACCTGTAGTCCCAGCTACTAGGGTGGCTGAGGCAGAATTGTGTGAACCCGGGAGGCAGAGCTTGCAGTGAGCCGAGACGGCGCCACTGCACTCCAGCCTGGGCAAGTGAGCGAGACTCTGTCTCAAAAAAAAAAAAAAAAAAATAGTATATGGTAAACAGACTTATCCTCTTAAAATCTGTTTTTAGGCTTTATTGAGTACCTCTAGGGGTATTCAAAAGCATCTTTGCACTCTCAATGGCCAGATTCTAAGGTCCCACAGCACTGTGTTATCACTGGAATTTTTATTTGGCTCATAGGCTCCATGGACCTCATCTCTGCAAAACCTTGTAGTCTTACTCTGTGTATGTGCAGTTTAGTAACTGACCAAAGACTCAAGGATGAACCTGTGAATATTACTGGCTCTCTTTCTCTGCTCTCTCTCCTTCTCTCATTCTTTGGCATGCCTTTTCTTATGTACTTTTCCTCTCAAATTTTAATTTAATAGCCTCAAACATCAATCTGTTTTTTCTTTACTCATTGTGTGATGTATTTTGGAGAATGTCCAAAGACAGAAAGCTTGGGTGAACCTGTAGTTTATCATGTCTGTTTCCCTACTCTAAAGATACCAGTCCTGTCTTCTCTGTTGTCCAATTTTAAAATCACTTATTAAATGTTGGCCGCTTATCTATTTGTTTAAGTCAAATACACATTAATTTATTATAAATAGACTTGAAAGTCAGCCTTTCTTTGAAGTTGAGTAAAATTTAGAAATAATTTTACAAAAATAAATAAAAACTGGTTCTGAATATAAAGATAAAGGAAGAAAAGTTAGAAGAAAAATACATATTACAAGAAGAAAGACAGGAAAATATAGAGTTCTTTTTAGTTTTAGAACATCTTAGGCAATACAATCTTTGCCTAAATGAGAAAAAAATCTCAGAGTAGAGATTTTAAAAATTGCAAAAGTCATTAAATAGCATTGAAAAACAATTAAGGTGAGTGAGGAAGAGCTTAAGAAAAGTTAAATAGAGGAAATTGTTACAAATTGCAAGGGTCATTTTTGAAACAAAAAAATAAAAATTGATTAAACATACCTGAACAGAAGAATAAAAACAAAATAAAAATAAAAGAATCTCAAAATGTACTTTATTGTTCACATGTATTTAATGTTCCTTACAAAACAAATGGGAAAATGATAAAAAGGAAAATATAATGTAATAATACATTTTCTGGAATAAAATTTAGAATGTAGAAATTGTAAGCATATAGTTTGTTATGGGCTAAGAATTAAAAGAAATAGGCCAGGCATGGTGGCTCACACCTGTAATCCTAGCACTTTGGGAGGCCAAGGCAGGCAGATCACCTGAGGTCAGGAGTTCCAGACTAGCCTGGCCAACATGGTGAGACCCCGTCTCTACTAAAAATACAAAAATTAGCCTGGCATGGTGGCAGGCACCTGTAATTCCAGCTACTCAGGAGGCTAAGGCAGGAGAATCACTTGAACCTGGGAGGTGGAGGTTGCAGTGAGCCATTGCACCCCAGCTTGGGCAACAAGAGCAAAACTGTCTAAAAAAACGAATTAAAAGGAATATCACCAATATACATTCTGGAGAAATTAAAGATAAGACAAGTAACATAGAGGAATGCAGAAACAAACAATTGTCTATGAAGATCTGATTTGAAGACAACTTAATCTAAAAATTTCAACTTATCTTCTTTTCCTTTCAGAAACACATATTCCACATAGATTTATATTGAAGCATATAAGAACAAAAAGCACATGCATCTCTTGAGTGCATTTCAGATATACTATTACATAATAAAGCTTATCTCCCAAGTCAAGAACTCCAGAATGCAGAAGTATTCATAAAATTAAAAGTTTTGAACACATAATTTATTTTGTACAATGAGGAGAAAACATTTGGGGCTTTAATTACATAATAGACTAGATATAACAAGCTTTGAAAATATAGATGAAAATATTTTATGTGAACATAAAATGCAAAATTTATGACACCTTTCAAGTCATTATGGTAAAATTAGGTTTTAATTAGTGTATCATCAAATAATAAAATACTAGGCAAAGGGGTAAGTATTGATATTGAACAATGCCCATAATTTATTAAATGAAAATAATAATTTTTGATACAGCATATACAATTCAAATGCACCTTGGTAAAGTATGATTGTGTGTGTGTGTGTGTGATATGAATATGAATGTGCAGAATTATGTCTAGAAATACATAAAGCAAAACATTAAGGAGATCTCTGGCTGATAAGATTATAAACGTTTTTCAGTCAAACCTTTCTGTATTGCTTATTTAGAATGTACATGCATTAATTTTTATAAACATGGAAGAAAAAAGTATATATTTATATTTTAAAGGCAAGTCAATATTGCTGGACTGTTCTCCAGGTAGCCTTGGACTAATTCAATTCTCTTCCCTTTCTTGCTTGTAGCTCCCAAGAATGTAACTGCAGGATGTACTGGGAATGCAATATGGCGAGATAAGAGAGTAGCTGGCCAGAACAGCCCAGGTTCTGTTCCAGTCCCTTCTTAGAAAAGAATGCCCTTCAATGCTTTTGCCCAATGATTCACATAACCCTGGGCTGTATAAGTCAGAGTGATTTGCAGGGTCCCTTAGCTAGGATGCAAGTGGGGCACATGCAATCAAGACGCCATCTCCAAGCTGGGCAGCTTTCCTGAGCCCTAGGAGACCAGCTCACAGTGAATCTTAGGCTTCTGTTGTCCCTCGCTGCTATCTGTAATAAACTCACTTTGTGAAACTTGTGCACATGGGTGTTATGTCTTACCACACAAGATAAGTTGGTAACTAGTCACAGTGAAACTGCTTAATATAGCACACACACTTTATATATAAAAATAGATTATAAGATATAGATTGCCTAACAGTGTCAAAGCAACAAACATTTAAACAATATTTAATGAATCATAAATTTGGAAATGGAACACAGTAATAAGAAAAATCATGATATAGCAAATCATAAAGAACAGTTTGGAGGATGTTGTATGGGATAATCAATTTCAAAATAATATTATCCAGGTAATCTGAGAGAACACTGTGTGTTTGTGGCGCAACTCTTCCAATAAGAACATTTCTGTGCATGTTTCAAGCTGAGGGAAACTTTCAGCAAATTGTTCAATGCATTCTATCTAACCTATTTTCTTGGATTTAAGAGATAAATAGCCTCAAAGAAAATCAATTATTGTCAGTTAACCTTAGGTTTGAAAATAAAAACATATATAATTGTGACAATTTGTTTAATTCTGTGGCGCTGGCATAGCCTCAGTAGTAAATGGAGATTTAGAAGTGCAACTGGGGCCATTGGTACCCGTTACATTAAGAAAGGAAGGAGATTCTGAATGCTCCTTTAGGTATAAAGATTATTTGATTTGATATCCCTGTGGGTGGTATGTGTCAAGAGAGAAAAACGGATTCCATTTCACATGTGAGCTAACTTTGGATGTTAAGAGAAGCAAGTTATAGGAAGAAGTTTGGAGACCATAGATTAGGGACTTATTCAGTCCCTAAATAATTCAGAATGTTTAGTTCTATGTGTTTCGTTGTTCATAATAACTTATGATGAACAATGAAACACATATTTAGTGTTTAACTAAAAGTAATAACTTTATTATGAACAACTAAACACATATTAGAGAGGAAAAAAATTGTAATACATTATTATACATATCTGAAGTAGGTGAAAAATAAAGTAATATAATTGAAGACACCAATGAAAGCAATAAACTTTCACACTTTAGTTCTATGGATCATTAATGTAAGTTAATATGTTACATTTCCTGCAATGTATCCTGATACATCAATGTGTTTTTCACAGCAGCAAGGGGTGCTTTTGCTTCTGTTGCCCACTTGAGTACTGTACTAGGATGGGCCTGAGGATGCTATTCATTGCCTTGGGCCTGATGCTGTGTCACAGGCCTAGGCCAGGTCACCTTTCTTCAACCTCTTTCCTGAGAATCAACACAAGGGCTATCACACCTCTTACGACTGTCTTTCTTACTAGCCCCTGTACTTTTTTTTGCTTTAACAAACACATTAACTGCAAGCCAAAATATACTTTTGTGAAATTAAAAAAATGGGAAGGGGGGACCTAATGTCCTTTTCTGTGTAGATAAAATTCTTACACTGAACATTCCTCTTAAGAGAAAAAACCCCTTTCAAAAAGTTAGATATAGCCTAAGCCATACGGGAAAAAGGGATTTTTTTTTTTTTTTTTTTTTTTTTTTTGAGGTGGAGTCTCGCTCTGTCACCCAGGCTGGAGTGCAGTGGAGCGATCTCGGCTCACTGCAAGCTCCGCCTCCCGGGTTCACGCCATTCTCCTGCCTCAGCTTCCCGAGTAGCTGGGACTACAGGCGCCCGCCACCACGCCTGGTCTATTTTTTGTATTTTTAGTAGAGACAGGGTTTCACCATGTTAGCCAGGATGGTCTTGATCTCCTGACCTCGTGATCTGCCTGCCTCGGCCTCCCAAAGTGCTGGGATTACAGGTGTGAGCCACCGCACCTGGCCAAAAGGGAATATTTTATAAATGAAGCCTGTAAGAACTCTGTTTATTGACCAAAACGTTATCCCAAATTAACCTGGGTAAAATCTGCTAAAATATTATCCATTGTAATGTTTAAATACCTTTCCTTCTCTCCCTGGCCACTGCCTGACAAACTCTGTTAGGACAACTCTTTTGGGGAATTTTGGCATATGTCCTTGATAATTTGATGAGGCAGGAACTCAGGACTTCCTTCTGTTGAAGGTGCCTGTGAGCTGAGCTACAAGGGAAGCTCATGGAAGTGCAGATATGGTGGAGAAACTCACACTGCATTATACTTACACTTCCAAAAGCAAGTAGCCTTTAAAATAAGTAGTATTATTACTCCCATTCTGCATGGGAGACCTTAGGTGAGACATGTTTAAAATAAATAGCATGTAATTAGAGCCTCATGACAAAATGAATGCTTTGCTAGCAAACATGGAAGAAGACAGACTCAAGAAGTACTGGCCAAACAACGAAAAAGAAGTTCTCCTTCATGGCTTTTTTCTTTTTAAATAGAACGTAAGTAATTATATTTTAAAATCCTATCATAAGAGCAATAAAATCAGTACAGTAAACTTAGGAAAGAGTAAATGCATGGAAGGTTATCAGCACCAAATTAGATTTTCATATAATTGAGCTAATCATACATAAGACAAACTTATAAGTGAAAACTGACGTTCTTTTCTCCAAATTCACATATCTCCACATTTTCATGGGTGAGAAACATATTATATTAATGCTAACCTTTTCATTAATGAGATGCATCTTAAATATATTATAGCTTATTATAGCTTGCTATACTTATCTTAGCTCTTTTAAACTTTAAATCAATGTAGTTTTTCCCTTGATCAATATGCTGCTTAATAAAAAGCAAGCATTCACATTAAAAACAAAAAATATCTTCATAGGATATTCCACAATAAATACAAGAATTTTAGTACTACACTTTTATTATTTAACAGCTAATAAAATTATTTTTAACTAAGATTTGGAAACTTTAAAAAATGCTAAACACCAATTGAGATCCATATAATACAAAATGTTCTAACCATGCAGCAAAACAAAGTATCTAACGAGAAGCATGTGTTCAAATAAAAACAAAACTTTCCCTGATTTAAAAATATAAGGTTAACATTGCCCTCTTCTGGTTTCTTATTCAAATAAGAATACCTACCATGATGTCAAATATCACATTCCAAGTCATAAAGCAGCAACTATGGAACTGGAAAACAATCTATAATACTATATGCAGGCAGGTATAGGATGAGGACATATTTCACCTGAGGGAGCTGCTTGGTCAGAGTTAGAGAGAACTTGACTAGTATTTGGCTCACAGGGACAAGTTAATGAAGGCCTAATGTTCAACAAGGATATATAATAGTAAGATTATTAACACATAATTTTATTTCTAGCTACTTCTTCTTTATCTGCCTCTCTGACAGCCCCTCTCCCTTCCATAAACACAGATCTTCTTAAGGAACTCAAGAAAAGAGCAAATTTAACCATATTCCTTGGAAAAATAAACTGTCACCATGCAGACTAGAAGGAAGGTTTCTCAGAGATTTCCACCATTGCTGCTTCCTTATACTTGGTCATGGTCCCTAGAAAATTCAACCAAGGGCAGATGAACCCAGAGACCAGGGCACAAGTTCATCTTTGGATGCTCAGAGGCTTGATGTTATGTTAGCTTTCATGTACTGCTTATCAAATAATAGAAAACACACACACACCGGTGGCTCATGACTATAATCCCAGCACTTTGGGAGAGGCCAAGCTAGGTGGATCGCTTGAGGTCATGAGCCGGAGACCAGCCTGGACAACATGGTGAAACACCATCTCTACTACATGCACAAAAAATTAGCTAGGCTTGATGGCGCAATCTGCAGTCCTAGCTACTCAGGAGGCTGAAGCAGGAGTATCACTTGAACCTGGGAGGAGGAGGTTGCAGTGAGCCAAGATCGCATCACTGCACTCTAGCCTGGGAGACTAAGCGAGATTCTATCTCAAAAAAAAAAAAAAAAAAGGAGTAAAGGAAACATACACACACACACACAAACACACACACACAGACACACACACACACACACACACACACACACCCCTGTTTGAGTAAAATTCTAACTGACTTCTAACATTCCAATCTTGTGGTCCCTCAATTCCTGGAAAAGAAGTCAGAATGGCTCTTTCTCCTTAAATTTCTAAATAAATAAAATAAAAAAATTAACAGGGAAACAAATTCTAGGTTCATTATTAAATATTATTTCTGAGACTAGTTCTAGTAGGGCTGAGGTATAACAATCAATATAAATATAAATCAATATAAATATGCCAGTCCAGTTCTTTTTCATACTGTAAGATACATAAGGTCAATCTGAACACTTTTGTATATATATGTTTTATTTATTGCTACTCTAGCATCTTGGAACAGCATAAGTTTTGCCACTAGAGGGTCTCTCTTCACCCCAAGGGAGAGAACTTGCTGCAGAATTGTATTTAGGATGATATTCCTGAACAACTACATCATTATCTGAAGGTGGCTCCTATCCTGGAATACCGCTGGTGAGCCTCTGTTAGGGTCATGAGAACATCACATCTTGTGCAACATGAGCTTATTTCCCGACTGGTTCTCAAAATAGTCATCAGGGAGGTATTTAGAAAGTAGCAAGATACCAATCATTGTTATTTCTCTCTGTCCTCCCCCTACCCTGCATTCTCTCTTTCTCCCCTCTTTTAAGTAAAAGAACCTTGACTCCACTACTCCTTAAAAATAAATAGAATTTATCCAACTACAGGTAAGGTTAATTTGTTGCAACAGGAAATTTTAGAAATTACTGGATGACACACTGTCAAATTTTGGAGGCTAACTTAAGTTACTGGATGACATACTGTCAAAAGTTCATTCAATGTTTTTATCTCTTTGAGGCATGCACATAATTAAAATCATTGTATAGCCAGGAGCAGTGTCTCACGCCTGTAATCCCAACACTTGGGGAGGCCAAGGTGGGCAGATCACTTGAGGTCAGGAGTTTGAGACCAGCCTTGCCAACATGGCAAAACACCATCTCTGCTGAAAATTAAAAAAAAAAAATAGCCAGGCGTGGTGGCGTGTGCCTGTAATCCCAGCTACTCAGGAGGCTAGGGCACAAGAATTGCTTGAATCCAGGAGGCAGAGGTTGAAGTTAGTGAGATCGCACCACTGCACTCCAGCCTGGGCGACAGAGCAAGACTCTGTCTTAAACAAACAAACAAACAAACAAAAAAGCATCGTGCGTATATTCAGATCATATGCTACTAGAACATACATTCCACCTTACAGTTCACATGCACTGAACTATCATAACTTACTGAAACATAGTTTCAGTATAATCCCTATATAATACACAACCTCAGCCATGAAGATATAAGCTGCTTCTAGCAGGTAAAATTTATTTTTGTTTTGCTGTTGTTAGGGAAAGGGAGCAGGGCTAGACTCCCCTTGTCCTGATTAGCATTCTACATCATCAGTCTTGACAGTAGGAAATGTACACACTTTCTGTGATTTCGTGGTATGCATTTCATGAAATGCTCAGCATGAGGGTTCCTGGAACTCTTAAAACACATTTAGAATTCCCTAACCAGGCAGGCATGAACAGCACTCATCCTGCAAGCTTCGAGGTAAGAAGAGAAATAATAAAAAGCAAGGGATAGTTACTATTTAGAATGTATACTCAACCCTGTAAAACAGACTTCCCTTTTCTAACCCCGGATACATTTAGCATAAGGGGGTATAAAGCCCAGGAATATATCACTTAGAGTGATACCTTATGTGTAAACACAAGCTTTTTAAAAAGAGTATGCTGATAAAGTGTTTACTCTGATGAGAAGTAAATCTAGCCTGTATATAGGAAGACAGATAACAATTCACTTTTGAGAATTCTAGAGTTTGCTGAATGAGAAATTATTTGGAGTTTCTTGACAATCTCTGTACGATGAAATCCAAAAGTATGAAAAGGGAGAAAGACAACAGAATTGCCTGCATTGCACAAACTCAGAGCAATAGAAACAGTGATGGCTTTAGGGAAAAAAGTACAGCAGTGCGACATCAATCACAATATTCCTCTGAACAAAAGGGCTTGTGAATTAAATAGAATAGAATATCATGCTCTCTTTTTGCTAAGAAAATGCATTTTCTTACACAATGTCTTATATAAGAAAATAGATACAAGGATGCAGAAACTGTAAACACTGCACTTCTCTTCACCCAGCAGAGAGACTGAAATACCTAATTGCAATGTGAATTAAATTTCTATATGAGAGCTTCAGTTTTCTGTATGCAATTTCATTTGTCATAAAGCAATCAGAAATACCAGCTGACCTCTGTGATGACCAATAAAGTCTATGACATCATCATCTTTTGCTCATGAAATAATTAAGGAAATAGAACATATGCAGGAAAATTGCTGACTTTGATATAACAGCTACTTCATGTTTATGACAGTTATTCATACGTTTCGTATCACAGATTTCCTCCAAAATATTCATAAACAAAACTAGTTTCCAAAGTATCATTTTCTGTAATAGCAATAAGAAAAAATAGTAGAATACTTTATAGAAAACTATTAAGAAGTCTTTAAATTTCTGGGAAGTATAAATATAAAATAAAATAAGATGGCAATAACTTAATTTTATTTCTTATCGATATGGTCCAAGTACAAACATTATCAACTATGTGGAATATTCTAGAGAGTCAAAGGTATAGTTTCCTTGGATTAAGTCAACTTGTACCCTCTAAACCTTAGCTTTAGAGAGTTCTAGGATTTCCAAAGGAGGAGAGTGGGCTCAGGTACATTATGTAGAACATTCTGATTTGTGTACATTTCTGGTTTCTCCTCATATATTTGCTCATTATTGTAATGGTTTAAATTTGTACCATTCAAAGTTCTTTCAAAGATGGGACACTATGCATATTTAAAGAAACAATCACAGAATATGCCAAAGACCCATATCCCCTGATCCCAGTGCTATCACAAAAATGGCATTACTAGCTATCACTAATTCTAGTGAGCCATCTAATGATCTTAGCCAAATAACTTTATCTGGGTTTTATTACTTAATCTATACTGGATAGATTAGATAGATTAATATTTGAGTTGCTCATTTATTGTTTATGATTATCCATTTTACTATTTGATAATTGTCTTTTCTTGGGGGGAAGAAACCATCCTTTCCCCATACTTATTTCATGTAGGTTTGGCAGGGACAGTGCTGACTTCCCCAAACCTCTCAACACATTCCCCACCTTGTAGTAGACACAGAACTCTGGCCTGACCAGTCAGTATCTTCCATTCTTTGGGCTGAAACAATTATCCCAGGGATGGAAATGTAACCCAAGTCATCCCAATAAAAGTCAAACTCAAGAATTATGCTAATATTATTCAATATGCCACTTACTTTCTGTAAGTTGTTAGGCAGTGGAATGCTAAAACAAAACTTTTGATGACAATATCAGACACTGTATGAAGTCAACTATCTCAAACAGAAGGAGAATAAAAGAAAAGTAGAGCTACAAAATGAAGAGATCATGTTTGGATATTGTTATTTGAGATCCTGAATCCAGATTGACGGAAGCTAGCTAGATTGAATATTATGAACTCTGCAGTTACATAAGCCCCCCAAATTCCAACTGAAAATTAGAATTTAAATTAGTATTTTATTATTTGTAGTACACTAGTCCTAAATAAAATAATCAAAAGAAGTAGAAGCAAAGGAATTATATTATTCATATAATATGGATAATTAAATTCCATTGATATACTTTGCTTAATTCTTGGACAAAAAATACTACTACTAACTTGTAATTCATATATTTTATAAAAGGTCTATATAATAAACATGAAATTATATCCATATTTTAAAGGTACACTTGTTAAATTGATTTTGTTTATATTTACATCTGATCTTGCAATAATTTGACTCATCTAAATCATTCCACTATATTCAGTAATGATTATTGTACAACTAAGTCTTTAAATACCAGTTTATCAGAAACTAAAAGAACTTAGCATCTTTCTCTAAATTTCTAATTTACTTTCTCAATTAACTTATATGCAAATTATCCTCACTTATTATTTGCTCTAATTATTTGTTGGAGATCTTTTATGCATTCAAGAAATTAGTACTGTGCACCAAGTTCACTCCTAGTTCAAGATCTACATCCCTCAAGAACTCACATTCATTAGACAATTTAAAAATAAACCATTTTTAAAATTTATTTTGAATGGGCTAAACATAAAAAGGTTTCCAAGATAAAAGGATAGAACTTAAATGAGCTGAAGATACAAAAAGTAGATTTGGAGAGGTGGAAGTTTTGGGACAGTAAAATAAAGCATATAGGAGCACCTGTAGGAAGTGAAGAAAGTATTTAAAGAGGAAAAAATAAACTGTAGAAAGTGGAAAAAGGATTTAAACAGGAAAAAATAAAAGAATGCCTTATTCACTTTGAGAGACATCAAACTGTCTATCCAAATATCTTTAAAATACTCTCAACCTGAGTTCAAATTTGATTGCATTGTGGTCTGAGAGAGAGTTTGTTGTGATTTCTGTTCTTTTACATTTGCTGAGTGCTTTACTTCCAATTATGTGGTCAATTTTGGAATAAGTGTGATGTGGTGCTGAGAAGAATGTATATTCTGTTGATTTGGGGTGGAGAGTTCTGTAGATGTCTATTAGGTCTGCTTGGTGCAGAACTGAGTTCAAGTCCTGGATATCCTTGTTAACCTTCTGTCTCGTTGATCTGTCTAATATTGACAGTGGGGTGTTAAAGTCTCCCATTATTATTGTGTGGGAGTCTAAGTCTCTGTATAGGTATCTCAGGACTTGCTTTATGAATCTGGGTGCTCCTGTATTGGGTGCATATATATTTAGGATAGTTAGCTCTTCTTGTTGAATTGATCCCTTTACCATTGTGTAATAGCCTTCTTTGTCTCTTTTGATCTTTATTGGTTTAAAGTCTGCTTAATCAGAGACTAGGATTGCAACCCCTGCTTTTTTTTTTTGCTTTCCATTTACTTGGTAGATTTTCCTCCATCCCTTTATTTTGAGCCTATGTGTGTCTCCGCATGTGAGATGGGTCTCCTGAATACAGCACACTGATGGGTCTTGACTCTTTATTCAATTTGCCAGTCTGTGTCTTTTAACTGGAGCATTTTGCCCATTTACATTTAAGGTTAATATTGTTATGTGTGAATTTGATCGTGTCATTATGATGTTAGCTGTTTATTTTGCCCATTAGTTCATGCAGTTTCTTCCTAGCATCAATGGTCTTTACAATTTGGCATGTTTTTGCAGTGGCTGTTACCGGTTTTTCCTTTCCATGTTTAGTGCTTCCTTCAGAATGTAAATGACAAGTTAATGGGTGCAGCAAACCAACACGGCACATGTATACACATGTAACAAACCTGCGTGTTGTGCACATGTACCCTAGAACTTAAAGTATAATTTAAAAATAAATAAATAAATAAAATAAAATACTCTCATCATCTTAGTTAGAATTGAATAACAGTGCTTTCAAAATATGTATGGGGAAGCACACACCAAATTTTAAAACTCAGCTTCAAGATGACACTGCATGGAACCATTTCTCCCCAGCAATGGCTTTGTAAATAAATGTTTCCAAATAGAAGACAGAAGAATAATGTTCTTATGTATGCCCATTCTCAAATCAAGAAGAGCTGAGCCATTTACTACAATTTCTATAAATATAAACTTTACAATTAACCTTAACTTTAAAAAAGTAATATCTGAAGTCTACAACTCTGGTTTGTCTAGATCAGTGTTTTTCCCAATACTTCAAATAAATTATTCAGAAAATGTGAAAACAAATCTAATGAATTTCTGACAGGACATTTTCTACGTCTAAGGGATTTTTCCCTTAGATGTAGACATATAAAATGGGGGATGATTTTCCACACATAAAAGTATACCCCTTCAAGTTTTACTAAGTGGTATCACAAAACAGTCCCGACATCCATATGCAGGCTAGATAAAAGGCCATAGATTCACTTAGGAGAGAAAATAATCATTTAAGGCAATTTGCAAGAGTAGAGAGAACTGAGGCATATTCCCTTATCCACTTTCAGCCAAGTAAAATGAGCAGCAAGTGAATTCCTTGGAGAGACTATAACAGTGATTTTGAAATAGGATTCGTTTCCAGACAGGAGACCAAAAATTTGTTTCTAGATGGATAGTTGCTAATCTGTAAAACAGATATGGCTTTACTATAATATTATCACTGAGCACTATGGAAGAATATTTGCAAAATTTGACATAGTGCTCTGGAGTTATAGTAGGACATAATGATTTGGACTTGACCGTCCCCTGAATTCTCAAGTAGAGCAGTTGTTTGTAGCTGCTAATGGATTAGGACAAGGAAAGGGGAGAATAATGAGTGTGGTCTGTGCCTCCAGTTTGTTGGAACAACATTGCAGGAATCCCAATGGCTTTATGCTTTCTGACATTTGGATTTACTTTAAAGAGATTTGTCCCAGGATATCTGCCTTCCAGCTGCAGCTATTTTAGTTCAGCAGTCCCAAACTATTTTGGAACCAGGGACTGGTTTAGTGGGAGATAATTTTTCCACAGATGCGGGGCAGAAGGGGAATGATTTGTGGATAAAACTGCACCACTTCATATCATCAGGCATTAGTTAGATTCTCATGAGTACACAACCTGGATCCTCACATGCGTGGTTCACAATAAGGTTCATGCTCTTAAGATAATTTAATGCCAGACTCCGTCTCAAAAAAAAAAAAAAAAAAAAAAAAAAGATAATTTAATGCCATGGCTGATCTGACCAGAGGCAGAACTCAGCCCACCACCCACCTCCTATTGTGCAGCCTGGTTCCCTACAGGCAATGAGCAGGTACAGGTCTGGGGCCTCAGGGTTGGGGACCCCTGTTCTAATAGAAATGCTGAAGTGCTAGTGGTTAGGAATATAGGAGGCCATATGAGAAGTTATTTAAATAGAGCATTACTTACAACAGGTAATAAGTTCAGTGCAGCAGCCCTCAAAGAAAGCATTTCAAAAAATAAGCAAAAGAGTTTCATGCAAGAGATAGACAAAATTTGGTCATATAACATACAGTGCCAAATTACATCAGCTCCAAACAAAGAGGAATTTAATTCACCCTGACTCTAGGTGACTCTACCCCGATCCCTTTCTGGAGGTGCCAGAAACAGCAGAGCAAATGGGGAAGTAAGAATAATAAGAACAGGCCGGGCGCGGTGGCTCACGCCTGTAATCCCAGCACTTTGGGAGGCCAAGGCGGGTGGATCATGAGGTCAGGAGATCGAGACCATCCTGGCTAACAAGGTGAAACCCCGTCTCTACTAAAAGTACAAAAAATTAGCCGGGCGCGGTGGCGGGCGCCTGTAGTCCCAGCTACTCGGGAGGCTGAGGCAGGAGAATGGCGTGAACCCGGGAAGCGGAGCTTGCAGTGAGCCGAGATTGCGCCACTGCAGTCCACAGTCCGGCCTGGGCGACAGAGCGAGACTCCGTCTCAAAAAAAAAAAAAAAAAAAAAAAAGAATAATAAGAACAAAAAGAACAGATCATGGTCCCTCTCCCACTGCTGTTATGAAAATTCTAACGGTGGCCTGAGTTGCTAAGCGTGGTAAGTTTGAATTGAATGAGAGGTTAATATTTTGATTCAAATTTATTAGCACTTTATAATAACTGAAATAAAACTGTTCTAATAGACAAAAATAAACAGAAAACTTTGGGAACATGCTTAAGATGTTGAGAAATAATAGGGAAGAGAAATTTTGGAAAATGGGTTTGAAGTATATAGAGGAAACAAACAAAGCTATTTCCATATTGTATCCTACTGAGAGTAGCATAATAGATATTTCCTGATCACTCAGGCTGTAACACGATTTTAAATTATTAATCTGAATGAGGTGATTCCAGTCCCATCCACAAACCAGAGCTAGTCACTGATAACATTTTGCTTGTCCATCAGAGTATAATAAAAATAAGAAAAATGTAGCAAGTATATTTGATTTAATTCATTCAATTTCATGACAATCCTTTATTGTAAGATTGTGTACTTTCTACTTTACATTTAAATATTCTGCATGCTAAAAAAAATGAGAAGATATAGTGGCAGTATTTTGCTTTTATTATATATCCTTCCTTGAAAAAAATTAAAGATTGCCAACCTTATGTCTACATCCATATTATTTCTTAGCATCCATAGACTGCATTGATATAGGATATGCTATTTAATCTGAAATTATCTAGGTAATTTTTTTTTGTATTCGACTTCACTGACTTAAAAACAACTTGAAAAAATTTGGTTTCGTATTTGTCAAAAAGGAGGCATACATCTATTTAGGGATATATGTGGTATAATAAAAAGTTAACGTCTAAAGATGAACCTGAGGTTTTTAATCTCACCTTGAGTAGAACTCTTCTACACTGAATTGATTCTCCTGTTTCATTACACTGCCTAATATTACTTTCTTTACCTCTGAAGAAGCAACTGAAGTGGACAGTATATTGTACCTTATTTGGAGTGGTCACTCCAGAAAATAACATTTTGCATTATGGAAAAATTCTCATTGAAAATGCACACATCTTTGTCCTAGTGCCCACTGCATTTTGTCATTATTTCCCAGGTCTAAAGATTTTTTATTCTTTGAATGTGCAGAGCTATTCAAGCCATGCAGCCAATCACTGGAGAATAAGAAAACAAAATCATACAGAGTTGAATGAGTCATTTTCAATAATAAACTCCAAATAGCTCCTTTCTTTATTTTGTTTCTACCGCAATTTACTTCACAATACTGTGATTTTTTGCCAAAATATCTTCTTGGGTTGTGCTATGAAGAAGGTGAGGGGACATAAAAAGCAATTTTGAATTGAATTAAATTCTGCAAAAGGATACTCTTTATTCAAATTCTGTCTTATGAGTACATTATGTTCCCTGCTATGTTTCATGTATTTTCCTAAATGAGAATTCTTTCTCCACCATCCCCATTACCTGTACAAACAATAATGAAATGTTGTCCCTTCTTCAATGGTCAGCTCAAAATACCTACCAGAAAAGCTTTTACTGGTCAGTCTAGTGTTCACTGACCTCCTTCTTCCATATAATTCCACTGCATAACCTGTCATATAAAGATCTGTACTTAATCATTTATTGTTGTGTATTTTGAGGTTATTATCACAAGGGATCTAAGACTTATACTTTACTTAACCTCATTAACACACTTCAGAGTATGGATTAGAACATAGGTTTTAAATTCAGTCGGCCTCCATTAGGGACTCTGCCACCACATGTTGGACAAGTGACTCAACCTTTCTCTCTTCGATTTTTCTAAAAATTAAAGTGGGGATAAACTTGGTTTTTATTTCATATGTTAGTGAGAGATTTAAATGTGGTAACTTGTATTTAATAGAGAGCTTGGCAAATAGGAAGCAACAATAAATGCTTGTTGCTGCTGCTGTGGTTGTCAAATAGTTTCCATGTAGTTAATCTAAATAATATTAATCCTTTGCTAGAAACTTAATAGACAATTGTTACTTTTATGAAAATTGTATTTTTTTTTTTTTTTTTTTTGAGAGGAGAGTCTCGCTCTGTCGCCCAGGCTGGAGTGCAGTGGCGCAATCTCGGCTCACGGCAAGCTCCGCCTCTCGGGTTCACACCATTCTCCTGCCTCAGTCTCCGGAGTAGCTGGGACTACAGGCGCCCGCCACCACGCCCGGCTAATTTTTTGTATTTTTAGTAGAGACGGGGTTTCACCGTGTTAGCCAGGATAGTCTCCATCTCCTGACCTCGTGATCCGCCTGCCTCCGCCTCCCAAAGTGCTGAGATTACAGGCGTGAGCCACCGCGCCCGGCCGAAAACTTTATTCTTTAATTTATGCAATCTCTGTTTCCCTATCAGAACTACTAACATTTTTACATAGCCATATCTTTGAAACTAGAGGTGAATCTTCATTAATGTAGCCCTGTTAGTACAGAGCTCTGTGGACTTTCTTCACTCCTTCAAAAATTTTTATAAAATCATATTTTAAATTTTTATGTGGTTACATATTTTAAATCTACATGTGTGCTTTTTCAATAATATGAACTCACTAACAATAGGTACTAGAAGACCATGTTGACTGTGCTGGCTTAATTAACAAATTTCAAAAATGTTTACATAAGAGCTGTAATGCCAAATCTTAAAAAGAAAATGATAGTCAATACATAATTGAATTTTAACATTTGTATAGCCTACTCAGTCTTAGGATGCAAACACCCATCTTCTGCTATTTTTTCTATCAGCATTTATTTATCTTTTTAACAGTAAGATGAACTCTTAAATAAATAATTGTAATTAATAGGATTTTTAGGCAGCATTTTTAAATAAAAAGGTGTTAAAATTGTACATTCGGAACAATAAGAAATAGCTAAAGCAGCTCATGTTAAACAGAAACATTAGCTCTCAAGGGCAAAAGAGGTTTTTTTTTTAAGGATTCATAGTCCTAGAGATGGAGAACACAAACAAAACAAGAAAATCCGGTCTCATTTTCTCAGCAAGATAAGTTCTACCTGGTGCTCAGAGACTCTCTTTTATCTGGCTTCCTTGCATGTCTTTCTTCTTCTCCAATTTGTTTGATCACCCTTTCAAATAGTTTTTCTCATCCTAACAGGGATAATGCAACCAACTTTTCTGAAGCTCAAACTCCTGCTCTGAAATAAGAATAAAAGAAAACATGTATACACATTTCTTTCTTTCTCTTTTTGTGCATGTGGATTAAAAGAACAGAAGGCTTATAGTGTGGGAGATATTTTCCCCTATCATCATTTGCCACATGAGGTCTGCTAGATGGCTTCCAGGATGAGCGTGGCACCCACTGGCCCTGACACAATGCAGTCATCCTTCTTCTGCAGCACACTCCTCCTAAGTCCCATGAAACTGCCAAGCACCTACTGTCAGGGGCAGATGCTCCTAAGGTTAGAAAACATAAGGCTAAAGTATAAACTGGCTCGTCCTGTCTTCCTTAGAGGAAGTGCATTTCTTATTTATTTTATTTTCAGAAACAGAACAGATCCAGTGAATACATAATAAGCAATCTAGTCGGTAAGTATAAGGGCACATGAAGTCCAATTTTAAAGATAAAGTCACCAATTGATTTCATTGCAACATCTGTAGAAATGATTCCCAATTATTACCTTGTGTTTCTACATAGTTTTAAATATTCACAGACAGATGATTTTTATTATTCCAATGGTAAGTGTTTTCTATTGTCACATTTTTAAGGGAGAAAACACACACACAGAGAATGGGAAATATCAGCAGCATAATATGGCCTTTTATAATAAATCTGTTCACGTATTATCAGCTTCAAACTTTAAATCTTTTTCATTATCTGTGGACATAGGAAAGTGTGACTTTAAAAACCCTTCCTATTTTAATGACTCATAAGAAAACAGGAACATAAGCACTCCACTGATATTAAAAACAAAAAGGAATAAAAAACATTGAAGAAGCCTTTTGTACTACTGCAAACAAAAGCTTTCTGTGAAGTGAAAAACAACAGAAATGTACCTGATAAAAACCATCATCATAAGCATACGGCTCCCACTCCTCTTGAGGATATGGTAACTGCCAGCGCAAAAACTTCATCCAGCAAACCTAAAAACAATTTACCTTAACCTCTAGCATGGTTAGTGATAAAAACTCTGAAATAAATATTGAAGACATTAATTAAACCATAGACACTAAACTAGTTGTGAAAATGATGTATAATTTAACACTTACATTAAAAATATAGCATAGGTACAATTTAATTTCCTCAATAACAAAAGTTTTCACATACATCTGACATTGCAGTACCAGTAAATCCTCCCAACCTACAAGCCACACCCACAGATCACATACACTTTTTATTTTAATAGACTAATTCAGATATATTACACAAATCCTCTATTTCATACAGATACCAATGCCAAGCTAAAAATACAAATAGTACTTGCATTTGAAGAGCACAGATGTCTTTAATGAATATTTTTGCCAGAAAACATGAAATTAAATCTGAACAGAAGCCTAAAATCATAAATATCAGCTGAATAACACAAACTGTACATTATCAAATTTTAGTATACTGAGCTTTTATTGTTATTTCTTCTCTTTTTTGCATTTTGGAAGCAGAGCTCTTACTGTGAATATTCATTCATTAAAAACTTTTCTGGACTATTATATGTCCTCTTTGAATCATGCCAGAAAATGCAGTTTTAATTCAGATTTCTTCTTATTCAGGCTCAAAGTAAATGTGATGTCTACAAATGTGATGGCCATGAGTGAGCCAGCCATCAGAACTAAATGCTGTTCCAGCAATATTCATTTATTCACCAAACTTTAAAAAAGCACCTACTGTATGCCAGGTTGCATGTCTATGCAGTCATGGCACAGAAATAAATGCACCACTCTTCAATCCTTAAGGAAACACAGACTAGTGGAGGCACTAGACATGTTAAGAGATAATTATAATATAGTAATGCTACTATAGAGAGGCACATGTTTGCAAAGATGACTCAAAGAAGGTGCAGCAAATCAGTGGAGGAGACAGTTAAACTGGGCATCAGTGCGTAATCAAAATATTACCAGACAAATAAAAGTGCCCTAGGCACAGGGATCAACAAATATAAAAGATGTGACACACTTGTACATCTTAAGAAACTGCCAGAAATGTGCTATGTCAGGGATGTAGCAGGAGAGGTGAGAAGATAGATATTTAGAAAAGCAGAAGTAGATAAGGTCCAGATCGTGGAGATTATAAAGAAAGCAAAGAATAATAAAGAAGTGTCCATGTTTTACAGGCACCAAAAGGAGTGGCAAAATCAGATGCAGAGAGGGGACATAATCAGATGATCTCATCGGCTTTTTAGAAAGATTTTTTAGAGGAGATATTTTTAGTAGAGAAGGACAAGGGAGCCATTTGGGAAATCATTGTGATAATGCATGTGCAAGATGTGCAATGTTTAAAGTAGGAAAGTTAGAGCTGATATCGAAGGTGGCAATGAATTCAAGACACACTGGCCTGATCTAAACTTAACCTTATTTATAAACCCAGGTCTTTAATTAAATAGAATAAGATTTTAGGATATGCTAATTCATAGAGTATCCTAAAAACTTTAGATGTATGACCTTGAGTAAAGTAAGGGTAAAACAAACAAAAACACTTCCTGATAATTCATATATTCAATATTTTAACTATAAAGTGATCTATTGTCTCATGAAGTTTGTGAAGGCTATAGTGCAAGCTAAAATTAGGAGAATAATATGTGCAGAAGGCTTATAGTGCAAGCTAAAATTAGGAGAGTAATGTAGTATTGATCCTACGGCAATTTTTATTAAGTTCCTTGAATAGTAATAACAGAATTATAAATAAAAATCTCTTGGGTACATGTAGTAAGATAACCTCGGTTTGGTAAACTCTCTTGTCAATTTGTTAGTAGTGAAGAGAAGAATACAATGCAGACATAAAAAATATTATTTTTGCAAGTCATTTAAAGTAATAATGATGATTAATCTGCATTTCGGAAAGTGTTAGTCTTTGAGCAAATGTTTTGATAAAGAGCAAAAAAGGTACTATAAATACTTAGCCTGTGTATTGTGTGAGAAATACATGTTGCATATCAATTTGAAAATCATCTTATATTTATAAGAATGTCAACCTTTGAAATGTTTATATTTTGGTAATTGTTTTAGTGGCTGAGCTGCTTGAAGTTTTTATATCTGCAGACATTTTTAAATCCTGTACTGTTATATTAAACAATTGCATTTTAATTTTTAAATAATTAATTAAAATATTCTTCTCCCATTTCTACTGCTACCATCACCACCATCAGCACCATCATGTTTCTCTTACAGTGGTAAGAATGCTGTTGATGTTTTGAGGTAGGCAGTTGAGTCTGATTAAAAGTACTAGAGGTGATCCTAAATTACCTTTTTTTGTTTGTTTGTTTTTTGGACAGTTTCATTCTTGTTGCTCAGGCTGGAGTGCAATGGCACATCTCAGCTCACTGCAACTTTTGCCTCCCAGGTTCAAGCGATTCTTCTGCCTCAGCCTCCCAAGTAGCTGGGATTACACGTTCCCACCACCATGCTCGGCTAATTTTTGTATTTTTAGTAGAGACGGGTTTTGTCATGTTGACCAGGCTGGTCTCCAACTCCTGACCTCAGGTGATCCACCCGCCTCGGCCTCCCAAAATGCTGGGATTACAGGCGTAAGCCACCATGCCTGGCAACAAAATTATCTCTTAAATGCAATTCATAAGGTCAAATTTTGAGCTTTTTCAATTAAATTAGCATGTAAGTGAATATTTCATAAGTTAGACAGCATATCCTTTACTTTAGTTAACATGCAGACTATATTACTAAATAATCACATGCATTTAGTTTTTAAAGAAATACATTTGGCAGTTTTCTGAAATAATATCAAGGCTTTGTGAAAGTTCTGGCATGTGTCCTCTACATACTTAATCTGTCCCAGTACACAAGAACTAATAATCAGCTTTCAATCTTCATACAGTTGTACAGAGTGGTCAATTTTTAGGTTTTTCTAATGTGACAAAATGGAGATTCCCATCCCCTTTATAGCAAGGTATAAATATAAGGGATATAAGATAAAATTTGTAGTTGGTGTCATGTGTCATCTACTGCAAATTACTAAAAAGCATTTGCCTCTAATGTGGAGACCTATGTAGTGAGACTCTTCTAATCAAAGCATCAGCTCATTCTCAGTACAATGATACCAGGATTGATTTTCACAAAGAACAAGTAAAAACTATGTTAATAAAATGAATATATTTACATTTTTGTAACTCAACCAGTCTTATTCTCGAAGAATAGTAATCTGTTTAAAGCGAATGTTTGTTTGCCCTTGGAGAAAGAGGAAAACAGTTTGTTATATCAGCATTTTCAAGATGGAAAGAGAGAGGAGGTTCTTTGTCTTGGGAAAAGGAGGAAAGTTTCCTGAGAAAGACTAGTGGAGCATAAGAGGGCTGCTGGGAATAGAACAAGACAAATTAAAGAGATTAGAATGGTTAGAATCAAATGGTAGCAGTAGTCACATGGAGCAACCCTCAAAAGTAGGAACCCTGAGGCTTTCTGCCTGCTCTTCTCTGCCCCTATATTTCTTACAAGGAAACATATTTGTTGGTTAAAGTTTCAGTTCTCATTCTACCTACTCTTAATACTTTAGGTTGCTTGTTGCCCATTTAATAAAGAACTTTCTGATTTTAAAGAAGGAAAGAACCAAAATGAATGGAGCCCAAGACACAAAATGACAATCTGAAGGGGAGCTGCTCAACTAGGAATATCTGTGATTGGTAATTACTTAGGCAAATAAAATAAAATTGTATTATGTTAGGTTTCTTATGCGATAGATTGTTATGGCAATTAGCCTACTTTGACAAAAACAGTGGTTAAAATTATATATATTTAAATTGTATGTATATAAATATATATTGTATATAATATATATCAGATGGAATATATAGATTTTTTAAAAACACAGTTAATCTTCTAATTAATAGCATTCATGTTGGCTTCCAATGAATCTGTTTACTTCCTACTGACCTAACATTGATGTTATCTTGTAGACTGCTAAAGTGAAAAAACGAATACTGCCCATCGTTGAAGCTTTTTATGTTAAGTCACAAAACTCAGGATTCTAGAAAAACACTAAAACAAAATGGTAATACCTTCAACTATTTTTTACCAAACATAGGGTTGGCGATGATGAAATAAACCATTTCAAAAATCTTGGAAAGCACGTGCCTTTATTTATTCTATTTTAATGCCTGATTGTAGAATACCAAGAGCTATTATATAATTTATCTGTATAAGTACTGCTTTACCTTTGCTTGTTTATTTTTTAAATTATTTTTGAGAATCATTTGAAGTGCACAAGGAGAAGTTGATGCCAAATACCAAAATTGCATAATTTTCAAAGCTAGAAAGTTGTCTTGCCTCCCAAAACCAGGGACTTGAAAAAACACTGTTGTATCCTTGAAGCACAGCTGCTGAATGATACATGGACATATTTGATGTATTCTTAGGCATTTGTTTGTTTCAGTTTTATATTGACTTTATAATCAAAGCAGTTTGACTTAAAAATTTAAAGTATACATGTAATTTAGCAAAACTGAGTTGTTGTATTTCATTTTTATAGAATCCATATTGCAGCACAAGTTGTAACAAAGTTTAAGAGAATCTGTTCATAAGCTTTACCACAGATCTGAGAAATAAATGTTGCAATTATTTTCTGTTGGGGTATGTAATATTGTTCACCCCCCTTGGGTTTATTCATTCCTGATTGCTGCTCAACTGTCATAAGTCTCTTGAAAGAGGAAATAGTGAGTTACTCCTTGTGAGCAATTACCAGTCACATCTGAGAAAGCAAATTTTAGAAATCAAACTCACTTGTAACGTATTTCTAACTTTGCATTAATGCAAATTTGTTTATACAAATAACACATCAATTATGTTGTTTTCCAAATCCATAGAATTACACTAAATCTTTTAAAACATCAAAGATGCACAAAGAAAAAGGAAATAGGAAATTGAAAGGGTATAATTTGTTTAAGAAAAATTCAATTGCTGAACCCCAAGGAGTATCCATACCCATAATTTATGTCTTATCTTTGATCCTCAATTTCTATCTGTAGGAATCTCATCATGGTAAAATTATATTTTTCTAACTTCAGAAAATGTTGCATTTTGCTTATGTATCTGTTTATTTATATTTTCAAAAATAATTTTAGCTTTACAAAATGAAAAAGCAGATATAAAAGGGATCAAAATACCTGAAAATACTACTGACAAGAGTGTAATGCAGGCATTGAGAAACATTTTATTTATATTTTGGCCAAGTGTTGAAAACGAAATCTGAGTAACTTTCGAAGCTGAGTGTGATAGGACGCAGAGAAGTGCTGAGTGTAATGGAAATGCTGGGGGTGGTCAGCAATGGGAAAGGAAGCCCCTGTCCTTGAGGCTGAGTCGGAGGACAATGCACTCTCTTACTTGTCCTGACTGCGCCACTAACAGGCTGAGTCATTGCTCACCAAGACACAGCTGCATTTTTTTGTACACTACCTCCACATACACACAGACGTACCCACACACCCACACAACTTTTTTTTTTTTTTTTTTAGATGGAATCTCACTCTGTCACTCAGGCTGGAGTGCAGTGGCTCGATCTTGGCTCACTGCAATCTCTACCTCCTGAGTTCAAGTGATTCTCCTGTCTCCGACTCCCGAGTAGCTGGGATTACAGGTGCCTGCCACGTGCCTGGCTAATTTTTGTATTTTTAGTAGAGACGGGCTTTTGCCATGCTAGCCAGGCTAGTCTGTAATTCCTGACCTTGGGTGATCCCCTCTCCACCTCCCAAAGTGCTGGGATTACAGGCGTGAGACACCACACCTGGCCTCACACAACTTTTTGCTACACATGTAATGCATCCACAGGGGCCATCTCTCCCTGAAAGAGAACACTTTTCAACTTTCAGAAATGGGGCATAATCATAAGAAGAGGCAGTGAGACTAGTTAAGTGATGCTAGAACAATTCCCGTTTTAAAAGTCTAGGATTGGCACGTGCACAGTGTGAGGGTGATGGGCTGTGCAGCCAAAATGTGAAGAGCGCTGAAATTGTTTACTAGATACGGGTTCTAGTTTCAGTGCTACCACTCACTAGCCATTCTGGACATGAGCCTCTGCATCTACAACACAGAGATGCTGCCCTTTTACCAGGCACAAGGGTGGTTGTGCACCTAAAATGGGGTGATGTTATCACTTCATAATGTGGAAAGTACAAGAGACATGTGGACAGATTGTAATGGGTGTTACCATAGAAGAGGAAAGCATGGTGAACTTGGAAGGGTAAAAGTAGACTTTTCTTGGCAATGCAATATTTATACCAAGGTAATTTTTAAAAGGGGGTGAGGACTGAAAAAACAAAGCTTTTGCTTCATGCATCTCGCAAGCCTCATATTGCCAATTTTGTGACTGTGTCTAAAGAATTCTTGATGGTGAAAAAGGCTTAGGCTAAATGAGAAGGTCTTATAATTTTTAAGACTCAGCATCCATACATTAAATTTACATATTCAAGACAGAGAAAAAGGCAGAGCGAGAGAGAGAGAGAGAATAGCAGAGAACAACTTAAACCATACGTGAGACTTAGCCAACCGGAAAATATGGAAGGTTTGTTTTCAACAAGCCTTTTGTACTTTAATCCCTAAACCATTATCTCAAGATATCAATAACTCACACAATTTTATTTCATAATTCATACTTAAAGTAGAGATATTTTTAAACAACTCAACACCATTTTAAACACACCTACAATACTCTGCACCTAAAAACCATTGTTAATGAAGCTACTTTTTTTCTTCTAATTGACTGTTCAATTGGCCTCTTTGATTAGAACATAGTACAGCCAGGTTTAGCCATATTGTGGTTTTGATCCAATAGCTGCCTATCTAGAAAACATAAAACAAGGCAACTAGAATTTTAATTGGGTATATATTGACAAATTATGTTACATGAGAGAAGTTCTAAAGTTGCCATGGTAAGAAAAATACAGTTATGAGGAAAATAATGTTCCTCATAACTATATTGTTGTTCAACAGCAGTAACATTAAGCATGTGCCAGTATTATATTACTGTGCCTCTGAATCAGTCTGGTATAGACAGTCATTTACCATTCCTCATTATCTGTTCTTACAAATTAAATGCCTAGAGGCCATGAAGCAGAAGAGCAGAAGAGAGTGGGACAAAGTCACAAATTTATAGTGACTCTCCTAACCTTTAAGTCAGTGTTTTATTAAAAGCTCTGTAGGATGTGCTTATAGAATATGCAAAAAGCATTTAGGATCTTTTTAAAGCAAAAAAGCATGCATATTTTCAAGGCATAAACAATATTCAAGCAACCCAACTTTAAATGAGAACATGCCCATGCATAACATAGCTACAGTAGTACATCATAAAAATAATTTATGTGACAACAAGTTATTTTATGTTTTAATTTTCCCCATTTAAATGCTGACTGTTTCCCTAAATCACAGCTGTTAGCACCAATTCTAAAGACCACTGTAAGCATGTTCACTGGCTTCGTTATCTTACATGAAAAATGTAAATTCCCACTGGTTTAGAAGATATTTTTGTAGGAATGAAATAGAAATTTGGTAACAGAACTACTAAGTAAGTTACCCAAGCATGGCCATGTGCCTGAGATTGCTCATTCTTAACCTTATCCCACATTCATGATCACTTCTCAGTAGACTACTCTAAATCCCAACCACCAAAATTGTGTTTCAAACACCTCCATAGACACCAAATCATAAATAAGTACATAAGTAAGTAAATTGTAAGCACCAAGCCTTGATGATATCTAAGTTTCTTCATTGTCTTTGGTCATATATTACTTATAATTCCTACAGAAGACTCTGAAATATTATAGGCACTTTGCTCAAGTCTCCCATGTAAGTGGATCAACATAGTTTATCAGTCATGGTTCTTGGTTCTGATATGGTTCTTTTGTGCAGAGATTTCCACATCACTGATTCAACCATCAAAAGAGTTTGGAATTTCAAATATTCCGGTCCTTCATAAAAAAGAGATAAGCCGTGTTCCACAGAAAGTTTGTTTTTGAGAAATCGTTATCTGCCACTCTCTCAAATAAAGATATCACGATTTAATTTTTATAAGGGCCATGAATACAGGATTTAAATAAATTCATAAACTGTTCTCAATCTATATGCTATTAATCCAAGAAAGTTAGCCTATGCAAAAAAACAAAAACAAAAAATCTGAAATAGGAGGGTGTTTTGTTGGTTATTCATTTTTTTTAAAATTTTAGTTTCATATTTGCTTGTTTTTTAACAAATAATTAGAATGTGATTTTTTCTTGTCCACAGACTGACAGGATGAAGCTAGCACAGACATTCTCTCTACATAATAGTATACATATCAATTTCAAGCAAATAAACAAACCAATGATTCCCTCAAGTATCAAATCTACCTTGAAGGATAACAGTCATGCAGGGATCAGGGCATCTGAATATATAGATGTCTATTCAATGATCTTCTCTTCTATGAAATAGTCTGAAAGAAGAGAAGGAAAAGTGGACTATTCTTTAGTATGGTCTGAAAGAAGAGAAGGAAAAGTGGACTATTCTTTAGTATCTTCAGACATTTATTTTAGACTTAAAGGCATACTTTTAATTTTTGTTAAGTGCATATAGAGCACTTCAGAGTATTATCTGGATACAAGAGGGAATTAAAGTGGTGAATATTAACCACAATACAGAAAAATTTTGTTATAGAACTTTTTAAACATAATGTATCAAACTATGAAGGTGATTACAAATTCAACATTAAATCACTAACATATCAAGAATATATAGAGCATATTCTCTTTTGTGTCATTTCCACAGCTCCTTAGAATTAGAAAAAAAGCCTAATAGAATACATATTAAAATAATACAATAAGTTAGATAAAAAGGTGATTTATGTTTACTCTGCTACCATGGAGAGAATTATCTTTGCCCTAGACCTTTAAATTAGTCTCATTTTAGAAATTTCTGGATGCTAGTATTATCAACTTAATTTCATAATTTCTAATTCTCTGTTTAAAAGTAGTCATTCCTCTGTATTGTCTATAACACCACTTTGTTAATCTGTCACAACTACTTCTGAACATTTTTATTATGATGTAGGCATTTTTCCCCTACTTACTAAATTAGAAGTAGTCCATGGCAGGGGCCACATGGTATTTCATTTTTGTACACTTGGCACTAAGCCTATTGCTTAGCCTGAAGCAACAGTTTGATAGGTGTTTACTGAACAAAACAGACCTCTTTCCTCATCTTATTCTCTCTAAATTGATGACTAGATGTAATTACCCCAAATTGCTGATAACTGAAAAATACAATGGGTTTAGGGAATAAAGACTGGACAGAAATGGGAAAACATCTATTTCTAGACATTACATATAAATATTTATTTTTAAATTATATTAGAAATTAAATATTCAAAGTGTGTCCTTTATGTTTATTTGTAATGACAGTTTTTATTCTTACCCAAACTTTTGTAGGCTGGCTTTCTTCTTTCTTTCCTGAAGTTTGGATGAAGAAAGAAAATGTGTTTGTTACCCATAGGAAAAAGCTAATGCTTCTAAAAATATTAAATATTTGTATTAAAATACCTTAAATTCAAATTTGCAAAATATGCAGCATTTCTTAATGATGCTAATCCATATGTATGTGGATATGTTTGAGAAATATATATACATATTTATATCTCCATGGATATGTATAAGAATTTGCTTCTATTGCAATGAAGGCAGAATCTCAACATGCAAAGCCTCAGCTTACAGTAAATTCTAAAACAAGATTTCCCAACTATAAACAAAACCTAAGTTTTTCATGTCTTCGTATATACTGACAAAAATTGTTTTCCAAAAGCAAAGGCATATAAATAATTTCTGTTGTATCTCAAAATGCTAATACTTTCAATAGAATATTTCATGAAGTATTTATAGAGCACTGCTGCAGACTCCAGTGAATTGTAAATCATGATACACTTCAGTACAAGACTCAAAAATAAGCTCCATGATTTTAGAAACACATCTACTAGATCACCTTTAGATTTCTCTGCCTAGGATTTGTCACTTGTTTGTGTACACATGTACAGGAATAAATACACACCAAAGATCTTGTGGTTCATGTTAAACTTTTTCCAATATGTCCTGTTTAAAATATACTATAGTATTTTGCAACTATTAAACTACTATGACAATGTAATAAAGAGCTAAGATAACTAGGTTCACTAAAAAAAATGAACTTATTATTTTTCTCTCCAGATCATCCTTGCAAATTTTTAAATGATTTGTGCTATACTTCCTTGCTAGGGGCTGAAGACACATGTGGAACTGGTTCTGACATGTTCCTGGAGAAAGCAGAAGTTCAAAAAGAATCGGGAAGAAAGAGCTAAAAGAAGGGAGAAGAAAATATATAAATACACAGAAACTAAAAAGAGAGAGCTTATTGTGACCTTTCCCATAGGAGCTCATAGCAGTTGGCTGCATGCATTTATGAAGTCAGGAAAAGGGAATCAAAGATCTATGTGCGTGTGAAGGTTCAGTGAAGGAAGCCCTTGCTGAGTAAGGTCAAGTAAAATTTACTTAGTTCCTAGGTATGTTGACTTGTAGATGAGTATCTGAATGAGTGAGTCAAATAGACAGTAAATTTTCTGAACACAATTTCCACCCTCCTTTATATCAATTTACTGTATAATAAACCCTGCTGTAAAATACTGAGAATCTGGTTTGTTTTCACTTTTTAAAATATATCTGACATGTAGGTAGTTTAACATTAATATAAATGTGTTTTGACTTTACACATAAACTGTTACCTATTATTGAAAGTAATATTGTGAAGTTATCTAAATATTATTTAATTTAGGAATCATTCATGTGTCAGTTTTCAAAGATAATGTATTTTTCACATATTAAGAAAACAACTATGAGAAATGAGAAACTTGCAACAATAATCTTTAATAAGTCTGGTGCAGTGAATTAACAATATCTGGGAAATAAACCTTGGGAAACATTTCTGCTGGATAAATAGGCTGAACTTTACTTATCACAGGGTGGTGGTTCAGAGCAGTCTCAAGACTGTGATCTTTAGAAAATTGTGCAAGCACTTTTTTACTCTTTCCTCTGTTAAAGAAAAACTTCACTTGAATTAAATTTAAAGGAGTTTAATTGAGCAATGAACGATTTGCAAATTTGGCAGCCCCCAGAATCACAGCAAATTCAGAGAGACCAGCACAGCCACGTGATGGAAGAAGATTTATAGACGAAAAACAAGAAGTGACATACAGAAATCAGAAGTGACACACAGAAACAACTGACTTGGTTACAGCTCAGCGTTTGCCTTATTTAAACACCATTTGAACACTCGACAACGTATGAGTGGTTGAAGTATGGCTGCAGGGATTGGCCAAGACCCAGCCACTGTTACAGGCACACACTCCCAATTAGGTTCTCAGTCTTGTCTACCTATTACGTTAGGTTGTAGTTCATCCATAAGGATTCAAATATACAAGTACTGAGTCCTCAGGCCATATTTAGTTTGCGTTAACACCTCATACAGGCAACGATATTATTTGACCCATATGTGTGTTGTGAACATGGTATTAATATATAACAATTTATATTGCTATAATGTCTTTTGATTCAACCAACTAAAGTGATGATGCTTTAGTATTTTTTGATGGGATAATAGAAGTCTACTCCAATGTTTTCTTTTTTCTTTCTGCATATTTAGATTAATGACAGGAAAAGAAGGAGAAACAAATACAAATTTAATGCTGTGACTAAATATATCAAATATTTAATATATGCAAATATTTATATAGAGTTATTATGGAGGATGAAGAGTGAAGTGTTTTTGGAACAAAAAAGGAAAAATAATTACTTGACAGATGTAGAGCTGAAAATTGTTGCAAGAAGAGAAACGATTACAGGAGAAAGCATAATATATGAAAACAGCAGGGAAATTGTCTTAGATGGAATAAAAATGTTTATATGAGTAAATATTTTAAATCACCACAATTCTTGTTATAGAACTTAAAAATATATCAACCTAGAATCAAAATACCTCTGTCAGAAGCACTCTTAACTATAATCCAATCCAATCTCATAAAATTTAATTAGCAAGCAACAAGTTAAAAATTGGACCAACATATACTAATGAAAAAATATTGAAAGTCTTTTAAATGAAAACTTGTGCTATTCAGTCTCATGTGGAAAATTAGGCACTGACATTGAAAAAATAGCTTTATACAATAAAATTCAGTGAGTCTGTTGCCTTTAGAAGTGATGGCAAAACATTTATAGTTACTGAAATCTGAATCAAATCTAGATAGTAATTAAGAAATTTCACAGTGTTCTTTTTTAAAAGAATACTTCAAGATTAAAAATGTAACTAGAACTACAGATATGTCAACATCATAGAGTCCGATAATATTAATTAAAACTATACCCACTTCATTGCATTCAGTTAACCACTGAAGGATTTGTGGTTCTAACAGGACCTACAAAAGCTGACGTGATTATAAAGAGGTCTTCAGTATATCACCTCATTATTTTTTTAAATTTCATATGCTACTGATAAGACTTCCATTACGGAACATTTATTAAGCAAATTCATCAATATTGGCAAATACTAAAGTGATATGACTCATTGATAGATGCAGAGAAGTATTATTTGAAACTGGAGTTATCTTTTTAAATCTAGGATATATAGTACCCACATTTGTTGAAAGCATCTACATGCAGGTATTGCTATGAAATAAAATATTATTCTATTATAAAGTCATAAGGAACTTAAATATAAAATTACATGTTTAATATATATGATTGAGCTGCATAAAAGTATGCTTCTACTCAAAATAGCTATATAATTAATGTAGAAATATTGCTTTAATTAAATGTTCTGATTTTATTGAGGTAACGACATGCCATCCTGTTTCTCTTCACTGTTTAGCACAAAACTTTTGCTGCATATTACATTATTTTTGTTGACCAGGAAAAATAATTTTTCCTTTGATTAAAAATTAAATTTTTTTAAATTCCCTGGAGTATGCTTCTATTATATATAATGTATATCCCATGAAATTATATTACTTGTTTTATGATATTTATTAGACAGAACATTTAACCAGTTGTTTTTCAAAAAGAGATAGCAATGACTTAGTTTATCATATTTTGTAAATAATAATGACCGTACATAACTTCTGTCCCTTGCTGTCAAATACAGTCTTGTCTTCAAAGGAAATGACATTGCCTAAAATCTATCGTAAAATAAATCCCATTAAACTTTTAAAAAACAATAAGCAGGGCAGGGCACAGTGGATCACACCTGTAATCCCAGCACTTTGGGAGGCCGAGGTGGATCACCCGAGGTCAGGAGTTCAAGACTAGCATGGTCAACATGGTGAAACTCCATCTCCACTAAAAATACAAAAATTAGCGGGGTGTGGTGGTGGGTGCCTGTAATCCCAGCTACTTGGGAGGCTGAGGCAGGGGAATCTCTTGAACCCGGGACACAGAGGTTACAGTGAGCCGAGATTGTGCCATTGCGTGCCAGCCTGGGCAACAAAAGCAAAACTTCATCTCTAAATAAATAAATAAATAAATAAATAAATAAATAAAATAAACAAATCTTTATATAATGGGTAATGCGTACACAACTCTATCACTCACACCATTCTGGCTCATTTCCCATTTCCCAAGGCACTTCAGTTCAGGGTGGATTTGCATGTATGTCAAACAATTCTTTGAAGAAGACATCTGCCACACTCTTCATCATTTCCTCCAATTTTCAAGAGTCCTAATAGAGATACCCATTTTCTATAATATTATGCAATGCTATCTCATTAACTGAAATATCTAGTTGATGTGTGATAATTCATTCAAAGAGAGAGATTAAAATAGCATCTATTTATATGTTAATTTTAAAAGTGACATGCAGAGCCCTGTGATTAGAACATGCACATAGCCTATTGAGCATATTGCTATTTTCAATTTTTCTCACACATGAAGATGAAGAGCTGCCCTCTTTAGCTCCCTTTTACTATGGTTATGCAAATGAGTTGTCTCTATAATCTTATTAATGAGGAGCATCCTCATCATTAAGAATAATTTTTAAGAAAAAACAGCATCTGCTTGTATATCATCACATTGACCTTCTTTTGTGAAGATATTGACAGGCTTTACTAGAAACTTCTCTTACCACAAAGTCACCCTTAGAATTAGATTTAGAATTAGATTGCTAGAAAAGGAGAGATTGAATAATTTGAAGTTAATGGAGGACGAATCTAAAGGTGAAATATTTTCCCAAGTCACCAAAGAAGACAAGCTATACAGGGAGCAGCATTAGAGAAGCGCTTTTCAAATCTCTGCTCCTTTGTCATGTTTGATATCAACCCCTTGTCCAAAATGCTAAAACAAACCACATGGCCAAGTCAAGATTCAATTTAGGAAGGGAATACCCAAGGTAATGGTCAGAGGAATGCATGAGTAAATTTGGTTCATTACATCATAATCAACCACAGGGGTTTAAGAATTTTACTTTTTAATACAGGTCCTTAGTAGTAGCAAAACAAAGACTATAAAGACATTACATTAATTACTGTAGTGGCAAAAATAATTCTTTGTATATATAGCACAAAGTTTTCTATGTTTATTCAATAAATTATCAAACCAGCTATGAAAATGGTAGGCACATTAAATAGTATACTGATATATATGACACCATGGCATAATCAATTTATATTATGATTATGCAAAATAAAAACTCCAGACATATGATCTCTAAATGTAATTTTGAAAACAGAGTTGGATCAGAATTCACTAGCTTGTTTCCTGAATTCTAGTCCTAGTCCTTAACCATTATGCCTTGGGGTAGTGGCCTCTATGGAACAGTGAAAATGAAATTAAGATTCCCTACTGATATATATCCTAGAAAGAGAAGTCAAGAAATGAAACAGCTTCCTTCACTTCAGAAGACCCATCGATTTTTTTTAAAAAATTCTTATTGTTTCAGGAGAGAATCTTGGATTTTAATTCTCCTTATTCTCTTTTAATCTTTTAGCAGTTTAAGATTCACATGGCAAGTACTTCCCCAATAAACAATCTATGTGTTTTGAAATCGTCTTTATTCTTCAGATAGTGAAAAGAAGACTCCTAAGAGGCTTATTTGTCAATTGGACTGGATGTTAAAACTCAGAAAAAAGTAGACACTGAACTATTCACTGCACTGTAATATATGACCAACTCAGTCATCTATGGAAAAAATAAATTTAGCTCCATTCAAATATTAAATCCTAATAATATTGGGCAAGATATGGAATATTAAAAGACTTAATTTTGGCTTCCATCATTATTAATGCAAAACCAAACCAATAAAACATAAATTTGGTTTTAAAAGATATTATTTTGATTACCACATCAAATCTGCATGTATATATTTCCAGAGTTTTTGTGATGCAATGCGGGGAAGGAGAGAGAGAAAGAAAGAGAGAGAGACTCTTCTAACCAACACTCATGATCATGGAGAGGTGAACATAAAAATCCCTTCAGAAGATTGCAGTTGTTCTAGGTGTAATAATATCTTGAAACATGCACATATCATGTAACTCACTTGTATAGCTTTCTGGCACACAAATATTTGATGTTAAGAGATCACTTTCATTTGTATTGTTTTAGAACAATCGTAACGATTAAAAACTTTTATCTTTAGTCCTTTATTTTGTAGCTTTTGCTTTTGACTAATTCATATTAAAAAAATAATAAAGACAAAAGTCATGTAGTGATAATGTTTACTTACTTCTTCTGTGGATGATTAACAAATTAAAATTCATGGATTTATATAATATTTGGTGGGGAAAAGGAGATTAATATTATAGTAAACCCTTAAATGTGTTTAAAATCTATGACCATTACTTTTGATCCACATACATACCAAAGTTTCTTTAATCCTTTTTCTTTTAATTGAAATAAAAGAAAAAAATCCTGAGTTTTCAAAACTAGATTACTCTTCTATGTTTCTTTAGCAGCTATAGTATTAATATTTAATGAAGTTAGAGTTCTTACCTTATTAACAAAAATGTTAATTTTGTTACTAAACTTATAGATGAAATACCAATTAAGAGTCAATAGTTGAAGATGTGAAGTAATAGATTTAATCTCCACATAACAAAACAAATAAGTACTGAGTGCAAATTTTAGAACTCATGACAGCACAACAGCAAAATGATCACATTATTAAATAAGCAAAGATGCAAATATAATAAATACTTTTCTAAACACATATCAGCAATCTTAAGGTAAATTGGGATATGACTGTAGTAAATACATAATTAATCATCCTTATGTAACAAATCCACAGAATGGCAGATACACTAAATAAGTCAGGTTAAGAATTTTTTAGTGATTCATAGAACTTATGGTATAATGTGGCACAACTAGGGTAACTAGTCAACTCTCAATCTGATGTTTAAATCATAAAATGCTGGTTTATAAAACAATAATAAAAAATATCTAAAGATATATACTATTCTCCAAGTCATAGTCAAGATGCAAATGTAAGTCAATATAGTTTAATATGTCATCTCCTTTTTATGTTTTAGACAAGCAATTATTCAAGTATCTATTTGACATTTAGAACATTACTAGGTATTGGAAGCCTATAGAGTTTTTTACTTAAGAAAATTTATCTTTAAACTTCATTTGTCTTTTTTTGTTTTTCATTTTAAAAATTAGCTTTAACTGTGCTATTTACCTACCCAGATTCAGTCTGAGACAGATGTTTTCAACAGTGCTTTGTGCCTTATTTACTTTATTCAGTAGAGAATTCACAGGTAATTATTTTGTGTAATAATTAATATTCTCCTCCATGAGCTTTTGTGTCTTCTCCTTTTCTCAGAATTTATCTTCACCCAGATTAAATAGAAGTCATTTCTTGCTTTGTATGTTATTATGACATATTCCAGAAGTTCGTCAAATTAGAATAGTAGATTTGTCATACTCGAAACTGTGGCAGCTGCAGTGAGGTAAACCATGGCTAATATAACATATTAGAGGTATTTTAACATTCTTTAGGAGGATATATGGATGGTGTTATGACATTAATTTTAATATTATTAAAATTTTAATTATTATTTTAATTTAATATATATCATTTTTAAAATTTTCTATTTTTTTATTGACTCTTGGGAACTTGCTGCCCCTTATTCCCTAGTTAATGCACACAAACAACACATGTACAAATTTATGGCAAGGAACCAAAAGCATAAGCAACTCAAGCCAATCACCCTTATTTTCACATTGTGTGCTTCTATCCTATGGGCATTTATGACTATGTGGAGTTGGAACTTATGTTGGTGATTTTTATGAAGCATACACAGAACTTAGTATTACTTGCAAACAGCCAGATAATTCCCTGTTGCCATATCTGTATTCAAGTAATAAGTCTTTCATGTCGTTGCACACAGACCTTCTTGACTTCCAGAAAATCTCATCTGAACAAACTTGCAAGTTATTGAAACAGGGGCTTCATAATCATACAATTAACAATTATACATCTATAAATTCCTCAAGTAAGAGAAAACACCCTCATAGTAGGATCAGAGAACGACAAGAAGACAAAGCACCAGTGCAAATCCATTGCCAAAACGCTGAGTTAAAGACACTCAAAACTGGGGTATTTACCAAACATGATATGGAAAAACAAATACGTTTCTGACCTGTTATATTTTGAAAGTCATTTCATTGAAAGGGAAATTATTAATGAGGAGTTAATACGGCCTCCTGCTAGAATTAATAGGAGACTACCATCACAGCTACATCTAAGAAGGCATTGATTGTTAACTTGTTGTCTCATGCATATGTCCACGCCAGCTCCAGAATCATTGCATTTTTATGGGAATTTCAAAAAATTTTCAAAAAAAATTTCTACCATTTCCCAATGGTAGAATGCCTCCAATAATGAGCACAGATATGCAAACATATTTTTATTATCATCAAATGCTGAAGACCCAGGAGTGCTTCTTGGGGTGCTGAAGGACTGCAAAAATGATCACTGGATTATTTAAATGATACCAGTTCAGCAAAATCTCTTCAAAGCTGCTATATTTATGGTGTGTGTGTATTCATCTATGTTTCTGTCTGATATATTATTTTCTTCTCAATCTAAGCCAGGCAATCTTATCTCATTATGAGTAGTTCTGGTCAGAAAGCATCCCTGGAAATTTTATTCAGTAATGCATTTTCCCTACATAGGAAATGTTTTGTCAACTAAATTCCTAAAGCAGCATAGAAAGGGAAAATTATATTATCACCAACTCCTTTTAATTCTCTCTTCATAATGTGTTAAACTGAAAAGGCTTCTCAACTCCAGATTATGGGAGTTGAGAAGATGATAAATTATGGTAGTTATTCTTGAGAAATAATATCAGAAATAACATCACAAGGTGCACTTTAATGACTTCAGAAATCAGCCTCCAAATTTTATAGGCATCATTTGCAGTATACAGCAACAAGTTACATCACACTAAGACTCTGAGGTAAGAGAGATCATGAAAATCGTCAGTGTTTTACATAGAGACAGTCATCAGCCTTGCTGGCATGGAGAAAACCAACAGGACCTGGAAAGGACAAAATCTGCTTCACGGTGCAGGAATCAAGGTAACAAATAACCTTGCTGCTTGGACAGTAATTTCACATTCTTTTCTACAGCATAGATACATTAATATATCCCTGCCAATGCTTTCAAAACTCTACCATCTTAATCATATGTTTGGATTATCGTCAGAAAAAAAAACAATTAATAGATTGAAATCAAAAGTTTAAAAAGCCAAAGAAATCAGGAGTTTTAGTTTTTTAACCATTATCACATTAAAAAGCTCTTGTGTAAAGTAGCAAAACTTCACTCTGTTATCAGATAAAAGTGGCCAGTCATTTCGTTCAGACCTGAATGGGTGTCAGGTGTGAGGGTTCTACATAAACGAGGCCCTTTACCTCCCATTCCCGTTCCCTCTCACATCCCATTACCAGACCATTTTGTGCTCCAGTCATAGCAAAAAAGTTTCTGTTCCTGAACTACTTCTCATTATTTCCTGCACAATTGCTTGCATTCATTCTTTCATGTATCCAGAGCATATTAAAAGCTCACTTAGGCAAAGAAAAGTGCTATGTGCTAGGACGAAAGTGATAGAGCCAGAAATGGATCGAACTTCATTGAGCCTGAAACCTATTTCAAATGTTTCGATGTATCTGCAAATCTTTTTTTCTCCTTCTGAAATATCTTCCTGTCTTCTTTTCTGCCTGATAATCTCATCTGCATATCTTAAGATGCAGGCCAGGATTATCTCTTCTTTGAAGACTTTTTATATCATCCTTTAAAAAAATTAAATTTCTCTCTACGTATTCTTATTAACTTTTGCACAGGCCTCTTTTGTAGTTTTCCACCTATTACAGAGAAAATATTTGTCTATGTTCAGACTCTATCTGCACCAGACTACAACCTCTCAAAAACAAGAACTGTGGCTTATTCATCATGTGCTTTGCAAACAGTTGATGTTGAGGTCAATTTTTTTAATGAATAACTCAAAGAATAAATAAATGAATGAATTGGAAACATAGAGCCTATTAAACCTATTTCCTAGTGAATGTCCAGCATTCAATCTGAACTTGAACACACATCATTATTAGAAGACTATTTAATGATCTTGATGTGGGCAGAGCATTTCTATGGAATTTAAACAGTGGAAAAGTCACACAAAAATAAATCTGATCCAATGAAAACTGTATTAGTTATCTGTTGCTGTGTAACAAATCACCACCAGCAGCTTAATACAACTTCCATTTATTATCTCAGTTTTTACTGGTTAGGAGTCCAGGCATAAAGCAGCTCCTCAGTTCAGAGTCTAACAAGGCTGCAATAGAGTTGTCATGTTGGCTGTGTTCTGGAGCTCGTGGTGCTCTTCCCAGACCACACAGTTGCTACCTGAATTCAGTTCCAGTTGATTGTAGGACATAAGTTCCCATTTTCTTGCTGGGTATTAGCTAGATTTTACTCGCAGCTCCCACATGCCAGTAGTAATTCCTTCCCAAGTGTTCCTCTAAGAGGCTCTCTTACAACACGGCAGCTTACTTCAAAGCGACAGGGAAGCTCCCACTCCAGTTTGCTAAGGGGAAGTATTATATAATGCAATATACTTCCACCACCTTTGTCATATTCTATTAGGAGAGAATTTTATAACAGCATGATTCAGCAAAGTTCACTTTAAGGTATGCCACCGTAAAACTTTTAAATTAAATTTTAAAAGTAGAAATCATCACAAATAAAAGAACATAATGATTGGAGAAAATACCAATATGGGCTGGGCGCAGTGGCTCACCCTTGTAGTCCCAGCACTTTGGGAGGCCGAGGTGGGTGGATCACCTGAGGTCAGGAGTTTGAAACCAGCCTGGCCAACATGGCAAAACCCCATCTCTACTAAAAATACAATAATTAGCCGGGCATGGTCGTGGGTGCCTGTAATTCCAGCTACTCGGGAGGCTGAGGCAGGAGAATCGCTTTAAACCAGGAGGCAGAGAAGGTTGCAGTGAACTGAGATCACACCATTGCACTCCAGCCTGGGTGAGACTCTGCCTAAAAAAAAAACAAAAGCAAACAAACACAAAAAAAAACAAACCCAATATGATGTATGATGATACTCAAAATATCCGACTTCAACTCATTACCAATTCATTAACAAAATAATGACAAGTAAATCAATCACTCTATCTTCCGAATTGGAAAATTTTATTTAATTTTAATCCTAATGTAGTACTCAGTACTTTTGAGAGGAGAATAACAAGATGGGCACTTCCATATACCATTTGTAGAAGTGCTTGCCTTATAGAAAACAGAGGCAAAAAAAAATCAGGCTTTATTTATCTTCTCCATTGCCCCATCAGAGCTATCACTGCAATGTAGGAAAACCATGTGGAAATTCTTTAGGGCTGTAAATTGGTGTTACAGTCTGTTAAGCTTTTGAACATTCTGCAAGGCTATTTTAACTGGTAATTATCAAAAGGGAGCTTTCTATCTCCAAGAAATGGAAAGCAAATGCCTTTCCTGAATTTGTAAGTGTGACAGAATCTGGGCTCTGCGTTTGCCAGCTGCAGTGAGCTACAGGGAAATATTGTAGTTCAAGATGTAGGGCCTTGGAACACTCAAGTCACCTTGAATTAGGACCTGATGGCTACACCCCAGAGTAAGGGAGACTCAGAAATAGATCTCATCCAACAATCACTAAGTCTTGAAGATTCCATTTGCTATGTACTTCTTGAAACCTTCCATTATTTCTTGCACACTACCAGATTTTCATGACCTCATTTCTGGATTACTACAGCCACCACTTGTTAGTCTTCTTGTCTCCAATTTTATTCATTTCCAGAATGCCAGCAGAATAACCTTTGGGTGTCCTCCCCAACTGATCTCACCATCTGAATTCTTCATGTGCCTGTAATAATTTAGTCCTATGAATAATTCTCCAGTTCACCTTCCACCATTCTCCTTCCTTCCTTCTCTTCCTTTCCTATCTTCTGACTTCTTCATTTATTATTCTTGGAACAGAAGATGCTTTTTTGCCACCAGGCTTTTGACATGCTCAGCCATCTACATGGCATTGTCTATTCTCTCCACCCTTTACCTCGATATTTCTTGTTCTTCCTTCTCATCTAGCTTTGACATGCTTTTCTCATGACTGCCATGAAGTCTCTCCTAACCATCCATGAATGTACCAGACTATATGTATCTATCATAATTTCCTCAATATATTATTAATGTCCCTTGTTGTAGGCTGTCCTGAGGGCTCTGTGCAAAAAAACTTTGTGTTTTCATTGACTTCATTTCTCCAACCCAATGTTTAGCACTTAGCATATTTAAATAAATATACAGTAAATGAATAAAGGATCTAAATATTTAGATGCCATGCTTTATATCTTAGCATTTCAAGGGCCAACCTATAATTGTTCATAAAATAAGTGATTCCAGATCTCAGAATGTAGAATAGATGTCCCCTCTCAAGCAGCTCACTGGCTAGTTAGGTTGACAGTTTAAAGTGGGCACTAAAACTTCTAGAGCATCCCCACCTAGAAAGCTGGGAAGAAAAAGGAAAACCTGGGGCATATCTCAGCTATGATTTTACAGCTCATTCCATCACAGATGGCTTGGGAAGGCACACCCCAATGTGCTCCCGCTTATATTTCCTTTCATCCATAAAAATCATCATCCTACCTTTATGGCTATCTCCCCAGGGGAGGTCCTGTAAGGATTCATGCACTCATTTTTGCAAACTATATATTGGTATTTTTTGAATGGAGATACTCTATGAACACAAAATGTTTTTTGGCATTAGTCCATATGCCCTATCACAGCCCAACCTATTTGATTCTGTGCTACCAAACAGCTGCCGGCACCCACCAAGAGCATCTGGTTCTATTTCCTGTTGGCAAGGGCTCCATTAGCAGTAAAACAGCTAATGCCTTTTAGATGGCCTCATGATTACAGCTTTTATTGGTATCCTAGGTAATTGAGTTAATAAATTTAATTGCAAGTCCTGATACTTCCTCCCACCTGCCTCTACTCCTTTCCTAGCTCCTCTTTGTCGCCTCTCAAAAAAAATAAAAATAAAAAGCAAAAAAACCATTAATAAGAATATGCATCTAATAGGACAGGTGACTTCACAAAACACTTCTGAATGACTTCAAAATGTCACTGGGCCCACCCCAGTTTGTTTATAGCAGCATGCAGTACCATGACTCACATTTACTACCCTCTTCCTTTCAAGCTAATTTATAAAACTGTCCACACTACATCGAGCAATACCCAGAGTATATAGTGTATTGCCACAAAGATTTCCAAGGCAATATTTATAGTTGCATGGGAGAATATGGGTACAGGTTTCTGGATCTCTCAACTAATAATTCACATACTACATTGTAAATCACGATGAAATATTACATATTACACAATAAAACAACAACAGAGAAGAGACAATTGAAAACTGAAATCTTCTCTTGAGAAACATTTTTAAGATCTTGCTGAAAGACTAACAGATCCTGGATTGCAAAATGTATTTCTCTCAGGAAGACAGTCTCCTGGATGGCTCTGGGTATTTTTTTGTTGTTATTACTCTTAGACGTTTGCCAGGTTTACCACTGGCTAATGTTATACGCCCAAATGGCTCTTTGTGTCCCTAAATTAAGTATTTTACCCCCTTATAAAAAATGCATTACCCTCATGTCTGCCTAATTAAGAGAGGTTGATGGAGACATTAGAGATTCAGATGTTCAGTGTCACACTGTAATATATGCCACCAAACATATTATTCAAATTGCTTTCATGCCTAACTCCAGCTCAATGACCCTTTAAATCCCTTCTAATGATCATCAGGCTCTTGGATCCTGTCTTTCTGCTCTGTGTAGTTTAATTCTCAGCATTCAAAATACAAATTCAAATCAGAGGTGGATATGATATCCAAGAGAGCATAAGTAGTTATTTCCACATATTAAGCACTTCACAAATATCATATTTAATCCTCACATCCCGTAAGGCAGGAGTTGTCAACCAGGGGAAATTTTACCCCTGAGGGTATATTTGGCAATGTCTAGAAACATGTTTGTTTGTCATAACTAGAGAGGAACTACTGGCATCCAGTGGGGCGAGGCTAGGGATGCTGCCAAAACCTTATAAACTACAGAATAGCCCTTATGATAAAGAATTATCCAGCCCAAAATGTCAATAGTGGTTAAGAAACCCTACTACAAGGTATTGTCTTCATTTAATAGAAGAGGAAACACAGGCTGAGAAGTGATGAAGAGCTCGCCAAGCTTTGCTCAGATTATAAAGGGCAGAGCATAAATTCAAATCTAGATTTTCCTAACTTCGTAGTTCAATCTCTTTCCACAGGGCAATGTAGCTTCGTAGAGCTTTGGGAAACCAGTAAGGAAACACGGAAGTTAAAGCCAGTATTTCTTTAACTGCTAAACACCCCAAACCACATTATGTCAAGAGAACAGTTTTTGTAATCGTCATCCAATACGAAAATAACATTACTGTAATCATTGCAGAAGTCCGCCGCAATCTGCCACATAGGTTGATGTGTGATGCTTCTGGCTACAAATTTCCACTTGAGGATGCCATAGTGGCCCGTCTACAAAATGCAGATGTGTCAACAGAAGGCCTAATTGATGGATAGAAATGACTCTGCAATGGAAATTTAGTGTTGTTAAAATGGCAAAAAAAGAATGTGATACACCAGGGTATAGGCTGAAAGCATAGTAAAAGATGCTAAGCCATAGCAAGAGCCAGAGGATGTCGTGGGAACGATTCCAAGGAACCTGTTACAGGTTTCACATAGAGAATTCTGGAGATGACCGATTTTGTTTGTATCATCAAGGCTTCCCCGTAAATTCACATTTTATGTTTATATATATGTTTTTATTTCTTAATACTTTTTGCCATACTTAGGAAAAAGAGAATCCATCACAAAATCTAACTTAGGATGTGAAAATTAATAAATTCATTGTTTAAATTCAAATATTTGTTTTATGAAATGTTTTGTTTTCTCTTTTCAGTTAAACCCAGATGTTTTCAATGCATGCCAAATGCTTCTTCATGCTTTCTTTAACTTATTTGCATAATTTATTTATGTTAAACAAAAAAGACTTTCCAGAGTTCTTGTTTTTCATTTTTTCCCATAATTTGTATTCTATGGCCATTCAGTGTACCTAAAACTAAAAAACAAGCAATTGTTTTCTGCGTTGTCCTCCTTTAGAGTTAAGATACCTAAACCCTGGTAATTTGATTGGATTGGGAAGATCGTTGTGGGAGTGGAAGAAGGACAAGATTAAACCAGTCCTGAGACAGGTCTCCAACAGGGAACAAAGGAAAAGAGATAACAAACCAAAGCACACCCAGATCAAAGACCAAGGATAATCCAGAGGCTCGTGTAGCAAGATGAGGGCCAGAAAACAAGGAACCAGATGAAAACTCAAACCTGAAAGGGAGGCTGACGAACAAAATCCACAAAATCAGGTGAATGCAGTTAAAGACACAGGCGGATTTAACATCCAGGTGTAGCCAGGACTGGGAGAATTGTAAAATAGAGGAGCTTGAAAAACCTTTGAGCTGCCTTTGTTCTAAATCTGAAAACTGAAGCCCATTGTTCCCTCATGTTGCACTATAATGAGTGGCGAAGGTAGATCTTGAATCCAGATCTTCTTTCTGATCCAGTGTCTTAAAATCAGGAAGAAAGTTGCTCTGAAACATTCAAGCTTTCTAAACTACCTACTCAGAGACCTGTGCTGCTCCCTTAATTGCTCATGATGGCTAAAAAACTGCATTCCGACCCCCTTCAGTTCCATACCTGTGTGCATGTCACGATTTGGGGCTTGACTCTTCTGCCAGATTCGGGCTTAGTGTCAATTCCTTAGTCCTTAGCTGTCCTCTTGGCTTTCACAGCTTATGGCTGTGGTCTCAGACCCTTTCACTGAAATCCGTGATTCCCTGGTCGCAAACCACAGACTTCCACCAATCCCGGAGTACTCTTCTGCCACCTAGGGGCAAAATGCAGTACTACCTCAGCTGCTCTGGGACGCTCTACTACACAGTAATTAATACTGTAGATATTCATGAAATCTTTTACTTCCCAACCAATTTTTCCTCATATTTAAAGCAAAACAAAAAAGTCCATCACTTTTTATTGACACTGTTGGTAGTCATTAAGGATAGACTTTGACTCTTTACCAAACATGCAGTTCCCAAAGAATCTTGGGATTTCTGTTTTATCACCAGGTATTTTCAAAACCATAACACCCCCCCTCCAAATTTCATATGATATAAGGGCAAAACAGTTTTGCATGTTCTGTGTTCATAGCTAGAATTAAAGTGGATCTGAAGGGAAAGAAAGCTACAATGCCAAAGCTTGCTTGTTAATAAAATGATAACAAGAAGAGAAAATGCCACCAGATTTAACAATGTCACCTTCATACTAAACCAAAGTATTACAAATATTACCTTCTGGGCAATTAAAGCAGGTGGTTAAGGTTGTAGGGAAAAACATGGAATGCATCTTTCTCTTTCTCTCTCTCTCCATTTATGTATACATAAAAATATGCATATATTTTTAAAGCGGAGCATATATGATCGGGGGAAGAAGATAATTCAATTGCACTGACATATATATCCACATATCTACTTCTATTTTTTTGAAATACGGCAGTGGCAATATTAGACAAAAATATTGCGAGGTTTTCAAAGTAGTGAAAATAATGGTATCATTTTTTAAGAGCCACCCTATCTAAAAATCAAATATGTGAATCAGATAAAAGTTTAGATTAGTTTCTAACTTCCACCCTATCCAGACCTCTCAGGAGTTCTCTGGAGCTGTGGGAATATCTCCAAGCACAGATGGCAACCACTGATGGGGTACAAAGCCCAGGTTCTAAAGTAAGACAGACCTGGGAATGAGTCCAAGTTATTAACTATGTGACTTTGAGGAGGTTGTCTCTCTTTGTGAGAATCATCCACAAAAAAACAGCTAGAAAGACCAAGTCTTTATGTTACAGCTTACACTAAGCTCTTGTTGAGACAGACTTCCCCTGACAGAGTTCCCAATGCCTTTATGTCTCAGTCCTATGACTTTCCAAAACTCATATACCCAGGAAACATGAAGAGTCTGGTATATAAAACCACCTGCCTAGACCCATCGCTTGTCTTAGAGAGAGTCAGAGAATATGCCATAGGCAGATTGCATAAACCGTTGTTTGTAATCCAGCCTCAAGACTTTGGCCCTGAGTACAGTTGCTGAGTCATTACTCCTTTTGTCACTCCCATCCTTCTGCAGGGTTCTTAACAAACCCAAGAACCTCACTCATACTTGTTTGAAAACCCCATGTGTTTTCTGTTGGTAATTGTATCACAATATCAGACAGTATAGAATCAATCAGATGACCAGAGGAGAAACAGTCCAAGCACCCCAAATAAGCCAAGACAAAGACTTTCTAATAAAGACTTTAGACAATGTGATCTCTACTATTCTATAAGCGCAACACCATGGAATACTAATATAACAAGTTATCAGTTAGGATGGGAAGAAAAGGTAGTTATATGTGTCTACCAGTAGCAACTCCTCATACATCTCTCTCTTTCTCTTTCTTTTTTTGTCTCTCTTTTCTCTCTCTTTTTTCTTTCTTTCTCTCTCCTCTCTCTCTCTCTTTTCTTGACAAAGTCTCACTCTGTCGCCCAGGCATGAGTGCAGTGGCATGATCTCCACTCACTGCAACCTTCACCTACCGGGTTCCAGCAATTCTCCTGCCTCAGACTCCTGAGCGGTTGGGACTACAGGAATGCTAATTTTTTCGTATTTTTAGTAGAGACTGGGTTTTGCCTTGTTGGCCAGGCTGATCTTGAACTCCTGATCTCAAGTGATCTGCCTGCCTCAGCCTCCCAAAGTGCTGGGATTACAAGCATGAGCCACTGTGCCCGGCCTCTTCATAGGTGGTTCTTTGGCTAGTTCCTATTCTTGTCTTGATAATATAGTCAGTTTTGATTTGAAAACTTATCTGTGTACTCCACAAACAAAGCAAGCTTTAAAGAGAGAAATAGAGGAAAAATATCATGGCTCATTTTAATTTCTGACTTCTTGGCCAGCTCCTCACTTGAGTCATTGGTATAGAAAGAAATGTGTATTGCTACATAGAGAAAAATATATTTTTCTTTGACTAAAATGTAAGTTATTTCCATGGATGATTCCAAAAGTCCCTCTAACTAACTAGATTCTAAGAAAATATAGCAATTTTTTTGTGAGGGGCATAATAAAGATGATAACAGGCTGCCCTTCCTTACTTTTGGTAGATGTCTATGGTACTTTAGGCTAACAAATAAAACAGTACCAACTTTATGGAAGACTTGGTTTAGGATCCGATTGGTTGTATAACACAGAGCTTTTGGATATTCATAAAACAAATCAATTCTACTGAAATATATTACTGAGGGTTATTAATGTTTGTGTTACTTCTGCTAGTGGGAATTATAGTTTGTTCAAATGTGCATATATATATATATACATGTATACCTATGCACACCCTTACACAACCTTTAAGCATTTTTCTCTTTCACCAGCAGAAATACAATTTCTGTTACTACAAGCAACATTTAACTACCACCACCCCATATCAATAATTTTTTAGTGTACAAAATACCAAAAGGCACAGAAAACTCAATTTCATTTTAAAAGCCCAAATATACACTCAGATGTGGAGTACAACCTTAGTATTGGCATAGGTAGCTGAAAATGCATCCAAATGACAACATAAAATATGTCAAGAGTTACCAAGTAGATCATCCCTTTGATTTATTTTACCCTCTAGGTATAAAACTATCAAGTTACTTGATGTAAAGCCCAGTGGCTACCAAAAACTATACATATATTCTTCCTCATTTAAAAAAAAATATATATATATATAAATATATATATTAGAGTAAGTAAAATGCGAAGACACAGTATGTAGCTTGGGTTTGAAGCCTCCAGTAAAACAACAGATCCATATGGACTGCTGGAGAGTTATACAGTGTTTTAGTGAAAAGACCTGGTGTGATAATTACCTCATTTTACAGATGAATAAACTAAGACCCCAGGTCATAATGTTATTAAATGGCAGAACTGGGCAAGAACTAAAATCTTCTAACTTTTACCCCAGTGTCTTCCTATGATCCTTCAACAATTACTTCCGCCCATAGAGATTACTTTTTTCTTTATTGCCATGAACTTATGAAATTACAGATTGTGGAATTATAACTCATTTTTCTTAGCTTCTTTAGTGAGTTAGATTAAAGTTAAAACCCCTGCAAAAGAGAAAAACAAGTGATTCTGAGCATTCAACAAGGAAACTATAAAAACCACATACCTTATAAACCTCCCCAGTCCCTAGCCATGCCTGCCCACATAATTCAGGCAGAGGCTGGCCTGCCATTCTGAAAGCTAGCACCAAGTGTGGCCTGGCAAGGAGGAGTAGAGCAATTTGGCTGCTCCCTGGCATTGCGACTGAGGCTTCTATTGGGACTATGCAGTTGTCACTGGGCTTTTCAGGGATTGAAGGCCTGTGGGGATCCCCATGGACTTGAGTGCTACCTCCCCGTCAACTCCAGGTGGTTCTCTGTATCAGTCCAGAGGTCCAGGGTTGGGGGGCGGGGGTGGCTGGGGCGAGGTGTTCTCCTCTTCCCAGGATTGCACAGGTTCCTGTGAGAGGTATGAATTTTCTGAGGGCTCTCACTTTCACACTCTTTCTCCATGTTAGAGAGCTTCTCCTGGTTCCGTAAAAGTCCTGGGTGAGTGGCTGCCCGGTTTTGCTCTTCTCTTTTCTTCATGTTGCCTCACTCCCTTGATGGGTCTCAATGTGCTTTCTTAGGTGGTCCACTTGCAGAGTTAGTGTTCACTCACCACTTTGTTTTCTCTCTGTGAGAGCAGAACACACAAGCTATTTCTAGCCCACCATGTTGAGCCCGAACCCTAATTTTATTAAAAAACTCAATGTTGTGGCTGGGCGCAGTGGCTCACGCCTGTAATCCCAGTACTTCAGCAGGCTGACACAGGAGGATCACGAGGTCAGGAGATCGAGACCATCCTGGCTAACACAATGAAACCCGTCTCTACTAAAAATACAAAAATGAAAAAAAAATTAGCAGGGCGTGGTGGTGGGCGCCTGTAGTCCCAGCTACTCCGGAGGCTGAGGCAGGAGAATGGAGTGAATCCGGGAGGTGGAGCTTGCAGTCAGCGGAGATCAAGCCACTGCACTCCAGCCTGGGTGACATAGTGAGACTCTCTCTCAAAAATAAATAAATAAATAAATAAATAAAATTCAGTGTTGTATTTAAGGAATTTTTTTTGGTTTTTGTTTGTTTGTTTTGTTTTGTTTTTGTTTTACCATTAAGAGGTTAACTTCACGAAAACAGGAAACATGTCTGATTCTTTGAACTATTGTTTTACCCATTCCTAGCATAGGGCTTGGTACATAACAGACACTGAATTAAAATAAAATAGTTAAGTAAGAGTAGAAAGAAAGGATATAAGGAAAAATAAAGAAAAGTAAGCAAGGAAGGAAGACAATGGAACTAAGGAAAAATAGAAGTGGCAGGAAGGTTAGTTCCTGCCTGCAAACTAAAGTCATGATGGTCTTGAGGATATTACATCATTGCACAGGCCAAGCTCCTGTCAAGTAGGCCCAAGGAGTCAAGGTTGTGCTGATGACTGCCTGTGCATGTCCCTTACTATGTGATCAATGATACCCAAGACTATTCATATTCTACTTATACCATTTGTGGGAACAGGATGGAAAGTTTTATGTAGATAATGTTAAGAAGTTTGTTGTTGTTGTTGTTAATTTTCTTCTGTCTAATCTGAGAACTCGTTACCCAGTAATCTCTCAGGAACCCAAACACTTTGATCATATCAACCTGCTGCTACTAGCATTGCTTATGTCACAAAGAAAACTAATGATCCCTTTATTCACCATACTGAATGATGTTCCTGAAATCAAGAGGTAAAATCTCATTGCTTTTTCCTTGAATATGGCCTACCCAAAACGTGACTTGTTTTTCATATAAAACATGGCAGAAGTGACTTTATAGGACATGTAGGGCTAAATTATAAGACGTTTCACAGCTTCTGCCTATGTCTTCTGTGACTTTCGCTTTTGCAAAACTTATTCTAGGATAAGCCAGTCAGCACTAAGAAATTTGACTTCCCTAGGATTGCCATACTGTTAGGAAGTCTGAAGCAGACATATGGAGAAACTGTAGAAAGAGAGCTAGATGCCCAACCATCTTCCAGGTGTTGCACCCAATTCTGCAGAGGTGACAAATATAGAAATGAAGAGGTCATCTTTGGCTTTTAGCCTAGTTGAACCTCCAGATGATTCCTGTTTTAGCCATCATCCAACTATAAAAAAAAGCATGAGAGGCCTCAAGTGAGAATTGCCCAGCTGAGCCTGGCCAACCCACAGTACTGAGAGATAATAATAAATTATCATTTAAAGCCACAGAGTTTTGGGGTGGTCAGTTATGCAACCTTAGTTAACCCAAAGCACTGAACAAAAGTATTACTTTGGAGAATTTATTTTCAATAACAAGGAAGAGAATGTGGTCTATCATGATCAATAACTATATATAACTAGGATTTGTTTCCTAGGGACCATGTGCTTCAAAGTAGGTCTATAAACTCTCCGTGTCTGACATATGATCTGCACTAGTCTAGAGAGATCAACTTGTCAGGCATTCATCAAAGCTTCCTCTTCCACTGTGAAAAACATAGTATTTCTCATACGAAAAAAAAAAAAAATTCCCTCCTACTTTTGCATTTCTGTGGGCTCAGTGCAGCTACAAGTCAAGATAAAAACTAATATCCAGTGGTTCCCAAATCTTAAAGTATGTTTCTTTTAAAAATTGTATCTCTGTGGTGCCTACCTCCTCATACAGTTTCAGAAAGATAAGTGCCCACCAATTGTCAGTGTAATTGGTCTCAATGCAATTGACACTGCATTCCACCAGCAATTTAACCTCATGTTGTGCATGTTTTGTGATGTCCCTGCCAGTCAGACAACCACAACAACTCAAAATGCTGGAAGGATCTACACATATTTTCAGTAGAACAATATTTTAATACTTCCTAATACCTATACTTCCATGATATCATCCACCTGGCCTTACTCTTTTACATACTTTATTTGCATTGATATATTAATATCCTTCATCCCATGCATTTGCCCCCTTCCCCCAACTACAACAGCTCCTCGCACTCATTTTGTCTATGTGCTTTTCCAATTCTGTGGATTGTCAAGCCTCTTTTTTTTTTTTTTTTTTTGATAGAGTCTCCCTCTGTTGCCCGGGCTAGAGTACAGTGGTGCAATCTCAGCTCACTGCAACCTCTGCCTCCCTGGTTCAAACAAGGCATGCCTCAGTCTCCCAAGCAGCTGGGACTACAAACACGAGCCACCATGCCCAGCTAATTTGTATTTTTATTGGAGAAGGGGTTTCACCGTGTTGGCCAGGCTGGTTTGGAACTCCTGGCCTCAAGTGATTCACCCACCTCAGCCTCCCAAAGTGCTGGGATTATGGTCGTGAGCCACTGTCCCCAACCCTCAAACCTCATTGTTTTTAATGGAGATGCCAGATTTTAGGATGTTCTTCAAGGCTCTCCAATTTCAAATTCATCTGTATAATGCATACACTGCCCAACTTTTAGTTTCGGATTATGTAAAATGGGAGTCACCTCAAAGAACATCCACATTGCTGCCAACACACAATTCCTACCAACAACATAACCAACTCACTTTATTTTTCATCACAGAATTCAGTTGTGTTAAGTAATTTTACTGTTCTCCCAGAATTCCATAATTCACAGGAACCATGGAAAAACATATCTCACTAATGACAATAGCCTTTCAAAAAACTCTAGGTTAGGATGCCCAGCTATTCAGCCATGTAGTGAGTATTTGCTTCATTTGCAGGGGCAGATTTGGAGCCTGGAATTGCCACAGCCAAAAAGGCAAGATAAGTTTCTTGTAAAAATCCAAGGATGGAATACCAGAAAAAAAAAAATCTCAAAACTAAATTTAGCGATCTTGGGGTAGAATTAAAATAAAGGTCCAAGAGCAAAGTGTGCACGGATATGAATTCATCCCACTGACCACTACTGGTTTCATGATGTACTTTACAAACAATGAAAGCATCATATAAAATTAAAGGCATTCTATGAAATTACAGGCATTCTATAAAGTGACTTCTGCCATGTTTTACCAGAAAAAAAAAAACAAACCCAAAAAAGTTGAGTCATTATAGCTAGGCCATATTCTAAAAGAAAGGATGACATTTCACCTATTTATTTCAGAAGCACCATTCAGTACAGAGAGGGAAGGGATTGATGGTTCCCCGTGTGATATAAGCAGTGCTATTAGAAACAGGCTGATATGATCAGAATGTCTGGTCTTCCTTGCAATATTGGAAGTGTACAAAATATTAACAATATAAGTAAAGAAAAACACTATCAATATGGTATTCCATGTAATTAATAAATAAATCAAAATCAAATTTTTGAATTCAAAATGAAAAAATTCTGCTTCATAACATTTTGTAGTCTATTTTAAACTCATTTAAGAAAGAAAATTTTTCTTTAAAGTTTTTTGGATGAAGTTAGAAGTTTATTGTTGTCCTGATCTTTTGCACTCAAATAATTTTCAGTATTTGTCTAAACAAAAACACTGCTTTTACATGGATCCATCTGATTTGACAGCATAATCCTTCTCATCATAACAATCAAGCTGGAGCTTGATTTCACCACTTAAGTGAAAATTGGTTTTCTAATGGAAAAATACATCATAATTATGTCGATAAAATTCCTGAGCAAAACTACTTAACAATGCAAGATTCAATACTAACTCTTAACTTTGCGGAATACCTATGCAAATTGCTTCCTAGGAAACCAACTGTTTTGTTGTTTTGTTTTGTTTTTTCCTTATGCAAGGTCTTTTCTTATTACTCAGTTTTTATAAACTGGCTATTTCATTCAACAACTAACAAAGATTTGTCCTTTATAATGTAATTGAGAATGCTAGTGACTTATTTTTAATCTTCCTTTTGAGAGCCTAACTGTATCTCCTTCTAATACATATAAAACATTATCTCTAGCTAAGCCACAGATGTGGTAAGTGAATGCAAAGGTTATTCGTATTTCCAAAGAGTACCCAGGGGAAACATTTTTCTGCCTCTTTCCCTTTTAAACAGTAACTCCTTTGTTATTCTCCATATTTCAGTTATTTGACAGCTCAAATAGTAAATTAAAAGCACTGCACCATCAAATACATTGCATTATATATTCTCCTAATTTCAAATCACATTAGATATGTGTATGTCCTTCCATCTCAATTCTCACTAGAAATATTGAAGATAAACATATCTCATTAATTAACTAAGAACTTAAGTATTATTAAGCAATTTTGAAACAAGTTAAAATTTTTTCAGAAACAGTAAAAATCTAGATCATCACTGCAAAATAAATATAATGTGAGCAACAAATAGAAGCCACATAGGTAATTTTTTATTATCCTATCTAGTAGCTGCACTTAAAGTGTGAGATGAAACAGTTGAAATTAATTTTAATAATAAATATCCAATATATGCAAACTGTTACCAATGCATAAGCAATATAAAACTCATTCAAAATGTATTTTACTTTTTTTCAAATTAACTTTCAAAATCCAGCATGTATTTTGCATTTACAGCATATTCTAATCTGAACTACTCACATTTCAAGAGCTTTTATTAGCCTCATGGCTAGTGGCTACCACATTGACCAGTGAGTTCTCAAGGGTAAAGGGTCAAGATCTATCTTAACAGAGACTCATTGCCCTAGGACTACTTATGAAAGATCAGAAATTTTTAATAAAGTTTCATAAAGCTCAATGATTTCTAAAAGCCTAAGCAATTCATGGAAAATATATATTTTTAGGGAACTTCCATGAGTCATGAGAGATGACTCAATGAGTGGCTTGAAAAGTTCACATCATGCCCTTCCATCCCTGTTTATGCAGCCCAGTTTTATGGATAGCTAAGTATAGCTTATATTGAAAGGAATTCCCTTTAATTACTTTACTTTAAGATGACTATTATCTAATCCATTTTCTTCTCATTTCACTTGCCTAGCATATATGAAGCATTTGATATTCCCTTTCTTGCTGCTTCCCTTGAACTCAGACTAAAGTATGATTTAGAATGGGATCTATCCACACAAACAGTACTATTTATATTTTTTTCAGCTTTATTGAGGAACCATAAATTGTACAAATAATTGCATATATTCAAGGTGCACAATGTGATGCTTTAATATATATTTATATATAGTGAAATTATTACCACAATAAAGCTAATTAATGTATCTATGACCTCACATGGTTTGTGTGTGTATGTGAGGTGAGAATAAGAACTATTCTGTTAGCAAATATCAATCATACAGTATATTATTATTACTGTAGTCACAATGCTGTACATTCAATCTTTAGAACTTATTCATATTTTAACTAGAAATTTGTACATTTTGACCAAAATTTCCCCATTTTCTTCACTGCCCAACCTCTGGTAACCACCTTTCTACTCCCTATTTCTATGTGTTCAGCTTTTTCAGATTCTGCATATGAGATCATGCAGGATTTGTCATTCTGTATTTGTTTATTTTGCTTACCATGAAGGTCTCCAGGTAAATCTTTGTTTTCATATATGGCAGTATTTCCTTCTTTTTAAAGGCTGAATAATATTCTATTATGTATTTTCATTAAAATAGATTTTATTTTATTTCCATTATATGTAATATTTTATTACATTTTAAATAAAATTAAAATTATGGCTGGTTAGTATTCTAAAACCTGATAAGCTATTTTATATTTTACCAAGGAAAATGTGTTCTAACGTTTATTCATTCTGCCTGTATTTGCTCATCACCATAAAGGATAAAACAACCTCCAAGCAGAGATGAGATAATCATTGCATGACTTTGTGCATGTTTGTCTTGTCTTCACATTGTGCCACAAGGTAGTTATACTAATATCATAGGAGCAGAAATTAACGTTATCCCATGGAATGAGAGACAGGCTGGAGACCTACACATGGTAGGTGTATTGATTTCTTCATTGTGTAAAAGGATGTATTAAAATGTGTAAAATAGCCATTTTGAATTTTGACCCTTTCAGAAGCATCCCATTTCACCATACTTCAAAAATGTATGATGATTTCCATGTGATTCTGCTGTTGTTGTTGTTTCTCTTGAAGTGGTCTGATTGTTAGGAAATTGGAGGTAATTGTAAATAAACGTTAAATTTCCATGTTAAACTCTTTGAGGCTAAATGTCTACTTCTCTATTTTTCCTAATAACAACACCAGAAATCATTCTATTTGGGCGAATAGGCTATTTTTGGTTTCCAAAAATGTCACATTTTAGCAAAATATCTTCCAGGAAACAGGAGTCAGGAAGCAAGGACTTTGGTAGCTAATGGGAGTAGTTAAGCTTTAGAAATAGAAATAAAGTAGTGATCACTTTACTATTTACTTAAAGTTAAAGGACAAATAAATATCATATTTAATGCAAAAATGGCTGCAGTGTATTTTGGTAAACTTACAGGTGAGAAATGCCAAAATCACTTTAGCTCTGTGATTGCAAGTAAGTGACAAGGCATCCCAGGGCATGTGATTAAACTGCCACAGAAAAATGCAGTGAAACTTTTAGTGACAGACAAATTGAAAACTTTCTAACAGTAATGTCACATTAACACAGAGCAAGTGCAGTAGCACAGCAAGGAAGAGAAAGAACAATGAATGTGTTTGACAATCCCTGTCTGGGTATTTGGGATTATCCAGACAATAGCAGAGAAAACAATTGCCAATCAAGTGAATTAAACAAGATCTGAGTAAAGACTGTTGACTAAAAGGACATCTGATAATGCTTCTAAATTTATATCTGCATACACTATAAAATAATTAAACACAAAGCAAAAGAAAATGACTAAAATGGAAATAATCCTTCTAAATTTATATCTGCATACACTATAAAATAATCTTACACAAAGCAAAAGAAAATGAGTAAAATGGAAATGAGTAATAAGTAAAATAACAGAGTTGAATTAAAATTTATCTAGAAAAAGGAATTGATACGTATTTATAATCCTATGAACAAACTAACTTGTCACCAAGTGTCACTTTGCATGAGGATTATTTCTACTATTTTGATATATGAGAGCCTGCGAAGAAAGGTGTCAGGCATTCTGGGACCTTTGTGCCACCAAGTTAGGGATATGCGTAGGAAAAAAGATTAATAATATGAACTGGCAAAAGGCAGTGTTGTAAAGATTTGATACGGATATAATTCTCTGTGAAAGTATCAATGAATGCTATTCAAAATTTAGTATGCATACAAATCACCTGGGAATCTTTTTAGCATGCACATTCTAACTCAGTAGGTATAAAGTCTGCACAGCAATTCTGCATTTGCACAGAGCTCCCAGGTAATATTGACACTGCCCCTTTACACATCACCTATTGTGTCTTGGATCTGTGTAACCACCAAATCTTACGTTGAATTGTAATCTCCAACATTTGCGGTCCGACCCAGTGGGAGGTGATTGGGTCATGGGGGCAGATCCTTCTTAGCTTGGTGCTGTCTTTGCGATAGTGAGTGAGTTCACTTTACATGAGATCTGGTTATTTAAAGTGTGTGGCATCTCCCTGCCACCCTTATTTAAAGTGTGTGGCAGCACCCTTGCTCCTGCTCTGGCCATGTGATGTGCCTGCTCCTGCTTCACCTTTTCCCATAAATAAAAGCTCTCTGGTGCCTCCGCCGAAGCCAAGAAGATGCCAGTGCTATGCTTCCTGTACAGCCTGCAGAACTGTGGACCAATTAAGCCTGTTTTCTTTATAAACTACTCAGTCTCAGGAATTTCTTTATAGCAATGCAAGAATGGCCCACTACACCACCCTTTGAGAAACAGGATGTAATGAACTGTTATAGCTGTGTTTATTATCTACCCATCATGCATTTTGCTCCCCTTTTTTGGTCCCTTTTCTTATAAAAAGCACTTTGTGTCTGTGTATGACTATAACCTGCTCACTCCTGAACCCTTCACCTAGATAATGGTTGAAACATTATCCAAGTCCACCAATTAGAGTCCTCATTCTTTAGACTGTGATTGGATTATTGATGGGCACATGATACAAGCCAGACAAATCAGAATCTTTAGAAACTTTGCTGAAACTCTTGGAAAAGATGTATAATCTTTCACTAAGATTTCCAGGTTGAAAGACAATTTAATCCATTTGGTGGTGATTCTCTTTATTTCTCTGAACAAAACACTGAGAATGAAGCCAACATGGGTGGAAGTGAAATTGAGAGATGGAGGAAGAGAAAATTTCCTAATCACATAGTTTTAATGCTGAGTTCAGTCATATCTAAGGCCCATTTACCCCTTTGAAGTTCCCAGTTGGTGAGCCAATATATTCTTTTTGCCTGTTTGACTTAATTGGAGTCATTTTCCTTAAAGAAGAGAAAAGAACTGATCTTACTCCTCTCATGCATCTAATATTCTTCTTCTGAATTAAAGTTTCAGGTTTTACTTCTTGCCCTCTACACCTCTCTGATTTACAATATAAAGGCTTGCATGTGTGATTTTTCTCCTTTCACAGGTGCTAGACACAATCCTGACACAACAGGAACTCTATTATGACCATCAGCAGAATTCAGGGCCATGTTGGTTGCTCTCATAAAATCACATATTCGAAAAATATGGCTGATTGTTTAGACATCTATCTTTTGTGTCATTACTCCTTTCCATATTGACACTTTTGTCTTCTTTCTATCATATTTACTTGACTTACTACTGGTATGTGTTTCTTACAACTCTACAGCTGATAACACTTTTAGCAATTATGTCTAGTATATTAAATATTCAATATAAATTTAATTTTTTCTGCACTTACTCATTTTCTGCTTCTTGCAGAAATACTTTCATCTCACTTATGTAATATAGAAGAAAAGAAATAGTAACCTAGTATGCAATCAGAACTTTTCCAACCACAAAGACTCAGCAGGTGTCATGTAGAGATGGCATTGTTGTCATTCAGCATTTATATTGCTCTTTATTTCCATCATGCTATAATTCTCTTTACTTTCAGTAAGTTAATGCATGTTTTATCAGATGAGGTAAGAGTTCAACAAGGTCTCTTTCTAAAAGCAAAATCATTTCAAAGTCAATTAGTGCCTAAGATGCTGTTTGGAGAATTAAATTATACATTGTTCTGAATTTGAAAGTCTGCTTTCTTCCGTAAGCAGCTTATTTTTTAAAAAAATATAAATGCTAGTTTCAATTCTGGATATTATTTTACTAGATGATAATTATTAGCATGATAATATTATTTTTAATTTAAATTTCTTACATTCAGAAACGAATGGTTCACCCTATGTCTGCCATAAGGTAAAGGCACTGGAATATTTCTTCATGAGTTTTAATTCTCATCGTGGGAAGATGTGTTGCCCTGGTGATTCCCAGGGTCAACATGTGGCTTTAAAAATGTTTCCATGAAGACACACAATTTAGGGAAGCATGGTCAACACAATAGGCTATGGAATCTTAGTACCATCAAATGAAGCCAAAATACTAACCAGTTTTTCAGCATTACACCTCTGGCTTCTCACTGACACTGTATTGCTAAGTGTTACTCATTTTTAGCATTTATTTCTCTTTTACTTCTCCCCCATTTCATCCCTCCCCTTGCCCAATACCCAGTACCTTCAAGCTGTTTCTTCAGTTTTGAGAATTACCCATAGAGGTGTAAAAACTTTAAACTTTTTATCGTCTACTCCAAATTCAAGTCTGTTTTATTCTTTAAAGGAAAAAAAAAAGAGTTGCCTATGGTTCTTGATTTGTGACCCTTGGTAAGGGCCCTGTTGTGAATATTTCTCCAGTGCTCTGTCTTGTGGGCTGAAAATGTTATCAAAAGCACTATCTTCTCTTTGCTCAAATCTACTAAACTAAATTAATTCTTGCTAACAAATTATTGACAATTAGTGACTTTATATATTAACTTTGCCATGTAAAGCATTTTATATTTTCATACAACCTTTATGAACCAAAATGCTTTTCAAAATTACCATTTAATACTACTTCAATAGATATGATACAAAATCCAAATCTCTAAACAACAACAAAAAAACCTAATCAAAATTAACCTGAGATTTTTTGTTGGTAGTTTTGTTTGCCTGTGTTTTTGTTGGTTTGCTTATTTTTGCTCCAGTGAATGCTTAACAACTAGCACAGTGCCTGGTACCCAGCAGGTACTTAGTAAATTACTGATAAACATAAACTAAAAGATGCATTTGTACTGGGTTCCTTTTACGGTTTTACTCAAGCTACTTGTTCCTAGGTTTGGAGCCGCCTGGATGGGACAGCTTCTCACAAACAATTATTTGCCAATTACATCAATCATTCTTGAGATTTTTTTAATGAAACAATCTGTTAGATACCCATCAACCTTGAATCTCCTCATCAAAGCTGCTGAAAATTTCAATCTCTTCACTGAAGCTGAAGTTGCTCAATCACCAATGACTTTGATATCAAATTTAAATCAACTGTTTCTAAAGGTGACCTCAATGGAATCCCGGTCATAAAATGAGGTGGAGAACAAAGAATACTCATCTTAATCACCCCTACAGGATTTACTCAAAATGTTGTTTGGTCAAGCCTATGTAAATAATATGAACTGACAATGATTTAGTTAGGTTTCTATAAAAGCTAGCACTGACCCAGGTTCAAGTCATTTTAAGAAAAATGTAGTGTTTACTGACAAAAATCCATGACGACTAGACAAGAAAAAATGTCAAAAATTATGAAGATTCCCCCTTTCAGGGCCTAGATAGCATCTTTTCTTCCTGTGCTTGGTTCTCTTTCCTCTATAAGCCAGCTTCTTCTGGTTACTGATGGGTCTGCTCCCTCATCATGTATGCTTGCCCACAACCCTAAATCTTATTTTCAATCTTATTCCTAAATCAAGTAATTTTTTCAGTTAGACCAGCTTCTGGACACAATATCAGCTACCTCAGTCACTGAATGATGCCAGATTACAAATACTCACGGGAGTAATCTGAATGGTCTAGTTCATCTTTGTGCAAATATATATATATATATATAATATATATATATGCATATATGTCATAAGTTACTAGTGAATGATATTTTAACATTGCCACATACCTCTATTTTAATTCGTCATTATAAATAATAGGTGGTGAATATGGCAAATTAGATAGCAGGATCTGTGTACAGAAATTTACCCCAAAGTGAATGTGACCCAGGATAGATGTAAACTATAATTACTAATAAAATAATTTATAAGACTGTTGAGGAGTTTTCGACATAAAATGAGAAAAAAAAACTTTTAATTTCCAAAAGTTCAAATCTTCGGATTATTAGCACTTGAGACTTATTAGCTTTATAAAAGCAAAGAGTTCTCATTTGCTAGCCTGCCACTTGTAAGCAAATGATCTTATTTTTGTTCTCTCTCTTTTGTGGTTTGTGCATAATATTAGGGCATTTTAATCATTTAAATTTTTTTTCTGCCAGAAAATTAGATACAGGTAATAGGGAAGAAAGAAAAGGGAATCAGCCTTTCACTCACAGAAAATTTAAAGTGTGAATAAAAGAGAAGATGTTCATTTGTAATGAGTGTGAAAGATAGTGTCTTCCCCATGGAGGCACTCATTTCAGAGATGCACTTTCCATTCTTAAGATCCATTTGCAACAAGGCAGAAATTCTGGGCCAGGTGCAGTGGCTCATGCCTGTAATCCCAGCAATTTGGGAGGCAGAGGCGGATGGATAACTTGAGGTTAGGAGTTCGAGACCAACCTTGCCAAGATGGTGAAACCCCATCTCTGCTAAAAGATACAAAAATTAGCTGGGCATGGTGGCACGCACCTGTAGTCCCAGCTACTCCAAAGGCTGAGGCATGAAATTCGTTTGAACCTGGAAGGCAGTGGTTGCAGTGAGCCAAGATCACACCACTGCACTCAAGCCTGGGCGACATAATGACACTCTTTCTTAAAAAAAAAAAAAAAATTCTGGAAAGTAATCCAGGACCCACACAAAGCAGGAAAATTGGTCATTTGCCCCAGGTCTCATATTTCTAAGGAAGTTAATGATTTAGGTTATTAATGACAAACTAAAAGATGCCATATATGCAATAGTCATATTCATGTATTATGTATTAAGATGTAAATTTGTTTATAATACATTTAAAGAACAGCAATTTTATAATTTGGTTTGGATTTCTTCATTATTAACATGTTACAAACCTAAAAAGTTCGTAATGTTTTAGACCTCTCTCAGCTTCTTTATCATCTCAGGACTCATGCATGTTCTTTATCTTTTTTTTTTAAGACAAGTTCTTGCTTTGTCACTCAGGCTGAAGTTAACTCTCACTGCAGCCTCAGTCTCCTGGGCTCAAGTGATCCATCCACCTTAGTCTCCTGAAAAGTAGCTGGCACTACAGGCATGTGCTTTGATGCCCAGCTAATTTCTATATTTTTAGAAATGTGGGTCTATAATGCCCAGGCTGGTTTCAAACTCCTGGCCTCAAATAATCTTCCTGTCTTGGCTTCTCAAAGAGCTAGAATTACAGGCATTCACTGCTGTGCTTGGCCTACTCCCAGGCTCTTTAGATCTTAAACTATCTTCAGATTTACACGGGGTTATGAAAGAAAATATCTGTTTTCTCCTTGGTCCACAGTGTTAAAAAGGAAGGTTCATTCCCTGAAAGAACCTTAAAGGAGCTTATCTATAACCACAGATGTAGCTGCCTCTCCAGTTCTAACTCTTGGTAACTTAGAATCACTATACTTACAGATTTTGTCATCTTCTCAAGTTCTGTTAAATGCCTTCTCAACATAGCCCATTTCTGGAATATGAATGCTTGTCTTCAAAGGCATTTTATGCAATCATTTATAAAGAAGAAGCAAATCTTTCATATTTTGATGTAATTTGCTGTTATAAATTATATTGACGTTTTGACTTTTTATGAGTAATTAGTTGGATATAAAATAGCATTACTTTCAGTTAGTTGAACTATTCATTTCCATGAAAACCACTAATGCAAATAAAAAATATTTTATCACTGCTAAGGTTGCCAACATCATGTTAAGATGAGGCCTTTTATCACCCTCCCTTTATTAATGCATTTCATATCTATAAATTCCAGATCCTTTTACTTGAGACAAATAGTGCCAAAGGAAACTGTTCAATCATCTAGTATTGCCAACTGCTAGATTTTGTCTTTCTCAAGTGATCATAGCTGCTTATGGACATAATGATCACACTTTTCCATTATAATTAAAGAAAGATTTGAGTAAAAGGTAAAGAAAATGTTAGCGACTAAGAATAAGGGACCTTCTTGAAACAGCTTCTGATAATTCCAAGACACATTTGATACATTTTTCTTTGTGTACTTATTCCTTTATAACTTACTGGTGCCAAGTTCTTATGTTGTTTGTTTGATTTGATCTTACTGTAGGAACAAAAGCAATGTTTGATTATTACATTTTTAATATTCAAGGTTTCTAACATAAAAAAATAAAAATTCATACTTAATGGATGCACCTATTCTTAAAAATAAGGATAATAATTACAGATACATCAATTCCATACATTTCATTAAAATCCATTAATGTTAGGAAGAATCATTATGTGCATGAAGACTTTAGTATTTAACATTATTCAAGTTTTTGCTATACTCTGGCCTCTTTAACTTTAATAGCCCTTTCTTGTCCAGATAGGAATTTATCCAATCGCACAGACGCAGAAGTACATTTCAGCTCATTAAAACGGAGGAGGACTTACTCTGGCAAAGTGTAATATCTTCCAAGTGCAGCTTCTAAGTTACCAAGAGTTAGAACTGGAGAGGCAGCTACATCTGCAGTTATAGATCACTTATCTTCCAAGTCTTCCCAGTGCAGCTAATTTGTTCTTTATGTGAGAAGTTTATTATTATTATTATTATTATTATTATTATTATTATAAGTATGAAACACTCTACTTATACAAAATGGCATACCAGCCTTTTCCCTCTCCCTTTAAAAATAAACTACGGAGCACTGAATTATTTTTAATAATTGTGTGCTGTGTATAAGGAGGTGGGTGTAATTTTTAACACCTTGAAAAAAATCATGAAATGTAAAGTAGAACTCCCCCATTTTTAAAATCAAATTATCAGTTTCATAAAAATAAGTGTTTTGTGAAAGGAAGTAATGTAGTAATCATGTCAGCAATCAATTTATTTTTCTCTTAATACTTGAGCCTGTATCTTGAAATAAAGGCTTTAAAAGGTGTTGACCTTTTTTTCTAATTATTAGTTTTGTATTTATAATTTTCATAGGCTATTAGTGGAAATTATTATTTACAATTGGGTAAATATGGGAAGCAAAATTTAAGTTTAGTCTTGAGGTAAGTGTAGGATTTCAGCAGCTAGAAATAAAAAAGAATGTGGAACAAAAAATTTAGGAAAGGGAACTGATGATGATAAGAAGAGTTCCTATACTAATATGGTTAGGCTTTGTGTCCCCACCCAAATCTCATTTTGAATTGTAAACCCCATAATCCCCATAATCTCTATGTGTCAAGGGAGAGACCAGGTGGAGATAATTGAATCATGGGGGCGGTTTTCCCCATGTTGTTCTCATGATAGTGACTGAGTTCACATGAGATCTGATTATATTATAAGGGGCTTTTGGCTTTTCCCTTATACTGGAAGCTTTTGGTTTTCCAGTAAAAGTGTGGCTTTTAGTCCACACTTCTCCTTCCTGCTGCTTTGTGAAAAAGATGCCTTGCTTCCCCTTCGCCTTCTGCCATGATTGTAATTTTTCTGAGGCCTCCTCAGTCGTGCTGAACTGTGAGTCAATTAAACCTCTTTTCTTTCTAAATTATCCAGTCTCAGGTAGTTCTTTATAGCAGCATGAAAATGGACTAATACATATCTACTACTTAGCTAATCTGTTCGGGCACTATGATATTGGCTTTTCTTGTTATTTTGTAAAATTTTATCTTGATATAATCTTATTTTCTATGACATATGAGGAAACTAATGCAAGATATGTTATGTGACTAACCAGAATAAATTATCAACTACTTGAATTACTAGTATTAAGAAGTTACTTTTAGTCTAGGTCTTTCTGACATAGGTGAATGCTATTTCAAATACACCTATCAGGTGAACAGAAAGTGCTGAGTTTTCCATAGGTCCTCCAAAGAACCCAAAATTATTCTTATGACATTAGTTTGCATTATGTTGAAAATTGCTATGACTCTCTTTGTTTTGCTTTATATTACTGCATTTCATTTTATTTCATTTTACTTATTTTTTTCAGGGGAAAAATATTTCAGCTCTTGTCTTGAGCTAAGTTATGAAAATTACGGTGAGGAAAATTCTGTATGTGCTATGCACTATATTCATATACAAATGTATATGCTATATTATTTTTATTTACTTTAAGAAATTTATTTAAATAGGATTTTTTATAACATGGTTGGGACATCAGTAACCCTTACCATTCGCAGAAATAACCATAATGTTATTAACTATTAATTTTTTGCATCATTGTAAGATCTCATTACAAACAATATCTAAATCTTATTTGGAAAAACAATGCATACATACATTTGGCAAATGCCAATATTCTTGCATGAAACTTTTAGACTCCTACTTGCATAATTACTGTTCCTGAAGGTACGTAAGAAGACTTATTCTCATTTGCAGGGACAGTTTGCCTAAAGACAGTTTGACCTCAACAACCTATAGTGGCATACATTTGGCAAACTCCAGTTTTCTTTCCATAGGGGAGTACAAGATGCCTTATTTTGGCCCTGTCTTTAATTTCTAAAGAGGCAGGCTCCTCTAGCCACTTTCCTACTTTTGAAATTAACAAAAGAAAATAGTCAGTGTCTATGTTCACTCAGTCTATGTTCAAGTGCAACCATAAACTCCACAGGGTATATCAGACTCTCTCAAGTATTCTCCATGTTTCAATCTAATAAATTTCCAAATCATTTCTTTTTCTTCCATTTCTTTTTCACATTTTCCTAAGTATGGTAATTGCAACTCTATTAAACTTATAGGCTATAACCTCCTACAGCTGGATCATCTGAGTCTTTTTCTGTTGTCTATTTTTCCCTTAGAAACATCATCTGGAACCTCTAAAGAGAGTAAGAGAAAATTATAATCAACCTAAAATTACCAGATATTCTAAGAGAGAGGACGAGCCCCAGATGAAGGGAAAAACCAAGCTTTATACATATATATATATATATATATAAATTAATAAATAAATAATAAATGGGTTATGCAACACATAATAATGTTGTAGTCAACTACAGGACACATATATGAAGGTAGTTCAAATAAGATTATAGTGAAGTTGAAAAATTCCTTTCACTTAGTGATGTTGTAATAAAATACATTATTCACATTTTTTTGGTGATAATAGTATACTAAACAAATCTGCTGTTCTGCCAGTCATACAAAAATGTAGCACATACAATTATGTAGAGTACATAATATTGATAATCATAATGATTACTATGTTACTGATTTATGTATTTACATTACACTTTTTATTGTTATTTTAGAATATACACCTTCTACTTATGAAAGCAAAGGTGAACTGTAAAACAGACTTAAGCAGGTCCTCTAAAAGGCATTATCCTCATAGGAGATGACAGCTCTATGTGTGTTATTGCTCCTAAAGATCTTCCAGAAAAACAAGATGTGAATGTGGCAGGTGGTAATACTGATGATCCTGACCTTGTGTAGGCATAAGCTAATGTGTGTCTGTCTTCGTTTTTAATAAAATAACTTACAAAGTCAAATAAATAAATATACTTTAAGAATAGAGAAAAGCCTATAGAACAAGGATATGAAGAAAGAAAACCTTTTGAATAGTTGTACAACATGTTCTTGTTTTAAGTGTAATTACAAGAGTAAAGAAGTTTAAAAAATTAAGATTATAAAGTAAAAAAGTTACAGTAAGCTAACATTCAATAACAACAAATTTTTATTAAATTTATTTTAAATTTTTGTGTAGCCTAAGTGTACAGTGTTTATAAAATCTGCAGTAGTGTACAGTAATGTTCTAGGCCTTCACATTCACTCACCACTCACACACTGACTCACACAGAGCAACTTCTAGTCCTGCAAGCTCCATTCATGGTAAGTGCCCTACACAGGGGCACCATTTCTTAAAATCTTTTATACTGTATTTTTACTGTGTCTTTTCTATATTTAGATATGTGTAGATAGACAAATACTTACCATTGCATTACAATTGCCCACAGTACTACATACAGCAACATATTGTAAAGGTTTGTAGCCTAGGAGCAATAAACTATCACACTTAGCAATCAGCTAGGTGTGTAGGAGACTATACCATCTACATTTGTGTAAGTACATGCTATGATGTTTGTACAATGACAAAATTGCATAACACATTTCTCAGAAGGTGTCCCCATTGTGAAGTGGCATATGACTATTTATGTAGGTGTGTATGTGTGTCACCCTCTCTCTCTCTCTAAAGATTTTTGAGAAATAAACAATGATATTTTTAAAAACTTAGAAGCCTGGAAAGAGAAACAAATATAGTTATTAATAACAATAATTTGGTTAGTATAGTAGCATTATCCGTGATACATATTTTTGTTATTACACAGGTTCTTTATAAGTAGTTATTTTAATGATTTTAGTCACAACAAAACAGAAAAAATATATATATTTCTAATTTTTAAAATAGGTAAGTATTTCCTTTTATTTGTTCTGGTTTATTTGATGTGTGTCCTAAATAAGACTTGTTTTCCCAAAAAAGATATTCTGGACATGCAGAGCTCAGTCTCTATGCTCAATATAAAGGCTGATTTAAGTCTCACTAATAAGAAAATGGAGTCCAGTTTATAATGTGCAAATATTTCTTATTCTTTCACTTTGTGCTAGCCCGGATTTATCATTTCTGGCTCTTCAGAAGATGAGTATTCATAATACAAATGGTCATTACTTAACCGAGTTGTAATTCATTTCAACATTATGTAACATTTTTTCTTAGTAATAAAGCATCTATTTTTATTGTTATCTAATATGTCAAGTAGTGCTTATATTACCTGGGCCAATGTTAATTTAACAAAAACATTCTGAATATTTGTGCCAAGAGAGGTTCAATTATGTTATTGCTCAACCATTTCAGCCAATCTGTTTTTATTTTCAAAGAATAGAGAAAAGCCTATAGAACGTGGATATGAAGAAAGAAAACCTTTTGAATAGTTGTACAACATGTTCATGTTTTACAACATGGTTCTTAGAACCACCCTTTAATTAAGGGTCTGATACATTTCTCCCCTCTCATTATCTGTTTGTAAATCTATCACAAGGTAAACAATTTAAGATAGAACACATGAAAATTTACCACATCAAAACTAGTAGATAAATCATGTAGCTGTGAGCATGATAGTCAAGTTATCCCTCTCGGTAGCTAAATGTAAACTCCTTGGATAAAGTTATTAATGGAAGAGAAATGGGTTGGGGAAAGAAAAAGAGTATCTGAGGAATTACAGTAACTACAAATACTTTACCCTAAACAATTCCTGCTCAGAAACAATGACACATTATTCATACATTCATTCTACAGATTGTAAGTTCATTAAAGGCAGAGAAACCAAGGTCCTATTCATCACTGTTTAAGCAGCACCTAGCATGGTGTCTTATATATAGTAGAAAGTTAAAATAACATACTGAATAGCTGTTGGTATTTATAAAATTAGCTTACAACTCTGTGGGGTCCCTCATCCTGAAAACATTGCAATGATCTGCCAGTGAGTGTGAATTATAAGTCTCTAATCCCATTCTCTGTGTAATATTTTCTCCCATAAACTCCAAAATGCCAGCATCATTACTGAGAATAATTATTATTAATTCAGAAAAACTACAGGTATTTATTAAGTATCCACAAAGTAATAGGCACTGTGTTAGGTAAACAAGTCAAACACACACTCAATTTCCTATAGCTCACAGTCTGTTAAAACAGTCAAATTCAATATAATGGAATTAGTGGTATAATGGGAATAATAGAGGGTACACTCTAAATAGGAAGGTGCCTAAACACCTTGCATTATGTCAGGAAAAGCTCCAAAGAGAAAGTGGTAACTAATCTGAGAAGTGAATGAAATATAAGCTGATCAAATGGAGATTTGAGAATGAATGTTTCCGGAAGAAGGTTCTGTAGCTAAAACAAAAACTTTAGTTGAGAGAAACTTTGGCTTCAATGAGAAATGGAAAGAAATTCAATAATTCTGATGCAGAGAATGGGTGAGGGGAGAGATGAGGATGAAATACTGCGTGGGGTAAGGGAAGGAAAGTAAAAAGAAGCTAGATTATAAAAGGCCTTGTAAATTCCCACATCTGTGCTTTTATGTCATCTTTGATATTTACAAATCACTTTCATCTTTGAATTGCCCAGTTTTTGACTTATTATTCATTGAATTTGCAATATATTTTTCTCATATATCCTAAAGGACTTCAGATCAGATAAATGTGAAAAGTTATTTCTATATTTGGTAAAGTTTAACACATTCATTCGATTCTTGTGAGTTTTAAAGAATTTCATTGACTGGGATATTTATGGAAACCTACAGATGATAACCAGAAAAACCTCAGGAAAAAAGTAATTTTCAAAGTATTCTAGGTATACTTTGAATTATTTACATACTAAAATAATCTTATCTAGTTGAGATATTATATATTTTTATGTATTATAATTTGAATTTGAGTACTATTAGAATAAATTATTTAGTAAGCAAATGAAATACTATTGGTTGCAGAATCCCAAAAAGAGCACATGTAAAACAAATCATAGATCAAATCAATTTCATCTCTTAATAGTCCATTTAGACTTTGTGCTTTGTACACTGTAACAAATAGAATGCCCCACAGCTACAGGTAACAAAGTATTTAACTTGAAATAAGTTTAATTAAATTTTTCTGTCTTATAATGAAAAGGCCTGATAGTAGAACTTTATGAAATATTACCCCAAATGTTCAAAAAAATGACTGAGAACCTTAGAACCCTTTTTATCTCTGCCATTCTCAGAACACTGGTCTTGTCTTCTTTCTAAGTCTCCTACTGTCACACACTGGGTGCTGCAGTTCCATGCATCACACAAAAACACAATAATGTCCAGTGGGGAAAATAAGGTGCAGCTTCCTCCAATTTAGTTACTTTAAAAACAGACATGTTTCCAAGAAACCCTCTTGCTGACATTTCTTCACTTCCCATTGGACGGAACTGTTTTCACATGCCAGTCCTACATTAATCATCTGTAAATGGTTTGAGATTTCCATAATGAGTTTACCCTAAAGCAGATTTACTTTTAAATTTAGGAGAGGGTTGTTATGTTTTTACAGTAGATAACTGAACAAAATCAGATTCTGCTAATAAAAAAGAATGAAAGAAATGGTTGTTGGTTAGAAATAGAAATCATATACTGTCTGATATATTCACACCCACATGACTGGTAAAATAATATAATACAATTTCATTTTATTAATAATATAATATAATTATATTATTAATTTTATTAATATTTGGAAAAATATGAAGTTAAGTTCAGTGGATAATTATGTATTTATTGTACTCTGAACATTACTAGTTTGATTCTTGGCTTAGTTGCTGTATCAGGCTGGTCTTGTATTTCTGTGAAGAAATCTTGAGACTGGGTAATTTGGCTCACGGTTCTGCTGTCTGTAAAGGAAGTGTATATAGGAGCATCTGCTTCTGGAGAGGTCTCAAGAAGCTTCCAATTATGGTGAAAGGCAAAGGGGAAGCAGTCACATAACATGGTGAGAACGAATGGGAGCAAGAGAGAGAGAGTGGGGGGAGGGAGGTGTCACACACTTATAAATGACCAGATCTCTCAAGAACTGACTATCATGAAGACAGCACCAAGCAATGAGGGATCTGCCGCCATGATCCCAAAACCTCCCACCAAACCCCACCTCCAGCACTGGGAATTACAATTCAACATGAGATTTGAGCAGGGATAAATACGCAAAGTATATAAGTTGCCAATAATATAATTATACAGTTTTCAAATACCAGCAATGAAATACAATTTTATATATATATATGAGCATTTGCTTATAGATAAACATTTCTAAATTGCTTCATAAGGCATGAAAATATTTAACTTGAATAATATTATAGGGATAAAAGATAATCTGTAAAGTGCTATGCACAAAAACTGGCACATGCTACATGCTCAGTAATTGACAGGCAAATCGATGCCCCATAAAAGGCATAAAAGTAAATGATGGATTTTGTTTATTCCTGAGTTCTTCTTAATGCTCACCTACGTAGTAATATATGGCAAATGCAGTTCTCATCTTTTTATATTTTCTTAATCTAAAATCATCATATTTGTATGACTTTATAGTCAGTGGGCTAAGTTGTCTTCACTACATGTTGTATGAAAATATGTCTCTGGGAGATTTTAGTAGTCAATAATGTAATTCCCAAGGTGATGAAATACAGATCTCATGGATAAAGAAATGGTAAAATACAATAGAATAAATTTGACAGGAAAATATTTTTGGCTGAGGGGTATACAATTGACTACCTATGTTAATAAGCAGTGTCTGTTATATTAAAAAGGGTTTTTACCTTTCCCAAAACAAAAATAGCAAATCAAATTGAAGCAGGTTGCATAGAATTTAATATATTGGCACATGATTTTATTTTTGTAATTTTTTTTTAAGTTTGGGGGACATGTGTAAGTTTGTTTTGTAGGTAAACTTGTGTCATGGGGGTTTGTTGCACAGATTATTTCATCACCCAGGTATTAAGCCTAGTATCCATTACTTATTTTTCCTGATCCTCTTGTGCCTCCCACATGAAAACTGGAAAAGCCACAATGTGTGTTGTTCCCCTCTGTCTGTGTGTTCTCATCATTTACCTCCCACTTACAAGTGAGAACACACAAGATTTGGTTTTCTGTTCCTATGCCAGTTTGCTAAGGATAATGGCCTCCAGCTCTATCCATGTCCCTGCAAAGAACATAATCTCATTTTTTATGGCTGCATAGTATTCCATGGTATATTTCTACCACATTTTCTTTATCCAGCCTATCATAGGTGGGCATTTAGGTTGATTCCATGTCTTTGTTATTGTGAATAGTGCCACAATGAACACATCTGTGCATGTGTCTTTATAATATAACGATTTGTATTCCTTTGGGTGTGTATCCAGTAATGGGATTTCTGGGTTGAATGGTATTTCTGTCTTCAGGTCTTTGAGGAATTGCCACACTGTCTTCCACAATAGTTGAACTAATTTACACTCCCACCAACAGTGTATAAGTGTTCTTTTTTCCCAAAACCTTGGAGCATCTGTTATTGTTTGACTTTTTAATAACAGCCATTCTGACTGGTGTGAGATTTTATCTCCTTGTGGTTTTGATTTGCATATCTCTAATGATCAATGATGTTGAGCTTATTTTCATATGATTGTTGGACACATGTATGTCTTCTTTTAAAAAATGTCTGTTAATGTCCTTTGCCAGCTTTTTAATGGAGTTGTTCGTTTTTTTCCTGTGAATTTGTTTAAGATTTTACAGTTGCTGCATATTAGATCTTTGCTGAATGTGTACTTCGCAAACATTTTCTCCCATTATGTAGGTTGTCTGTTACCTTGTTGATAGTTTCTTTTGCTGTGCAGAAGCTCTTTAGTTTAATTGAATCCTATTTATCAATTTTGTTTTTGTTGTAATTGCCTTTGTCATCTTCGTCATGGAATCTTTGCCTGTGCCTATGTTGTGAATGGTATTGCCTAGGTTGTCTTCCAGGATTAATATAGGCTTGAGTTTTACATTTAAGTCTTTAATCCACCTTGAGTTAATTTTTGTATATGGTGTACGGAAGGGGTCTAATTTTAATCGTCTGGGTATGGCTAGCCAGTTATCCCAGCACAATTTATTGAATACAGAATGCTTCCCCATTGCTTATTTTTGCAAGATTTGTTGACAATCACACAATTGTATATGTGCAGTCTTAATTCTGTGTTCTCTATTTTGTTCCACTGGTCTATGTGTGTGTTGTAGTACCAGCACCATACTGTTTTGGTTAGCCCTATAGCATAGTTTGAAGAAGGGCAACATGATGCCTCCAGCTTTGTTCTTTTTGCTTAGGATTGCCTTGGCTATTTGGGCTCCTTTTTGGTTCCAACTGAATTTTAAAATAGTTTTTCTCTAGTTCTGTAAAAAATCTTAATGGTAGTTTAATAGGAATAGCATTGAATCTATTAATTGCTTTGGGCAGTATGACCATTTTAACAATGTTGATTCTTCCTATCAAAGAACATGGAATGTTTTTCCATTTGTTTGTGCCATCTTTGATTTCTGTGAAAAGTGGCTTGTAGTTCTCCTGGTAGAGATCTTTCAACTCCCTAGTTAGCTGCATTTCTAAATATCTCATTCTTTTGTGGCAATTGTGAATAAAAGCTCTGACCTGATCTGGTTCTTGGCTTGATAATTATTTTTATATAAGAATGCTAGTGATTTTTGCAAACTAATTTTGCATTCTGAGACTTGCTGAAGTTCTTTATCAGCTTAAGAAGATTTTGAGCTGAGACTAGGGGTTTTCTAGGTATAAAATCATGTCATCTGCACAGGGATAACTTAACTTTCTCTCTTCCTATTTGGATATTCTTTATTTATTTCTCTTGCCTGATTGACCTGGTCAGGACTTCCAATACTATTTTGAATGAGAATGGTAAGAGTGGGCATTCTTGTCTTGGGTCGGTTTTTAAGGGGAATGCTTCTAGGTTAGCTCATTCAATATGATGTTAGCTGTGCATTTGTCATATATGGTTCTTATTACTTTGAGGTATGTTCCTTCAATACATAGTTTATTGAGAGTTTTTAACACAAATGAATGTTGAAGTTAATTGAAAGCCTTTTCTTCATCTATTGAGATAATTATGTGTTTTTTATCTTTAGTTCTATTTATATGATGAAATCACATTTATTGATTTGCACATGTTGAGTCAACCTTGAATCCTGGGATGAAGACTACTTGACATTTCTGGATAAGCTTTTTGATGGGTTGCTGGTTCGGTTTGCCAGTATTTTGTTGAGGGTTTTTGCATCACTGTTCATCAAGGATATTGGCCTGAAGTTTTTGTTGTTGTTGTTGTAGTTGTTGTTGTATCCCTGCCAGGTTTTGGTATCAGGAGGAAATTGGCCTCATAGAATAAGTTAGAGAGGAGTCTCTCCTCCTAATTTTTTAAAAATAGTTTTAGTAGGAATTGTACCAGCTCTTCTTTGTACATCTGGTAAAATTCAGCTGTGAATCCATCTGGTCCTGGGCTTATTTTGGTTGGTAGGCTATTTGTTACTGCCTGTATTTCAGAGCTCATTATTGGTCTGTTCAGGGATTCAATTTCTTCCTGGTTCAGACTTGGGAGCGTGCATGTGTCCAGGAATCTAACCATTTCTTCTAGATGTTTGCAGAGTTGTTCATTATATTCTCTGATGGTTGGTTGTATTTCTGTGGGGTCAGTGGTAATATCCCCCTTGTAGTTTCTGATTGTGTTTATTTAAATCTTCTATATTTTCTTCTTTATTAGTTTAGCTAGTGGTCTATTTTATTAGTTTTTTCAAGAAACAACAGTTTATGTATTAGTTGATCTTTTGAATGGATTTTCATGTCTTAATATCCTTCAGTTCAGATCTGATTTTGCTTATTCCTTGTCTCCTGCTAGCTTTGTGATTTGTTTGCTTTTGGTTCTCCAGTTCCTTTAGTTGTGATGTTATGTTGTAAATTTGAGGTCTTTCTACCTTTTTGATATGGGCATTTAGAGCTATAAATTTCCCTCTTAACACTGCCTTAGCTGTGCTCAGATATTCTGCTATATTGTATCTTTGTTCTCATTGTTTTCAAATAACTTCTTGATTTCTGCCTTCATTTTATTATTTACCCAAATGTAATTCAGGAGCAGGTTATTCAATTTCCATGTAATTGTATCGTTTTGGATGAATTTCTTAATATTGATTTCTAATTTTATTGTTTCTGTGGTCTGAGACACTGTTTGTTATTATTTCATTTCTTTTGAATTTGCTGTGGAGTATTTTACTTCTGATTATGTGATTGATTTCAGAGTAAGTGCCATGTGGTGATGAGAAGAAGGTATATTCTATTGTTTTGGAGTAGAGAGTTCTGTAGGTGTCTTATCAGGTCCATTTGATTTAATGCTGAGTTCAGGTCCTGAATATCTTTGTTAATTTTCTGTCTCTATGATCTGTCTCATATTGTCAGTGGGGTGTTAATGTCTCCCACTATTATTATGTGAAAATATAAGTCTTTTTGAAGGTCTCTAAGAACTTGCTTTCTGAATCTAGGTGCTCCTGTATTTTGGTGTATATATATTTAGGATAGTTAGATCTTGTTGTTGAATTGAACCCTTTACCATTAAGTAATGCCTGCTTTGTATTTTGTTATCTTTATTGGTTTAAACTCCTTTTTTTTTTTCAGAAATTAGATTTCAACCCTTGCTCTTCCTTTTTTCCATTTGCTTGGTAAATTTCCTCAATCCCTTTATTTTGAACCTATGTGTGCTTTGCATGTGAGATGGGTCTATTGAAGACAACATACCATTGGGTCTTGGTTCTTTATCCAGCTTACCACTCTGTGTCTTTTAATTTGGCCATTTAGCCCATTTACATTTAAGATTAGTATTGATATTTGTGAATTTGATTCTGTCATCATGATGTTAATTGGTTATTTTGCAGGCTCACTTATGTAAATGCTTTATAGTGTCACTGGTCTATGTACTTCAGTGTGCTTTAGTAGTGGCTGATAATGGTCTTCTCTATTCATATTTAGTGCTTCTTTCAGGAGCTCTTGTAAGGCAGGTCTGTTGGTAAAAAGTTTCCTCAGCATTTGTTTGTCTGAAAGGGATGTTACTTATCTTTTGCTTATGAAGCTTAGTTTGGCTGGATATAAAATTCTGGGTTGGAATTTCTTCTCTTTAAGAATGTTGAATATTGGTCCCCAATCTCTTCTGCCTTAGGATTTTAGCTGAAAGTTCTGCTATTAGTCTTATAGGCTTCCTTTTGTATGCGATCTGGCCTTTCTCTCTAGCTGCCTTTAACATTTTTTCTTTCAATTTGGCCTTGGAGAAATTGATGATTATGTGCCTTGGGGATGATCTTCTTGTGGAATATCTTACTGGAGTTCCTTGCGTTTCCTGCATTTGAAAGTTAGCCTCCCTAGCTCAGTTGGAATGTCCTCATGGATAATGTATCCTGAAATAAGTATTCCAAGTTGGTTCCATTCTCCCCATCTCTTTCTTGTACACAATCAATTGTACATTTGGTTTCTTTACATAATCCCATATTTCTTGGAGGTTTTGCTCATTCCTTTTTATCTGTTTTCTCTATTCTTGCCTGCCAGTCTTATTTCAGAAAGCCAGTCTTAAAGTTCTGAGATTATTTCCTCCATGTGCTCTATTCTGCTATTAATACTTGTGATTGCATTATGACATTCTTGTAGTGTACATTTTACCTCTATCAGGTCTATCAGGCTGCTCTGCCAAGAATTCACACTCTGTGTGTCAGATTGTTGGAGTGAGCTCATGAGGGGATCTTGGACCTGAGGGATGCAAAGATTCATGGCAGAAGCATGGGTTCCTAGGGTCACGTGTTCACTCACAGCATCCCCGGATGGGAGTGGTTCCCTTGGCTCCCTGTCAGTCCTGGCTGGGTTGTTGTCCTGCCTTGCTTTTCTCCATTTACTGGAGGTCAAGTTGTTTCCTTGATTAGTCCCAATGTGAGAACCTGGATGTTCCAGTTGAAGGTGCTGTATTTACTTGCCCCTTTCATTCCTCCTTTTGAGAGTCATGCACACTAGCTGCCTCTAGTCAGCCATTTTGGCCACTCCTTTCATGTGATTTTATTAACTGCATAAAGAAGAGAATAATTTTTGGATCTATTGCATATATTTACATACATGTATTTAATATATGTGTTAGCTTAAAAATCACACTAAGTTTGGAAAGGAGACTTCAGTTTTTATAAATGGTTACAACCTGCAAGATTGTTATCCCGCAAGCCAGGAAGCACAGGCTCCAACCAAAGCCCAGAAAAAGGCACTTCAAATAGAGGAAGATTGGGGTAGGAGATTTATGCTGAATGAGTTGGCTAAGGATACATATTTAACAAGTTACAGGAGGAGCTATGTATATTCATGAAGGTGATCTTGACACATATGTATTGAACAAACACATATGTAACATACAACTCATGTTCACGTTGGAGCAGAGACTTATCATTAAATATATTACAATTAGGCTGGATATGTCAAAAAAATCATTTCAGAACACATAAGCACTCAAGTGTGCAGCCTCCATAAACTGGGAAGGACTTAAGAACTTTAAGTTCTAGGGTACATGTGCACAACGTGCAGATTTGATACATAGGTATACATGTGCCATGTTGGTTTACTGCACCCATCAACGCATCATTTACATTAGGCATTTCTCCTAATGCTATCCCTCCACCAGCGCCCCCACCCCATGACAGGCCCCAATATGTGATGCTCCCCAACCTGTGTCCAAGTGTTCTCATTGTTCAATTCCCACCTATGATTGAGAACATGCAGTGTTTGGTTTTTCTGTCCTTGCGATAGTTTGCTGAGAATGATGGTTTCCAGCTTCATCCATGTCCCTGCAAAGGACATGAACTCATCCTTTTTTACGGCTGCATAGTATTCCATGGTGTATATGTGCCAGATTTTCTTAATCCAGTCTATCTTCGGTGGACATTTGGGTTGGTTCCAAGTCTTTGCTATTGTGAATAATGCTGCAATAAACATATGTGTGCATGTGTCTTTATAGTAGCATAATTTAGAATCCTTTGGGTATATACCCAGTGATGAGATTTCTGGGTCAAATGGTAATTCTAGTTCTAGATCCTTGAGGAATCACCACACTGTCTTCCACAATGGTTAAACTAATTTACACTGCCACCAACAGTGTAAAAGTATTCCTATTTCTCCACATCCTCTTCAGCATCTGTTGTTTCCTGACTTTTTAATGATCACCATTCTAACTGGTGTGAGATGGTATTTCATTGTGGTTTTGATTTGAATTTCTCTGATGACCAGTGATGATGAGCATTTTTTCTTATGTCTGTTGGCTGCAAAGATGTCTTCTTTTGAGAAGTGTCTGTTCATATCCTTTGCCCACTTTTTGATGAGGTATTTTTTTCTAGTAAATTTGTTTGAGTTATTCGTAGATTCTGGATATTAGCCCTTTGTCAGATGGGTAGATTGCAAAAATTTTCTCCCATTCTGTAGGTTGCCCGATCACTCTGATGGTAGTTTCTTTTGCTGTGCAGAAGCTCTTTAGTTTAATTAGATCCCATTTGTCTATTTTGTCTTTTATTGCCATTGCTTTTCGTGTTTTAGTCATGAAGTCCTTGCCCATACCTATGTCCTGAATGGTATTGCCCAGGTTTTCGTCTATGGTTTTTATGGCTTTAGGTCTTATGTGTAAGTCTTTAATCCACCTTGAATTAATTTTTGTAGAAGATGTAAGGAAGGGATCCAGTTTCAACTTTCTACATATGGCAAGCCAGTTTTCCCAGCACCATTTATTAAATAGGGAATCCTTTCCCCATTGCTTGTTTTTGTCAGGTTTGTCAAAGATTGGATGGTTGTAGATGTGTGGTGTTATTTCTGAGGCCCCTGTTCTGTTCCATTGGTCTATATCTCTGTTTTGCTACGAGTACCATGCTGTTTTGGTTACTGTAACCTTGTAGTATAGGTTGAAGTCAGGTAGCATGATGCCTCCAGCTTTGTTCTTTTTGCTTAGGATTGTCTTGGCAATGCAGTCTCTTTTTTGGTTCCATATGAACTTTAAAGTAGTTTTTTCCAATTCTATGAAGAAAGTCGTTGGTAGCTTGATGGGGATGGCATTGAATCTTAAATTACTTTGGGCAGTATGGCCATTTTCATGATATTGATTCTTCCTATCCATAAGCATGGAATATTCTTCCATTTGTTTGTGTTCCCTTTTATTTCCTTGAGCAGTGTTTTGTAGTTTTCCTTGAAGAGGTCCTTCACATCCCTTGTAAGTTTGATTCCTAAGTATTTTATTCTCTTTGTAGCAATTGTGAATGGGAGCTCACTCATGATTCAGCTCTCTGTTTGTCTGTTAATGGTGTATAAGAATGCTTGTGATTTTTGCACATTGATTTTGTATCCTGAGACTTTGCTGAAGTTGCTTATCAGCTTAAGGAGATTTTGGGCTGAGACAATGGGGTTTTCTAAATATACAATCATGTCATTTGCAAACAGAGACAATTTGACTTCCTCTTTTCCTACCTGAATATCCTTTATTTCTTTCTCTTGCCTGATTGCCCTGCCCAGAACTTCCAACATTATGTTGAATAGGAGTGGTGAGAGAGGGCATCCTTGTCTTATGCTGGTTTTCAAAGGGAATGCTTCCAGCTATTGCCCATTCAGTATGATATTGGCTGTAGGTTTGTCATAAATAGCCCTTATTATTTTGAGATACGTTCCATCAATACCTAGTTTACTGAGTGTTTTTAGCATGAGGGGCTGCTGAATTTTGTCGAAGGCCTTTTCTGCATCTATTGAAATAATCATGTGGTTTTTGTCATTGGTTCTGTTCATGTGATGGGTTACATTTATTGATTTGCGTATGTTGAACCAGTCTTGCATCCCAGGGATGAAGCCAACTTAATCATGGTGGATAAGCTTTTTGATGTGCTGCTGGATTCAGTTTGCCAGTATTTTATTGAGGATTTTCACATTGATGTTCATCAGGGATATTGGTCTAAAATACTCTTTTTTTGTTGGGTCTCTGGCCAGGCTTTGGTATCAGGATGATGTTGGCCTCATAAAATGAGTTAGGGAGGATTCCCTCATTTTCTATTGATTGGAATAGTTTCAGAAGGAATGGTGCCAGCTCCTCTTTATACCTCTGGTAGAATTAGGCTGTGAGTCCAACTGGTCATGGACTTTTTTTGGTTGGTAAGCTATTAATTATTGCCTCAATTTCAGAGCCTGTTATTCATCTGTTCAGAGATTCAACTTCTTCCTAGTTTAGTCTTGTAAAGGTGTATGTGTCCAGAAATTTATCCATTTCTTCTAGATTTTCTAGTTTATTTGCATAGAGGTATTTATAGTATTCTCTGATGGTAGTTTGTATTTCTTTGGGATCAGTGGTGATATCCCCTTTATCTTTTTATTTCATTGATTTGATTCTTCTCTCTTTTCTTTATTAGTCTTGCTAGCAGTCTATCAATTTTGTTGATCTTTTCTAAAAACCAGCTCCTAGATTCATTGATTTTTTGAAGGGTTTTTTGTGTCTCTATCTCTTTCAGTTCTGCTCCGATCTTAGTTATTTCTTGCCTTCTGCTAGCTTTTGAATTTTTTTTCTCTTGCTTCTCTAGTTCTTTTAATTGCGATGTTAGGGTGTCAATTTTAGATCTTTCCTGCTTTCTCTTATGGGCATATAGTGCTATAAACTTCCCTCTAAACACTACTTTAAATGTATGCCAGAGATTCTGGTACATTGTGTCTTTGTCCTCATTGGTTTCAAAGAGGATCTTTATTTCTGTCTTCATTTCATTATTTACCGAGCAGTCATTCAGGAGCAGGTTGTGCAGTTTCCATGTAGTTGAGTGGTTTTGAGTGAGTTTCTTAATCCTGAGTTCTAATTTGAATGCATTGTGGTCTGAGAGATGGCTTGTTGTGATTTCTGTTTTTTATATTTGCTGAGGAGCGCTTTACTTCCAATTATATAGTCAGTTTTAGAATAAGTGTGATGTGGTGCTGAGAAGAATGTATATTCTGTTGATTTTGGGTGGAGAATTCTGTAGATGTCTATTAGGTCTGCTTGTTGCAGAGCTGAGTTCAGGTCCTGGATATCCTTGTTAACCTTCCATCTCGTTGATCTGTCTGATATTGACAGTGGGGTGTTAAAATCTCCCATTATTATTGTGTGAGAGTCTAAATCTCTTTGTAGGTCTCTCAGAACTTGCTTTATGAATCTGGGTGCTCCTGTATTGGGTGCATATATTTTTAGGATAGTTAGCTCTTCTTGTTGAATTGATCCCTTTACCATTATGTAATTCACTTCTTTGTCTCTTTAGATCTTTGTTGGTTTAAAACTGTTTTATCAGAGACTAGGATTGCAGCCCCTGCTTTTTTTTTTTTTTTTTTTTGCTTTCCATTTGCTTGGTAGATATTCCTCCATCCCTTTATTTTGAGCCTATTCGTGTCTTTGCATGTGAGATGGGTCTCCTGAATACAGCACACTGACGGGTCTTGACTCTTTATCCAATTTGCCAGTTGGTGTCTTTTAATTGGGGCATTTAGCCCACTTACATTTACAGTTAATATTGTTATGTGTGAATTTGATCCTGTCATTATGATGTTTGCTGGTTATTTTGCCTGCTAATTGATACAGTTTCTTCATAGCATCAATAGTCTTTATGATTTGGCCTGTTTTGCAGTGGCTGGTACCGGTTGTTTCTTTCCATGTTTAGTGTTTCCTTCAGGAGCTCTTGTAAGGCAGGCCTGGTGTTGACAAAATCTTTTAGCATTGGCTTTTCTGTAAAGGATTTTATTTCTCCTTCACTTATGAAACTTAGTTTGGCTGGATATGAAATTCTGGGTTGAAAATTCTTTTCTTTAAGAATATTGAATATTGGCCCCCACTCTCTTCTGGCTTGCAGGGTTTCTGCTGAGAGACCCACTGTTGGTCTGATGGGCTTCCCTTTGTGGGTAACTCGATCTTTCTCTGTGGCTGCCCTTAACACTTTTTCCTTCATTTCAACCTTGGTGAATCTGACAATTATGTGTCTTGGGGTTGCTCTTCTCGAGGAGTATCTTTGTGGTGTTCTCTGTATTTCCTGAATTTGAATGTTGGCCTGCTTTGCTATGTTGGGGAAGTTCTCCTGGATCATATCCTGAAGAGCTTTTTCCAACTTGGTTCCATTCTCCCCATCATTTTCAGGTACCCCAATCAAATGTAGATTTAGTCTTTTCACATAATCCCATATTTGTTGGAGGCTTTGTTTGTTTCTTTGTACTCTTTTTTCTCTAATCTTGTTTTCTTGCTTTATTTCATTAATTTGATCTTCAATCACTGATACCCTTTCTTCCACTTGATTGAATCAGCTATTGAAGCTTGTGCATGCGTCACGAAGTTCTTGTGCCATGGTTTTCAGCTCCATCAGGTTATTTAAGTTCTTCTCCACACTGTTTATTCTAGTTAGCCATTCATCTAGTCTTTTTTCAAGGTTTTTGGCTTCCTTGTGATGGGTTTGAACATCCTCCTTTAGCTCGGAGATGTTTGTTATTACCAACCTTCTGAAGCCTATTTCTGTCAACTCGTCAAAGTCATTCTCTGTCCAGCTTTGTTCCGTTGCTGGCAAGGAGCTGCAATCCTTTGGAGGAGAAAAGACGCTCTGATTTGTAGAATTTTCAGCTTTTCTGCTCTGGTTTCTCCCCATCTTTGTGGTTTTATCTACCTTTGGTCTTTGATGTTGGTGACCTACAGATGGGGTTTTGGTGTAGATGACCTTTTGTGCTGATGTTGATGCTATTCCTTTCTGCTTGTTTGTTTTCCTTCTAACAGTCTAACAGTCAAGTCCCTCAGCTGCAGGTCTGTTGGAGTTTGCTAGAGTTCCACTACAGCCCCTGTTTGCCTGGGTATCACCAGCAGAGGCTGCAGAACAGTAAATATTGCAGAACAGCAAATACTGCTGCCTGATCCTTCCTCTGGATGCTTCGTCCCAGAGGGACAGCCACTTATATGAATTGTCTGGGAGGTGTCTCCCAGTTAGGCTACACGGAGGTCAGGGACCCTCTTGAGGAGGCAGTCTGTCGGTTCTCAGAGCTCAAACACTGTGCTGGGAGAACCACTGCTCTCTTCAGAGCTGTCAGTCAGGGACATTTAAGTCTACAGAAGTTGTCTGCTGCCTTTTGTTCAGCTACGCCCTGCCCACAGAGGTGGAGTCTAGAGGCAGTAGGCCTTGTTCAGCTGTGGTGGGCTCTGCCCAGTTCGAGCTTCCTGACAACTTTGTTTACCTATTCAAGCCTCAGCAATGGCAGACGCCCCTACCCCAGCCAGGCTGCAGTCTCACTGATTGATCATAGACTGCTGGGCTAGCAGTGAGCAAGACTGCATGGGTGTGGGAGCCACTGAGCCAGGCACGGGAGAGAATCACCTTGTCTGCCAGTTGCTAAGACCTTGGGAAAAGCATAGTATTTGTGTGGGAGTGTCCCATTTTTCCAGGTAGTCTGTCACGGCTTCCCTTGGCTAGGAAAGGGAAATCCCCAGATCCCTTGTGCTTCCTGGGTGAGGCAATGCCCCGCCCTGCTTTGGCTCACCCTCCATGGGCTTCACCCACTGTCCAACCAGTCCCAATGTGATGAACCTGGTACCTCAGGTGGAAATGCAGAAATCACCTCTCTTCTGCATCAATCACGCTGGGAGCTGCAGATTGGAGCTGTTCCTATTTGGCCATCTTCTGTCAGTAGTCTTCTTAACTGGAGAAAGTTAATGAAATCGGTTTCTTGTCCAATCAAAGTTGTAGTTATGGCTGGTGGAACAGGGTTTCAGTTAGTCATCATCTGTGAGGTAGATGATTTGTAATTGTTTTAATATTGCTTATCTTAAGGTCAGTGCTTATTTAGCTGCTAGAAAAAAAAGGAAAAAAAAAAACCTTGTGGCAGATAGAATACAGTTTATTCTTTAAGTGTAGTGCATGACTTAACCCTTGCCTGGTATAGCCTTAGGTCCTGTTTATAATTTTGTATCTTATTGCCACAAAGAGTCTGTTCTGTCAGTCTCATGAGGTTAGTTGTTGTGTCTAAACTGCAAAAGAGAGGGGGCATAATGAGCCTGTCGGACTTTCTGTCCTATCATGGCTGGGAACTTTGTTTTTAAGGTTTTTCTCGATTTATTTGGTGAGGGACTTAGGATTTTATTTTTGGTTTACAATGTTTAATTACTTTAATTAAATGGTGTCCAGAAACAGGCAACTCTAGGAATGTACATGTGCTCTTAATTTACACGTGACTGTGTTTTGTATCATTTGCATAGCTGTATTGGTATAGCTATTAAATTAGCAAATTTACTTCTAAAAACTGCCTATTACTGTTGTTTCTAGTCAACATTCTTATCTTCTAGACAGAAGATAAGAATCTCCTGGATCAAAGACAAAGTCCTCTTTGCTCACTGCACAACAATCAGGCTGAGTGTCAGTATATTTGATTAGGTTCATCTTGCCACTAAATCATACCCAGGGCATGCACAGGCCCAGAGGGAGTTTGTACTTTCAGCAAGCTACATTATAGAAATGGAATATGGAGAATGTCTCTTTTTTATCCTGATGAGACACATTATCTCATCCCTTAAGGTTTATCACTGCAGACACAAATCTGAGAAATGGCTTGGGAAAAGAGGCATCAGGGCCATGAATTCTTGGCTCACTTGGGAAGAATATGCAAGCGTGCTCAGTAGCCATGCTCGGGCCCAACACCTGCTCTCTCAGCATCAAAAAATAGGCGTGACTTTGAAGTCTAGTACCCTTTTAGGAGTTAAGCTGGCATGTCCAGATTTTGTTTTATTTAACTTTTTTCACCTTTTATTTATTGTGCCATATATAAATCTTCCTAGCCACTCCAACCTTTCATATTATTAAAGAAAAAGCATTTAATTTAGTCATTTTAGTGAGTAATTTAAAAATATTAATTACATATAATATAGTTAATTTTAAGGTATTAATTATACTGGCATGATTCTATTATATATTCTGGTTTAATTTTTCCTTCACAAATGAACACTATACCAGTTGGATTATATGTCTACGGGAAAAGAGAATTTGATAAAAAGAATGTTTTACTTTAAAGGATAATTAAAGGAATACATTAATGTGAGATACTTTTCAAATTGGACTGAGAGACACATTAACTTTGTGCTCCACATCAGTGTTTGACAGAGAATTTGAGTCCAATGACAGTAACAGCTGGCCCCTTACTGAGAAGAAAGGTGACAGCTGCCATGCCACTGGGATTGGTAATTTCCATAGAAGATGGTTAGGATGCCAATCTACAAGTTGATTACTTTGGTGAAAATGTATATTTGTTTTCCTCAGTCCTTCAAATAGGCAGTTTACAAAAACTTGTCTTGTATTGATTCCATTGCAGAGAGAGCCATAACCCCATAGGCAAGTGACAGAAAGCCTTGGCTTTCATAGTTGAAAATAATCCTTTCTCTAATTAATACTAGACTATTCCATCCATTTTTAAAAAGCTATTTAATCCTCTACTTAACTATGTTTCCTCAGGGTTTTCTAGCTGCTCGTGTTACATATAATGATGCAACTCTGCTATAAACTTTCATAATGGAGTTCTATAAAGTTGTGAGTGAATACACAATCATAACCATATATCAGTGATGCCTCCACAAACTCATTGTGGTAATCAAAACACCAGTGGGCTATTTTTCACCATGATCTCCTGGGGTTAACACCATTGTGGAATGTCTGTTTTTACACAGTTATTGAGGGGACAAATTAATTTGCAGTTTTCTTCCTTTTTCAATTATCAGAGCCATCTAGATTTACATGAAGTACTGTTTTAAAACTATAGCCTGAAAATAAGTTGAGATTCACCCTACTACCAAGTCTTCTTCCTATAAAACTGTAACTACAATTTTTCCCAAGTGTATCTGAATCTAAAGAATAACTAGAATTATAGTAGATCTGCTTTGAAATTTTGCAACAATTATGAATGCTGTGGTACCCTTGAAACTGGAAAATAGAAACAGCAAACTGTGTTTACTTAATGTAAAAAGCACCAATAGCTATAATTTCAAGAGAAAGACTAAATTGTAAGATAACACATTTTAACTAAGCTAAGGAAAAAAAAAATCAAGGCAGGGGTTTCAACACTGGTCCCCAGTCTAGCAATATTAGCATCTCTCAGCAACTTGTTAGAAATGCAGATTCTCATCAGGCCCCGCACAGACCAATTAAATAAGAAACGTCAGGCCGGTATCTGGCAACCTATGTTTTAACAAGTCTTTATTGTGATGCAAACTAAAATTTGAGAACCATTGGCTTAGAGGTCTTCTTTCAACTCATTGTAGGTGGCTTTAAAAATATAAGGCAGGAGTGCATCAGTCTTTGGTAATCCATGTGTCTTGTAACTTAAGTTCTGAGAAAAAGAAGAGGGTTCATGTGGTCATTTCCAAGGAATCTGAAAGATGAGGTCAGTTTGATCAACCTCACACCAGAGAACGTAAGGCTATGGTAAAATCTCAATACACCTCCAGTTACCATTTTAGTAAGGGGTTGGGGAATAATCGTTGAGCCTGTGTCAGACCTGGAAGTTTTCTCCATGTTCTTTATTTAATTTCATTTTATTGTATCTTGTTTTGTTTCTACTTTAGTTTATCATTTTTCTCATTGAATCTTTTCTTTTAGTAATTGTCACTAAATATCCTCTGGAAAATTACTTGTCACCTTTTGCAGGCTTGGAGTAGAGAAACTACCCAGAACAGAATACATGCTAGCTGACCCCAAAAGGAGAGATCAGGGTGAGTGCCCAGGCTGTGGGACAAAGGGTGAGAGCCAAGGGAGCCATCATACAGCTGCACAATAAAGAGTCACAGTAGAACACCTAAGGATTTGTCTCTTTAATCAGACAAAATGTTGTTACATGGAAATTTACATCTACCACATTTGCTGTTCCCCTAGCCTGAATCAAAATTGTAGAGCAGAATATGAAACTAAATTCTTAGCTGGAAGGCCCTTGACATCACCAATCCAAATTGAGGAAAGCCGAGCCAAAAGAAAACAATTTGCTAATGTCATACAAATAGATTTCTGTGACCTTGAGCAAAATAATGCAGTAATATACAAACAGGCCTAAATATGAAACTGCCCACTTTTCCATTACGCCATACGTATTACAATCCTTAGATGAGTTGCTGGTTTTCTGCTACTTAAATTATCTTAACAGTAAACTGAGGATAATACCATAGCAGTCTAATTGGCACAAGGCTCAAATGTGATAATATAAAAATGGCTTAGAACAGTATCTGGAACACATAATCAGTGCTCAGAAAAAGTGGCATTGCAGTCAATGTGCTGTGATAACAGTCATCTCCCAGGTCTTTGTATCAGTTTGCTATTGTTGCCAAATAACAAAAATTCAGTAGCTCATAAGCTGATGGGCAACCTGGGCAGCTCTACAAGAGTTAAGCATTCTCAGAGGGGATCGCTCACTCATCTGTAGTCAGGTGTGGTCATCTAGCGGTAGTTTCTGCTTATGTCTGGGCTCTCTTACACGCCTGGAATATTCTAACCAGGGAACCATGTGACCACACTGATAACATGTCCATGAATCAGACCTGATTCAGGCCCCATTCATAATAACAGGTGAGAAAGTAAAAATTTGCATGAACCCTGAAGGCAGAGAATTAGAAATATTTGGAGAACACCACCAACATTTCTCACAATTGTTTTCTTTTAGTTGTTACTGTGGGGAGCAAGTCACTTAAAGTAAGATTTATTTTGATATCATGTCACCACTTACTTAACATGCTCTTAATATGTTCCCTCTGTCACTCTGAAAAGCCCAGCACCATTATCCTTGCCTGAGTTGCAGGGATCATATAAACATACTACTTGAGGCTGACTTTACTGAGTTGAATCTAGATTTTCCCAATATCAAGTTATTTTTTACTAAGTTCACTCATAAAGAAACCTGTCACAACTTTATTAACATCAACCTGTTAATATTAATAATGATTCAAAGTGTTCAGCATTCAGAACATAGTCACATAATTGTGTTAATGAGAGATACTTTCTTAATCCACTGTAACAAATCTTTAGTAATGGACATTTTAACATGAATAATTGACTTAGAGTGTAACTTTTTTTAAATATGAAAATTCCTGAAGTCCTTTTAATCACACTGGCTAGAAGAAATGCAGGCCAATGTAGAGAGAGATATACACACCCAACATTCGATCTGCCACCCCACAAATCCAGCTCCTTTTCCATTTGTGTGAAGCCATCTTTATTAGGATGAATAGATTGTGGAATAGATAGGAATAGAGGCCGGGTGCGGTGGCTCACGCCTGTAATCCCAGCACTTTGGGAGGCCGAGGCGGGTGGATCATGAGGTCAGGAGATCGAGACCATCCTGGCTAACAAGGTGAAACCCCGTCTCTACTAAAAATACAAAAAATTAGCCGGGCGCGGTGGCGGGCGCCTGTAGTCCCAGCTACTCGGGAGGCTGAGGCAGGAGAATGGCGTGAACCCGGGAAGCGGAGCTTGCAGTGAGCCGAGATTGCGCCACTGCAGTCCGCAGTCCGGCCTGGGTGACAGAGCGAGACTCCGTCTCAAAAAAAAAAAAAAAAAAAGGAATAGAAAAAAGCCGAAGAGTCTGTACCTGTGTCACCATTCATCTCTTTTTTTTGCTCCCATACTATAAGATCATCTGATACTGGATAAAATGTGAACAAACACCTTATCAACATGGGTGTGTGAATGACTCTGCATAAAACGAAGCTCCTCATCAACCAGCAAAGTTCAGGTGGCATGGGAGAAAAATATCTTTCATTGTACTAAGCCACAGATTTGGGGATTTTTTTTTAAAGCAGCGTAGCCTAGGCTATTTGACTAATACCCTGACATATATAGTTGGTCTTCTCATAGATTCTTTTTCCTTCTGTCAAAGGTATTATTGTAGCAGAGACTACATGTACAGCACACAAAGAATAACAACATTGGGCATAGAATAGAATTTCTAGTTTTTGTAGCTTGAAAAGAGAATAATTAATGCTGAGTAGACACATACAAACCCCAAATTATCATATTGCATCAAATCTAAGCCACTATTAATTGTAAACTAAATCTTAACATATATCATTTATAAAGAAAATATATGCTGCCAATTATAAGTATTACCTACTATTGGTTGTGAGATTATTCTAGATTTATGAAATATAAAAGATAAACCTTTTGGCATTGTCAACATATGGCAATGTTTAAGTCTCCATTGCTTTTCACCTTTCTTGCTTGAAAAAAAAGGAATGTCTCTTGAATCAGCATAAACAAATTTTTGTTTTTGTGGAAAAAGTTATACAAAGATATGGCATTAAAGATGGCTGCAATGTCTTTGTCATTTCTCCTACTGAGAGTTTGAATCTATTTCCTTTTTCCTGGAATCTGAGTTTATTTTGTAAATTGTTTTCACCAATACAATGAGGCAGAAATTACACTGTACAACTTCTGAAGATGGGCCTTAAGAATTCAGCAGCTTCAAACTTTAAATTTTGGAAGGCTCCTTCTTGGAGTTCATCAGGTATGCTGTGAGAACTCCAAGCATTGTTGAGAAGCTACCTATAGGAGAATCAAAGCACACTGGTTGAGCCCAAACTGAAATCTGAAAATAAATCCAGCAATAATTGCCACCTGTGTGCATGGGCCTCACTGAAAATCCCTACTCAATGGAGTTTGCAATGATCTCGTCCCTGACAACACTACCTGACGTTTAAGAACCACTCAGCTGCGCTCAGTTAACCCACAGAATAATGAGATATAGGGAATTTTTGTTGCTTTTACAGTTTTACATCATCAAGTTTTGGCAGTTGGCTTTATAATACTACACAACTTTAAAAAGAGAATTGCAGTAATAAAAGGGCCTAAATTGAGTGACGCTCATTAACATAAGAAAGGAAAGGATGTTACTTACAACATAAAGGACTTCATTGTATGGAACAAAAATAGATGAGAAAGTAGATGGGAAAGCTAACACAGGTAGAGTTTTATGAGAGAGAGAGAGAGAGAGAATAAAGCTTCAATTTTGAAGGAAAAGAGTTAAAAAAAAAGTTATGAGCAATACGTGTGGGACTTCAGGGAGATAAAAAAAAGCTAAAGAAATTCCAGAGTATTTTTTTTTTTGAGACGGAGTCTCACTCTGTCACCCAGGCTGGAGTGCAGTGGTGCAATCTTGGCTCACTGCAACCTCCGTACCCCGGATTCCAGTGATTCTCCTGCCTCAGCCTCCCGAGTACCTGGGATTACAGGTTCCTGCCACCGTGCCCAGCTAATTTTTTGTATTTTTAGTAGCGACGGGGTTTTACCATCTTGGCAAGGCTGGTATTGAACTCCTGACCTTGTGATCCACCCCGCTTGGCCTCCCAAAGTGCTGGGATTACAGGCGTGAGCCACCATGCCCGGCCTCCAGGGTATTTTTTTTTAATGTCAGTTCTAGTGGAATTTCTTTTGTGACCTCTTTGGGTTAAGAGGTAAACTGAGGCACAATAAAATTTTAATGGATTTAGTCAAACAGCAATTTATGAATGATGCAGTTTCAAATTAGCAATGGTTCAGAGGTTCCATGGACTAACACAAAGGGAGAACTTTTATAGGGTGAACGTAAAAGTAAAGCAAAGCAAATATTTAATTGGTTACAGTTATACCGTTGTCTTATTTGGTCAGTCCTCCCAGAAAGTTCTTAGTTATGTAACTATGATAACCTCTGATTGGTTAGCCTTAAGTTTCATTTTTCTTTAATATTGGCATTTACAGGAAATAGCCGACTCAGGTTAAGTTTTGTTTATGTTTGCAAATCAAGCAAAGTTAAGGTTACTTATGAGGCCTAACTGGCTTTGTCTACTCAGGGATTCTTCATGACTGATCTCCATTTTAATTTACTTTTATAAGTGTCATATTTAAACATTTAAATTACTTTTCAATGTATTTATGTGTCTGCTTACTTATTTTTTTCACACCTGTATTTCTTTTGAATGAGTCATGATGCTAATACTTGCCAAAAATTAATTCATTTTTGCATTTCTTAGAATACAGTTAAACAGGGTGTAATCAAAGTCTGACTTCATTTTTGATGTTTGATTGTTGACTTTTTTTAAACCTCAATTCTTTTTTTGTTCTTGGTCCTACATCTAGACAGACTGATAAGAAAGACTGTTAGGTCACATTCTCATTTAGTGCCAGTGGGAAATTTAAACTTTCTGCTAGTGAGAACATGCCCCAGTCCCATCCCTCCACGCCAGTCACTATATAGGCCCAACCCACTCCTTCTAGTAAGCCCAAGCCAGCTTGGATTTTCTCCTGCTCACCCAGCTGTCCCCAGGAACCCCTTGTGTGAGTAATTAACTTTTTAAAAGTGTAGAATATTATGGAAAACCTATTTTTTTTGCAAATAAACAAAGATCTGTGGCAACTTCAAAAATGAAGGTAAATATAAAAGTCAAGTTTTCTTATATTTTAATAATTATATTACTGTGTGCTCCAATATAGTAGACTTTGACCAAATGCAGCTATTTAAATTTAAATTTAAATGAATTAAAACTAAATAAAATTGAAAGTTCACTTTCTCACGTGTACTAGCCATGTTTAATATGTGTGATGTTAGAAACATCCACATCTCAACAGAAAAATATACATTTTTTCCTTTGCCAAGGTGGACTATATTCTTAGAAAAATAAAATTCCAAAAACTGTAAAAGAATTTAAATTTTACAAATTAAATGTTCTAGCCAAAATGAAATCAAATTAAAATTCAACAGCAAAAAGATATCATTAAAATTTTCTAAATTCAAAACATGCAGACATAGAACTAAGTAATTCATGGATAAAAGACCAAGTCAGAAGAAAAAAAATGAAATATTTTGAATTGAACAAAAATTAAAGCACATAATATAAAAATGTATGGGAGGCAGATAAGCAGTAATTATCTTCTCTATAGAGAAATTTATAGCATTAAATGTTTATACTAGAAAATAGTAAAGACTTTAAATCAATAATCTATGATACCTTCTTAAGAAAGAAGAAAAATAATAATAGATAAAATTGACATAAATCTTTAGAATGGAAATAATGAAGTGAAGAGCTGAAACTCAAAATGGCAGAAAAAAAGACCCAACTATATGCTGTCTACAGAAACCCACTTTAAATATAACAATGTAACTATCATTTAAAAGTAAAAATACCATTAAAAGTTAATGGATGGGTCTTGGGGGTATGATGAAAATGTTCTAAAATCATATTGCAGTGATGAATGCAGAGCTCTGTGAATATTCTAAAAAACTACTTATCTTAAATGGTTGGATTTTATGACATGTGAATTATATCTCAATAAAGTGATTTTAAAAAATAAAGGATGGAAAAGAATATTCCATGCAAATATTAAAAAAAAAACTGAAACCACTGAAATTGAAAACAAATAGAAATATAGAGAAATCATTATTGCCAGAATCTGTTTTAATTTTTATTTTTATATTGTACATTGACCAATTATAGTTCTATATATGTATGTGGTACAAAGTGATGTTATTATTTATGAATACCATGTGAAATAATTAATAAAAGGAAAAACAAATTGACAGACCTCCAGTCAATCTAAAGTAAGATAAATAAAGGCAGGAATTATTAGTATTAGGAATGAAAAAAGGTACATCATTGAAGTTCCAACTAACATTAAAAGGATAATAAAGTAATGTTATGAACAACTTTATGGCAATAAATTCTACTACTAGCTTAAAGACAAGCATTTTGAATGATACAGACTACCAAAGTTCATTCAGGGGCAATAGACAACCTACGATGTAAACCTATGACTCTTAACTAGGTTGAATTCATATATAAAAAGCATTCCAGTCAGGTGTGGTGGCTCACGTCTGTAATCCCAGCAGTTTGGGAGGCCGAGGCAGGCAGATCACCTGAGGTCAGGAGTTTGAGACCAGCCTGACCAACATGGAGAAACCTCGTCTATACTAAAAATGCAGAAAATTAGCTGGGCATGGTGGTGCATGCTTGTAATCCCAGCTACTGGGGAGGCTGAGGGAGGAGAATTGCTTGAACCCAGGTGGCGGAGGTTGCAGTAAGCCAAGATCCCACCATTGCACCCTAGCCTGGGCAACAACAGCGAGACTCCATCTCAAAACAACAAACAAACAAACAAACAAACAAACAAAAAACCCCAAAAAACCACTTTACAAATAAAATTCAGTTCCAAAATACTTTACTGGCAAATTCTATCAACTAAGGAAAAAATATTACCAACTGTACAAAATCTCATGCAGAAAATTTTTTTGAAACTTTTTCATCTTGTTTTTTAAGGCCAGCATTGCCATGATGTCAAAACTATACAAAATAACAATAATAATAATAATAATAATAATAATAAAGTAGATAAAAATAAAACTATGGAACAATGATCTCTCAGGCACACGAAAGATTAGAAAATAAAATCTAGCAATACATAAAATAATTTTTCATGTCCACGTAGGTATTATCACAGATACGCCAGGGTGGTTTAATTAGAAATCAATCAACTTAATTTACTGCCTTAGTCGATTAAAAGAGAAAAATAATAAAGTCTATGAGTGTCTTATATTCTTTGGACCAGTAAGTAACTGAGACATACTTTTCTCATGGAAGACAGGAATTTAACTGGCCAACCCCAACAGCCGAAGCAGATTTTAAGCTCACAATACAATTGCAAACAACCCATTGATCAGTGCAAATTCTACAGCCAAACTCAATGTCAGTAGGATAGAAAAGTGTACTCCACTTACCTGGGACAGTGAGGTGAGAAAATATAAATATTTCCTGAGCAATAATCCAAACTACATCACTTATTATATAGTCATCTCCATAAAGCAACACCTTAGGCAGATACTATTGTATTACATATCATACAAGCAGAATAAATATGTCAATAAGATAGATTAGAGAAATGTAGGTTTTGTTACAGATAAATGACTTTTCATTTTCTGATTAACTGTATCAACAATTTTCAGTAAAAGCCTATCTAACAGTAACAGAACAGATGCTCAATACATTCTTTATGTGTAGGTTAGTTGAAAGGGCACAAAGTTAAAGTCTGATAGACCTTGTTTTATATCCTCTTCTGTCACTTGCTAGCCCAAGTAAACCTGGGCAAATTATTTTTTTTCATTCTGAATCTCAATTTTCTAATTAGTGAAATAATTCTATCTTATATTTTTCTTGAGAGAATTATATATATACACATATATATACATATATATATATCTACTATACCATTTCATAATAGCTTCCATATATATGGTAGCCCAATGTCATGCCTACAACATAACAGGTATTCTCATTCATATGTGGTAGCTGTTATGAAATAATGAAAGGACTATCATGATGAAGTAGTAGTTAGGTCTCCACCCTGAAGGAAAAAGAAAGAGTAAGGCAATTAACCTAATAACTATTTTTAAAAAAGACCCCAACTTAGACACATAAATTATCTGCAAAACAGGATGTTGTGGTAAGTCTAGTGTTAGAGTCTTCATTATTTTTATATTTATATTTCACCTGTAGCTAACTTTCAACTGGAATATCTTTCCGCAGGAAACAAGCACCTCCGTTGGAACTGTTCAACTTTCAACTTAATTGGAGAGCTAAAAGTGGTATGTGTCACAGGCCCTGAAAAAGAACATGGCCTTTGACTGAGCAATTCCATTTATAGAAAGTTGTTTGTGAAGTAAACTAGTAGATAAAAGCTTAATAGCACCGGAGTTTGTAACATAAAAATCTGGAACAATTTAAAAGTTCAAAACATAAACAGTGCTTTAAAAATTCCAATATTATTATAGAAGGAAGACTAGAAAGTTGTTTCTCAAATAATGATACGGTTTAATACTTACTGACATGTAAATACACTTATGGAATATTAATTAAAAAGAAAAGTTGTAACAACATAGACATTAGGCCATGAGCCAATTTTCATTAAATTCATTCAAATATTCTTTGGGTACTAATACATCCAGGCATTTGTTTTTTAGGCACTGGTGCTCCAACAGTAAATAAGGGAATCAACATGCTGACCTTAGTGGAATTTGCTGCTTATTATATGTAATATAAGCCTGAGAGTGTAGCCATCAACATATTAACAACCATTTGTCTCAGGTTCGTACAGTATAGGTGCATATTTTATTTTATTTTATTTTATTTCATAGATAATTTGCATTATTTGTGTAAGCAGCCATTTCAGAAGTCTGAAATGAAAAAAAAAACTTGCTTCACAAATCATCATGATGATACATTCTATTTGCATAGCACATATGTTTTTCTCCCAAATGTTTCTATGTATATGTATGTCCCTAACCGAAAACTGGACCAGCTTCTTCCAGGAAGTAGCCTTTATCCCCTTCCCCTATGCACAGACACTAGGATCCAGATTATTCCAAAATTCAAAGCCAAGAACTAAAGCCAATTAAGTTTTTCTCCAATATATCACCACATTCTACTGTTACTATTTTTCAAAATCTCACCGTAGTTCATGGTTTATTAATTTTCCTGATTCGCTCATGTAAATAAGGCGTACTAAGTATGAAGGAGCACAGATATCAACACATTCCAAACAAGGTAAAATAATTTAATTTCAAATTTACTTGAATAGATTATCAGGCTCAGAATCCTTTTCTTTTTGGCAAAGCAGTTTTTATTGTCCATTTCAATGTGTCTGGAAATAAGTTTGTAGGCTTTATCGGCCAGAATTAAAACTGCCCTTTGAGAGGTTTACCTTAATATCAACGATATTTCCTTTTTGATAAGATCATAATTAAATATACTTTATGTACATAAATTTGGTCTCTCATTGATTTTACTTTCTTAATTTTAACTGACCAGAAAATTGGGAAAATTGGACATATCAATTTTATGCTGAATAATGCTTTTGAAATTGTCACTCACAGAAGCTGTCATTGTCACTTAGGTTGTAGAAAATAATAAATGCAATCAACTTTACACAACTGACACTGTAGCCTAACAATGCAAAGATCTGTAGAAACAGGTGGGGAAATACAAATGCCATTTTACACTACATTCAATAGATATTGACAAATACCATTTATCTTTGTAGATCTGATTTGTTCACATTCAAACTGTTAATATAAATGTTGGGGGAAAATTATCCATGAGTTTATTGCATTTCTATATGGTCTGGCCATTCTGAGCAAAGGAAATGGTTGAATAATAAACATCTTGGAAACTAGAGACAGTGTATCTCTATATATAGACATATACTTCCCAGAAAACATCCCCAGGTATTGAAGAGAAATTCTGGAAGCATTTTCTTGGTTTCCAGTGTAATAAATGTGGAGATGCCTTTCCCCTTCCCACTTGGAGGAGATTTGCTTACACACTGAAGTAATGAGTACTCTCTCACTCTAGAGGGCAGGATGAGCAGATGTGCCAGTAGTCCTATGAAATCTGTCTCTTAACAATTTGTGATTCCTTTCTTACAATGTAACCCCACTGCACATGCAGGCCCTCATTGAGTTACCCTGTGAGGAACTGATACAAAATGCTGATCTGGCTGCTGTCAAGAGGATGAAATAGATAAAGCAAGACATAGACAAGTTCAGAGGTAAGAGAAAGCATTGTATATATGGAGATGGAAATTGGTTGAGTACTTTTTAATCTTTTTCATGAGTGGAATTATAAGAGAAGAGTCCGAGGGAGGTGGACATCAGTGATGGCATCTTGTATTTTTTATTCCGAAGATTGTAGTATATCTAGAAGGCTGTGGTGACATCAAAGCATGTTAAGCTTTGGAAAAGAACAACATGGTCAGATTAACATATTAAAGAAATTGCCTGATTGCTCTATTAGGAACAGATTAGAGAAACCAAAAGTGGAGGCAAAGATTGTGATTGAAGCTATTGCAGGAGTCGAGGTGAAATGTTGGAGGCCTACTTCAGAGACCAGCTACAATCAACCTTAAAATCACCAAATGACAATAATCAAACCACAAAAAAGAAGCAGCTGGTGCTTCTGCCTTTTATGGGAGTTTTTACTTTTACATTTCTTCCTTCATGTATTCATTCACAAATCCAATGTTTACTCTCTCTGGCCTTATTCCAGGTACTCGGTGTGCAGTGGTGAACAGAATAGCTGTATTGTCTGTACTCACGAGTAATAGGATTCTAGGAAAAAATTCACGGCATGCTCAGATTTGAAAAAAATAAAGGTAACTTTAACCAAAAAATAAAAGCTGTTTACTTAAGTGTGGGCAAAATGTTTGTAAAATACAGGTTATTGTGTAAACTCAGGGTAAGTAATAACTATTACTAAGCTGAAGCTTGAAAGGATAAGGTAAGAGAGTGGTGTCCATAATTGGAGACAAGAAAGCTCTGTGGAGAGGGACAACTTTGAAGACAGCAGGAACCTTTGTAAGTAAGACATAGACAATCCAAAGGAATCATACAGGTGGAAGATAGATACACAAATAGCTCATCCTTGCTTTCCTACCCACCTTTATTCTCTTGCCAGGGATCTCTGGTGGCTGAATCCAATTGCAAGCTGAGCACATGGGAGCCCTGTGAAGTAGTCCTTTTTGGTCATCTTCTCTGAGAAAAAAAGAGTAGAAATGAGTAGATTTGGGTAGAGAATGGATCTAGACAAGTAAACAGAAGACATCTGGCACATGGTTTTGCCAGACTATTTTACGCATTTGTCTCCCCTTTTATAGACTGTGCTTAGTGTTTATTTTAACCTGGTTTCAGCCATATAGAACACTGGGGAGATGGGGTTTGAGCTAAGATGTGTTGACTTTCCCTCAGTGAGTTATTTTTCCTGTCCTTACAGCTCTTTATTAGAAACAAGCAGATATTTGTTGTTAAATCCAATCTGAAATGGGGGTGAGAATTCATTCTTCTTGAAAATTAACAAATTACTTTTCCACAGACCATAGTGGAAATACATACATACACACACAGACACACACACAACTTTGAATCTGCTTATATTTTTAAATAATTTTATTACTTCCTTGATAATTGGAAATTATGGCTTTTGATTGATTATGAAAATATATTTTACACTTTGGGAGGCTGAGGCAGGTGGATCCCTTAAGCTCAGGAGCTCGAGGCCAGCCTAGGCAACATCATGAAACCCCATCTCTATAAAAAATACAAAAATTAGCCAGGCATGATGGCATACGCCTGTAGTCTCAGCTACTCAGGAGGCTGAGGAGGGAGGATTGCTTTGAGCCCAGGAGGCAAAGGTTGCGGTGAGTCCAGATGGTGCCACTGCACTGCAGCCTAGGTGACAGAGAAAGATCTTGTCTCGAAAAATAAAATAGAAAAAAAGAAAATATATTTTTATTTTTTCTAATAATCTATATTGTTGCCTAAACAAAATTCTATCATTTGGGATAACATGGATGAATCTAGAATATATTATGCTAAGTGAAATAAACTAGGCACAGAAAGACAAACACCACACAATCACATTTATATGTAGAATCTGAAAAATGTTGAATTCATTGAAGTAGAAAGTAAAATGATTACCCAAGTTGGGGCCAGGGGTGGAGAGTTGAGAGAATGGGGTGTTGCTGTTCAAAGAAACAAAGTTAAGCTAGACAGGAGAAATTGATTTTGAGGTCTATTGTACAGCAAGGTGACTACAATGAATAATGTATTGTATATTTTAAAGTAACTAAGACAGTAAATTTCAAACGTATCACAATAAAAAATGTTAAGTGAGGTGATGAATACATTAATTAGCTTAATTTACTCATTCTACGTTTGTATACATTTATAAACATATCACATTATACTCCATAAATATAATAAAATTATGATTTATCAATTAAAAATAACATTAATTTAAAAAGAAAGTATTGGAAATCAGATTATCCTATTATTTAAAGTTTTAACAATGACATGCCTTTAGAAATAGAAAAAACAAAAAATTTGATATAATTAAAATATGATTTCCTATATTTTATCACCATATTTTTACTGTTTCCCAATAATTTGAACCCTCATGTATATATTTTATTTCAATAATATTTTATACATTTATTAAGCTTTTTTGTGTGATTTAATATGTAATGACTATTGTTTTGGTAAATAGTTTATGAATCCACTACATAAACTGTGACTTAGTGTCTTCCATACATCAGGCATATTCTCACTTAATTTTTGTCTAACTGGTCAGTAATAGGCTCAAGGTCATTTTTTGACTGCAAATATCTGTGTTTTACCAGATTAGGTTTATATAAGTTTTTACTGTTTAGAAATCTGATTTTATCTTATTCAGCATTATGAATTCCATTTGTGACTACACAATGATTATCTTATGCTTTTTCATTCATGCTTTCACAGTTTGGTTCAATTAACATTGAATTCAATGCATTACATATTTCATTATTAGATAATTTTTCTTAAATGTGGATCTTGCAAATGGCTTATTGTAGGATTGTTTTTACATTCAAATGTGAGACTATTACCTTTTGATAGAAAAAAAATTGGGCTGCATACTTTCATTACTATAATTACCACACTAGGTTTGGCTTCAGCTTTTCTGATTAATGACTTCACTTTTAATGTTTTCTTGTTCTTTGTTTTTTTTTTCTATTGTGACCTCAGTATATGACACATCTTTATTCTGTTTATTCATGTTATCATTTGTAAGACAAATATTCTGGTTTTAATTTTTTAGCAGATGTTATTTAAAAACACACAGGTCACAAACATACTTAGTATATGCATTTACAAGAATCATATAAGAAATACAATTATTTTACTTTTATTAGAGGCTAATGGAAATAATTAAACCATTTTGCTATATAATACAAGAAAGATGTTATAAGAAATAGTGTATTGAATTCAAGTTTCCCGAACTCTTAACTCTCCTGCATGAGTTTGTAGAAATTGCCCAATTGTATGTTGTAAAAATTATCTCATCATAATAAGAAAATTGTCAATATACAGCATCAGAACATCTCTATCATCCTTCCTTCATTCTCCTATAATGCTAGTAAACATGTAAGTTTTTATAATCACTATTGATAACTCTTGGCTACTACCAACTAAACTAAAACCTATGAATATTCTAAGAATATTAAAATAATTCAATCTTTTAAGAAAAACACCAGTATTATGTGTGCAAACCCATCAGCCATTAACCAAGAAGTAATGGGTTCAGACTATCAGACTTGAGGATTTAGAATGTAAATTGATCAGCCTCAGAGAACCAGTGTCTATTCTGGAGTTAAATTGTTGGAATCAAAAGGTTAAAAATATAAATATTGGATATTCAAAAGAATCTTTCTGTAAAAAATATTAATGCATAAATAAAAACTACAGTATTTCTATATAAATAATTTGTTACCTTATTTCAAAAAGCCATCATGACACAAGAATGTCCATAGTCTGTTATGAGAAAATACATTTTATAGGAATAAAAAGTGTTCACATAGGCTACCATAAAAGCTGGTTTTTATGAGATTCCTAAGAAACCCATTGACAGGTAGAAATGGAATCAACTAAATAATGCCTGATGTGACCTCTAGCTGTTTGTTGCTTTTGTTTGTTTGTTTTTTCTTTCACTTATCTGAATGTAATTATTTTGTATTATATAGTTTCTACACAGATTCCATAGAGCAAAATTTCAGATCTCCCTATAATGAGATCTATAGATCAATTCTCTTTCTTGTACGTTCTTAGAGCCAAGAGTATTACATTTTCTTGTGCTCTGCTCTTCATAGCTAAGAGGTGTATACACTGTGTTGAAGGAGTTGAATTCAGACACATTTCTCTGTACGTTACTACACAGTTACAAGATAAGGAGCATTCTCAATTATATCCAGCCAGGTAGCAATATTGCAAAATAATGTTGGTAAAACCTTATTCCCATCCTTCCAAGTATGCAGGACTTTCTAACTAATGCTGTGTCTTTCAAAGTAATGTCATAACCCTTCAGGAAGACATGGTTTTCACCAAGCTGCAGAGTGAAAAATCAGTTTGGAGCATCCCTACCTGGAATTTATCTTCATTTCAAACTTTTTTTGTCTACCTTTTGTCTTATTTTTGCCACGATTCTCTTATTCAGTTTGATCTATCATTCTTTATTCCTTTGCTGTGCTGCAGTTTCTCCTTGCTATTCCTTCGTCACTGGTTAGCACCTCCTTCTACCATTTCATTCTACTCTCACTCTCTCACCCCTTCCCTCCTTTTTCCCTATTATATTTGTTCCTTTCTCTTGGCTTCACACACACGAATACTCTCACATCACTCAAACACATTCTCCCACACTAGCTCACAGCCCTGATTTTTCTCTGGCTACTGAACACAAACAGTACCAAACTTATAATAAGATAGGGTGTTTCTACCCATGTAGCTAATTTAAGGGACAAAATAAAGTTACTACCAATGAAAATGAACCTGAGGTGGCAGTGGTTCCCATTACCCTGACTACATTGAGGAGACCCATGATCTGGGCTGGATAAATAATATATGTTGCTCTCCTGTCACAGAAGTTTGCCAAGAGGTAGGCAAGGGACTAAAGCCACACTCAAACATTCTGGCCTTTCTTATTTTTCTTCTTCAGTTGATAGCCCCAGAATCTCTTTGCCCACTCCTGATTGCAGCTACTTGAGTAAGCACCTAGAAATTATGGTAGACAAATTTCCTTTCTAGGAAGAAGCTGGTGGAAGTGAATCTGGAACTCTGAGAAAAGAAGAGATTAGATCAAAATCAGAATTCTAGTTTCACAGTGTTACTGATACCAGTCCCTGGGGACCACAGAGATACCTTACTTACAGCATATATTTATTTAATTCAGTGAAGCTCCTTCAATTCATTTCAGTAAATCCCTTTGTTTCATTTATTTCTTTTATTTTCCTTGTTTATTTGTATTCAAGATAAGTTTCAGCAACTTCCAATCAAAACATTCCTGCTCATATAATATATTTCTCCACCCTTACCGCTATCTACCCATCAGATTCGCTGTTTAGAAACTGACATGTAAAATTCTGTTTTTAGGGTTTAAAGTGAGAGGAAATTAGGCAAACATATATACTATTTGTAGGTGCTTAAATAGGTACCATACCTATAGAAAATTTGTATATGTATTAAAATTTAAAGTATATCCCTTTTTTGACCCAGCAACTTAATTTCTATAAATTTATAGTATTTGTGTTTTATTATTCTATGAAATAACACATATATAGTATATCAACTACCATGTGGTTAATAGCACAAGCCTAGGAATAAAAAATGATATTCAAAATATCGATTAAATATATTATAGTACATCCTTACCATAGATTTCTATATAATCCTATATGTAGTGTTACGGATTACTCAGATAAATAAAGAAAAAAAAACAAGGTGCATAATAGGGGTATAAGATTCAACCAATTGTGTAATGCACACACACACCCAAACACACACACGTGCACACACACACACATTCAACAGATCTAAAATACCATAAGGAGAGTCATTATTTTATATAACACTAAAAAGAAAAAAATTGCTGCCAATTAAACTATGACATAATGCTTTCTTATCTTTTGGAAATTTCATTTAACACACACTAAAACAGCTTTTTGATACTTTAGGCATGGATTTTGATTATATATTACTATTGCATATACAGAAATAACTATGTTAAAATTAACATTAAAGAACTATTTTTGTAAGTCACTTTTGCCTCAGAAGCATTGATTCTGTGTCTTTTCACATACTCAAGGACATAGATCGTGCTGCATTTCTTTTTCTTTACAATTTTTTTAAAATTTAACTCATCTTAAGTTTAGGGGCACATGTGCAGTTTTGTTATGTAGGTAAAATTGTGTCATGGGGATTTGTTGTACAGATTATTTCATCACCTAGGTATTAAGAATAGTATCGATTAGTTGTTTTTCTTGATCTTTTCTTCCTCCCAACCTTCACTCTTAGATAGGGCCCAGTGTGTGCTGTTCCCCTCTATGTTCCCATGTGTTCTCATCATTTAGCTCCCACTTATAAGTGAGAACATGCAGTATTTGGTTTTCTGTTCCTGTGCTAGTTTGCTAAGGAATAATGGCCTCCAGCTCCATCCATGTTCTTACAAAGGACATGATCTCGTTTTTTTTTTTTTTTATGGCTGCATGGTATTCCATGATGTATCTCTATCACATTTTCTTTAGCCAGTCTATCATTGATGGGCATTTAGGTTGATTCAATGTCTTTGCTATTGTGAATAGAGTTGCAATAAACATACATATGCATCTTTGTAATATAACAATTTATATCCCTTTGGGTATATACCCAGTAACGGGTTTGTTGGGTTAAATGGTATTTCTGTTTCTAGGTCTTTGGGGAATCACTACACTGTCTTTCACGATGTCTGAACTAATTTACACTCCCACCAACAGTGTATAAGCATTCCCTTTCCTCCACAGCCTTGCTAGCATTTGTTATTTTTTGGCTTTTTAATTATAGCCATTTTAAATGTTGTGAGATGGTATCTCATTTGCATTTCTCTAATGATCAGTGATGTTGAGCTTTTTTTCATATGATGTTGGACACATGTATGTCCTCTTTTAAACAGGAATTTTAAAAGCCTGAATAGCTAAGGCAATTCTAACCAAAAAGAACAAACCTGAGCAAACAACCCAACTTCAAACTATACTGGAGGACTACAGTAACCAAAACAGCACAGTACTGGTACAAAAACAGAAACATAGACCAATAGAACAGAATAGAGAACCCAGAAATAAGGCAGCAAACCTACAATTACCTGATTTTCAATAAACCTGAAAAAAAAAACAAGCAATGAGGAAAGGCTTTCCTACTCCATAAATGGTATTGATATAAGTGGCCAGCCATTTGCAAAAGATTGAAGCTGGACCTCTTACTTACACCATATACAAAAATTTACTCGAGACAGAATAAAGACTTAAATGTAACACCCAAAACTATAAAAACCCTGCAAGACAACCTAGGTGATACCATGCTGGACAAAGAATGGGCAAAGATTTCATGATGAAGTTGCCAAAAGCAATTGCAACAAAAGCAAAAATTCATAAATGGGATCTAATTAAACTAAAGTGATTCTGCACAGCAAAGGAAGTATCAACAGAATGAACAGACAACCTAGAGAATGGGAGAAAATTTTTGCGAACTATGCATCTGTCAAAGGTCTAATATCTAGCATCTATAATAAACTTACACAAATTTCCAAGAAAAAATAAACAACCCCATTAAAAATTGGACAAATATGCTGAATTTCTTAAATGTAGGTCCATTCTCTCTCTAGGATTTCCCTCTGCTACTGACATGCATTCTGCACATTTTGATGCTTTGTACTTTATTGTATAGGTGAGAAGATGTCATGGAATAGTTTTAGGTCACAACCAGAACTCATATTATTTCAGTTTATTGGTTAAAAATGAAAACATTTGTCTAGATTGGCCAAGAGGAATGAAATCCAAGTTTATGTATGTGCAAGCAATAACAATCATATCATGTAAAACCTGGTCAACAGGGTTTGCAAGATGTCATTGTTGATGAAATACTTTCCAGTTTTAGACCCACTAAAATATGGAATAAAACCATATCGCTTAGAATAATTAAAATGCAATGAGTATATGGCATACATACACATTGGATTATATAAATATAAAATATCACTGAAGTTATACATGAGAAACTAGTAACAGTGGTTGTCTTAGGACAATCCAGGGACAGAAAAGAGAGACCTAGTTTTTACTTTCTACCCTTTTATACCTTTTGAATGATATGTTACAATCATCTACTACTTGTTCTACAATGACAAAAATAATTATTTGTTTCCAGAATAATAGATTTATTCCTTATTACTAAATCAGTGTTTCAAAATAAATAACATGTCTACAACTGACAGAACATAATATTATTTTAGGTGATATGACTATTTCAAAACAGTTCTATGTATACATTTACCTTAACATATGTTAAAGACAATAAATCATCAAGTCCACTATTTTCATAGTTAAAAATTTCATTTTTCATTGAAATAAATGAGATCATAAGTTTAGAATTAGGATCAGGGAGAGCCTGTTGAATTCAGGGTATAAAGAGAAAATGGAAAATCCTTGGAGAGTGGAAGAGTGTATTTAGTTTTGCTAGATAGTACTAAAGGCCCAGTGAAAATAATCTCTGTTTATAAATTTGAAGTTAGATAGTTAGAAGAACACTGTGTTCTTTTTTAGTTTTACCAGTCATGTTTAGGTGGTTGTGTGCAGCTAGTGAGAAGACGGAAAAGTGGGCTTAAGAAGGTGTGGTACTTTTCTAGGGAGACCATCTGATGAACAGAGGGATGGGGATTTCTTTGCTCACCTCTTTTTTGACCTCTTAAATGCTCAACACCCCCAATGTCTTGCTCTGGTTGACACCACCTCCACAAACACACTGAATTAAACCATTCTGAAGTCAGAGAGTTGTCTGGGCAGAGGTCATGAGAATGCTCATAAGTTTGTTGCATGTTTACCCTTGTTATTGTGTACAAGCCTCCTTAAAGTTTTAAAAACCATCCTGGAGTTGTTTTCTCACAAAAGAGACAAGGCTGACATTTGGCTGACGAATTATGCCAGTCTTTAATCAACCCATGGGAATAGTGGGAATCCGGTATTGGATATCATCAGAATGAATATAAACTATCAGCTGTTACTAAATAATCATTGATGCAAAATGTGATTGAGCCCTCCGTCTATTAATAAGGAATAGAATTCAGCAGCAAACCTATTTGCAAAGAAGGAAGATTTAAATGAATCTATTTTAATGAAAGAAAATACATTTTAGAGTTTTAAATATTCTATAAATCTCCCTGTCATTCTATAGTTAAGAGTGACTGACTTACTATCACCACAGATAGCTATTTGTTACCTCATTGCTGTATATAATTACTCAGTAAATAAGTGCAAATTATAGCTACTAAGGCAAGCTCACTAACACAAATGTTTCATGTCAAAGACAAGAACAGCAATCACGGCCGGGCGCGGTGGCTCACGCCTGTAATCCCAGCACTTTGGGAGGCCGAGACGGGCGGATCACGAGGTCAGGAGATCGAGACCATCCTGGCTGACACGGTGAAACCCCGTCTCTACTAAAAATACAAAAATTAGCAGGGCATGGTGGCGCGCGCCTGTAGTCCCAGCTACTTGGGAGGCTGAGGCAGGAGAATGGCGTGAACCCGGGAGGCGGAAATTGCAGTGAGTCGAGATCGCGCCAATGCGCTCCAGCCTGGGCGACAGAGCGAAACTCCGTCTCAAAAAAAAAAAAAAAAAAAAAAGAACAGCAATCACAAAATATTTCTACTCTCCTGTTTTGAGAGTTTATTATTTCATAATGGCACTGACAGTATTTGAAAAGCCATTTCAGATATGATTTCCTCTATCAGTATACAGTATGGTGAAATGATGGTGATGATTATTACAATGATATGATGATGATGATGATTGTTATTATTATTGTTTAAAATACAACAGGGTAGTTATGTTCATTTTGAGAGGGGAAACAGAAGTGCTGGCATAACTCTATGCATAGTATAAACAGAAATCGGACACTTCACTTCAATGTTGTTAACATCAAAGTAGTTTTCTTAAATTATTTCTTCACTTTGCTTTTCTCTTACCTGGAGCATACATGATCATTACATTTTGCTTCCCATAACTCATGTAGTTATTTCAGAAAAGATATTTAAATATAGATAACAGATAATAAATATTTTAATATTATAATAACAAAATGACCTACTCCTTTAAATGCCTATTTATTGACATTTATTTACAAATATAAAGAAAAATGATTTGTGCAAACCACAAATAGTGTTTTTAAAATACTTCTTAATTTATGTTCTCTTAGCTGTAAGACAGTTTTGCTCTTTCCTACCTGCAATTGGGCCTCAGGAAAAAAAAGATGGAGTGAATGCCATGTCAGAAAGGAGAAGGATGATATAGAAAAGCTCTCTTCTTTTAAAGAGTGTAGGGGGTTCACCCACTAAGGAAGGGAATTAATGGATTTAAATGTGATGGTAAACTTTAAACATCCATGTTCTTATATTTTTTCTGTGGAAATGACGAGTTAGAAAAAGTTGATCTTGAGAACACTAAGAAGTAGTGGTGGTCAGTGAGATGATTATCTAGAAGTTTGAGAATGCTGCAGGACACTGGGATGTGGCCATATTTAGCATAGCATGTACGACATTGTGTGGCACTAGGAGATGAGAGTGATTCAAAACGATTATGTTTTTGTCCTGGAAAAGGCTTGCAGTGAATCATCATACACCTGGATTGGGATGAAGTGTTTGAAACTACACTATGTAACAGATGTCCACAAAGTGTTAAATGAAACAAAGAGCTCCGTTGCACCTCAGTGGTAATGAGTAAAAGGAACAGAAAGGACCAGCCACAATTTAGCAGAGACTAGGAATGATGCAGAGAGAATTATGTTGCCTACTGTCTCCTGACACTACTACAAGGTCATATAAACCTTATATCCAGCACACAAAATGTATCTTAGGAAAAGCAAATGGAGTGAGAAGAACTCTGTGCAGATTACATAATTTGAAACAAATATGTAAACATAAAGAAACAGGGTCTCTGGATATGAATGAATTTACTGGATTGTTCTGAATATACACGTGAGACTGTGGTTGTTATTCATTCAACAGGCTTCTGACAAAGAAGTCGTAGAAAACAAAACAAAAATAGTTATATTCTCTTTAAACATCTGAGTATGCATTAACAAAAATACAACTCATTAGACATAATTTTAATTATCGTGTGAAGAAATAATAAAAACCCAGTGGTTAGCTACTAAAGCCTGCAACACTCTTAATTATAAAAATAGAAAGAATTCCTAATGCAACTGTCCCCTAGATGTGTGGCATGGAGGACAAGCAGCAATTTTCAAAGAGCAAACTTAAACATACTATTAAGTTTCACAAAATTCAAAATCATATTTAAATGCCTAGTTCTATTGTAATGTCAACAATATAACTTTTTCTTAAAACTACCTTTTTCATTTCCAAATATTAAACAATAATATTGATTAAGAACATTAGAAACAGCTTAATAGGATTTTTGCTTTTATTTTTGTTATTTTAGTTTTTTACACTCAACAGTTGGACAATATGTTAAACACAGAATTTGTTTAAAATAAAGTTTTATATCAATCCAGTTTGTACTTGCTTTAAATTTAGAATTTCTAATTGTCTCCGTTTCAAAGTGATGGTATGAAAGAAAACATCAATGAATCTACTTTAGCACCAAATACAATGATGATCTAACAGCTTGCAAACACAATTTAACATAATATTGTACCTGAAGAATAAATAAGCTCAATTCTCCTAGAGGCATTTTGCAAAATATCGACAAATGCAGAGCATGTTGAGCATGAAAAACATGCTCAACAAGGGTCTGCTATTATGGTAGTATATTTTATAATGCAAGTATTACCTGCTTTTTCTGTTAATTGGAAAATTTTTTTATTAGGATGCTCATTCAAAGGTGGAATAAATGACTTCAGGAACCCTTTCAGGGTCCCATTATTTTTGTGACTAGAGAAATGCATTACAAAAATTTCTAAGGGTATTTTTTTGCTTTGTTTATATTTCTGGAAATATATAAGAGAATAGCCGTTCTTCAATTCACAGATTATTGACAAAACATTTTTCTAAGTTATTAGAAAATTATGAAAATGTAAGAAACAGAAACCTCCCTGAAGCCCTTAGCTTACCTATAACTCAGCATATATGACAACTCAGGGTCTGAGACTCAAAACGGAGATGTGATTTACATATTGTTTCTAAATGATTTTTTAATATATAAATATTCTGTCCCTAGAATGTTATTTTAATTGGAGATTAGGGTGGTGTATTAATCTGTTTTCACACTGCTATAAATAACTGCCTGAGACTGGGTAATTTATTTTTAAAAAAGTGGTTTGATTGACTCACAGTTCCACATGGCTGAGGAGGCCTCAGGAAACTTACAATCATGGCGGTTGGTGAAGGGGAAGCAAACACCTTCTTCACTAGGCAGCAGGAGAGCGAGAGAAAGAAAGCACCACACATGTATCAAACAACCAGGTCTCATGAGAATTCTATCAGGAGAAGAGCAAGGGGAAAGTCCACTCCCATGACTCAATCACCTCCCACCAGGCCACTCCCCCAACAGGTGAGGATTACAATTTGAGTTGAGATTTGGGTGGGGACACAGAGCCAAACAATATCGGGTGGACAATGTGCAAGCACCCATTTTATTATCTACTGTTATTAAACTTCATTAAGGAGGAGGTAACTCCTTCTTCAAACAGATAAACATAATGTAAGACTTCAAGGACCTGAAAAATCAAGGAAATATGACATCACCAAAGGAAGACAAAAAATATATTAGTAAGCAACCCTAAGAAAATGGAAATCTATGAAATTTCTGACAAATAATTCAAAATAATTGTTTTAGGGAAGCTCAGTGAGCCATAAAAGAACACAGATAAACAATTCAATGAAATCAGAAAAACAATACAACAAAACAAGACATTTAAAAAAGAGATAGAAATCATTTAAAAAAAAAAAGTCTGGAGCTGAAGAATACAATGAATAAAATTTTAAAATGCAATCAAGAGTGCCCATAGCAAACTTAATCTAGTTGAAACAAGAATCTGTGAACTCAAAGATAGGTCATTTGCAGAAAACTCTAATAAGAAAAGAAAAAAGAATCAACAGAAGTAAAGTAAGTCTATGGATATATAATACACCATCAAGAGAGCTAATAATTTTCATCATAAAAACTTTAGAAGACAATGTTTTTTCCTTCCAAATTTTATTTTAGGTTCTGTTGGTACATGTAGAGGTATTAAACCAGGTAAATTGCCTGTTGTGAGGTTAGGTGTACAGATTATTTTATCACCCAGGGAATAATCATAGTACCCAAGAAGTCATTTTTCTATCCTCACCCTCCTCCCTCCCTCACCTTCAAGTAGGCTCTGGTGTCAGTTGCTCCCTTCTTTGTGTCCACATATACTCAATTTTTAGCTCCCAATTAAAGTGAGAAAATACTCTATTTGCTTTTCTTTTCATGCGTTAGTTTGCTTAGGATAATGGCCTCCAGCTCCATCCATATTGCCACAAATGACATGATTCTGCTCTTCATTATGGCTGTGTAGTATTCCACATATATATCATTTTCTTTACCCAATTCACCATTGATGGGCATCTTGGTTGATTCCATGTCTGTGCTGTTGTGAATAGTGCTTCAGTGAACACATGAGTCCATGTGTTTTTTGGTAGGATGTTATATTCCTTTGGGTATAAACCCAGTAATGGTATTGCTGGGTCAAAGGGTAGCTTTTTTAAAGTTCTTTGAGAAATCTCCAAACTGCTTTCCACAGTGGCTGAACTAATTTACATTCCCAGCAGCAGTATACATGTGTTCCCTTTCACCTGCAACCTCATCAGCATCTGTTATTTCTAAACTTTTAGTAATAGCCATTCTGACTGTTGTGAGATAGTATCTCATTGTGGTTTTGATTTGCATTTCTGTAATGATTAATGATGTTGAGCATGATTTCATATGTTTGTTGGCCAGATGCATGACTTCCTTTGAGAAATGTCTGTTCATGTCCTTTGCTCACTTTTAAATGAAATTGTTTGGTTTTTGCTTGCTAATTTAAGTTCCCTATAGATTCTGGATATTATGCCTTTGTCAGATGCATAGTTTGCAAATATTGTCTCCCATTCTTTAGGTTGTCTGTTTACTTTGTTGATAGTTTCTTTTGCTGTGCAGAAGCTCTTTTATTTAATTAGTACCTATTTGTCAATTTGTGATTTCTTTTAACACTTTTGGATCTTTGTCATGAAATATTTTCATGTTCAGAATAGTATGGTCTAGGTTTTTTCTTTTGGGTTTTTTTCTAATTTTAGGTTTTACATTTAAGTCTTTAATTTATCTTTAGTTGATTTTTGTATATGAGGAAAGGAATGAGTCCATTTTCAATCTTCTGCATATGGCTAGCCAGTTATCCCAGCACCATTTATTGAATAGGGAGTCCTTTCACCATTGCTTACATTTTCCAACTTTGTTGAAGATCAGGTGTGTGGATTTGTTTCTGGGTTCTCTAACAGGTTCTATTAGTCTATGTGTCTGTTTTTGTACTAGTACCATGCTGTTTTAGTTACGGTAGCCTTGCAGTATAGTTTAAAGTCAAATCGTGTAATGCCTCTGGCTTTGTTGTCTTTTCTTGGGTTTGCTTTGGTGATTTGGGCTCTTTTTTGGCTCTATATAAATTTTAAAATAGAATTTTTTTAATTCTGTGAAAAATGTTTTTGTTAGTTTAATAGAAATAGCATTGTATCTGTAAATTGTTTTTAGCAAGCCGTATGGCCATTTTAACAATATTGATTTTTCCTATCTATAAGCATGGAACGTTTTTCATTTTGTTTGTGTCATCTCTGATTTCTTTCAGTAGTGTTTTGTAATTCCGGTTTTAGAGGTCTTTCATCTCCCTGGTTAGCTGTATTCCTAGATATTTTGAGAAATCTTATTTAAAGAAATAGTAGTTAAAAGCTTCGCCAATTTTTGGAAAAATATAGACATCCAAGTACATAAAGTTTAAAACTCTTGTCACTTTCAACCAAAATAAAATTTCTCCAAGCTCTATTATAGTCAAACTATATAATTCTATACTTAGAAAACCCCCACAGACTCCAACAGAAGGTTCCCAGAACTGATAAATCACTTCAGTAATGTTTCAGGATACAAAATCAATGTAGAAACATCAGTAGCATTTCTATATACTAATAATGTCTAAGTTCACAGCCAAATTAAGACTGCAATTCCATTTACAATAACCAAAAAAAAAAAAAAAAAGAATAAAATAGCTAGGAATACAGCTTACCAAGGAGGTGAAAGATCTCTAAAACCAGAATTAGAAAACACTGCTGCAAGAAATCAGAGACGATACAAATGGAAAAAGGTTCCATGCTTATGGACAGAAAGAATCAATATTGTTAAAATGGCCACACTACTCAAATCAGTTTTCAGATTCAAAGCTATTCCTTTCAAACTACTAACATCTTTTTTTAAAAAAAGAATTAGAAAAAAAACTATTTTAAAATTCATATGGAACCAAAAAGGAGCCTGAATCACCAAAACAATCCTAGGCAAGAAGAACAAAGCTGGAAGCATTACACACAGGAAGAAAAATATTATGTGACCTCACTTATCTGTAGAATGTAGAAAAAAAATTGAATTCGTAGAAACAGAGAGTTGAAAGGTGGTTACCAGGGGTTTGGTATGGGGGAAAGAGTGAGGAGTTGGTCACAATGCACAAACTTGCAGTTATAAGATAATTTTTTTTAAAAAAAAGTCATTCTTATTTTTATGGATAAAGCATAGTAGTTTATTTTAGTAAAGAACTTTGTTTTTCTTAAAGGGTATATTAAAGTTTGAAAAATAACATTCTAGTTTAAATCTATATTTCTTAATATTTTTTTCTTAAGTTTTTAATTCTGCAGAATATCTATTGCAAGTCAGGTTTGTCTGTTTATGAGAAATTTAATAGAATTGCCAGTGTCATAAAATAATTTTTATACAAAAATAATTTTATTTTTCCTCCCAGGATTAGGATTATAATATTCAAATCCTCTATGAATTCAATTTTTTTTTTTTTTTTACATTTTACAGATAAGTGAGGTCACATAATACTTTTTTTTCTGTGTCTGGATTATTTCACTTAGGAAAATGTCTTCTAGGTTCATCTATGTTGTCACAAATGATGAAATTTTTATCTGTTTTAAGATTGAGTAGTATTCTATTGTGTAAATATATCACATTTCCTTTATCCATTTATCCACTGATGAATACATTGGTTGTTTCCATATCTTGGCTATTGTGAGTAACGCTGCAACAAACATGGGAGTGCAAATATCTCTTTGAGGTACTGATTTCATTAGAATTAGAATTTCCAAATACTTTTGTCTGAGGATAAACAAATACATTTATGTGTTTTTCTCACGTATTTTCCTTCTCCTCCCTCTCTTCATCCCCCATTTCATTCAGGTGGCCACATCCTTACCACTTTTCTCCTTACACTATAAAAATAAGCACAAAATCTGCTTGAAGATGAGCCTTAAAGAAGTGTGATAATCATTTAAGCTTATTGAAGACCTTATGTCAAGACATTGAGGCTGGCATGTTGCTGGGGAGCGTGGATATTAAAACACACCACACACACACATTATACAGGGACTTTAGATGGTAGTTGAGAGAGAAAGAAGAAATAGAATGTGAGTTAGAAGTAAGAGGAAACAACAGATGCCATTTTTCTCTGCCTGTCAGGAAAACCATGATGCAGAACTGTGAAAAATATTTTCTCTATCTTTTTTCTCTTCCCATTACACTGTTGGTGAAGAATGCTGAGAAAATAGATTGGGTGAGAGAGTACACAAGAGGAATCTGGAATTGCAACAGATGAAGATGGCCTGGATGCAGATTTACATTACAATGTCTGAATTCCTGGGAACTGTCATATTGTTCACCATAGGGTGAGTGCATAATCAAATGTCAGTGTTCACAGGTGACACAAAAGGCAGGAGGACAATTTTACTAGGTTGGTGAGAGAAACTAATGAGTTTCTCTGGGAGGCAAGTATAGTGAAGTTTTACAAGGAGACCAGGAAAAATGTTCACACTTATTTTTCTAGGATCATGTGCTCTTAATTATTAACTGTAAACTTGAAACATGTTTAGGATTATTAAAAATTTTTTGTTTGTTTTTTTAAATGTAATGACAGAATAGTGGTTGATTGTGATTAAAAAGATCAAATAAACATTCTCTTTTTTTTTAATGGTATTAGACTTATGTAGCCCAATTTCTTTTAAGCACTCAGCTAGTAGGTTAACACCAGTTGGCATGATTGGTATTTTGGGTAGTTACGTTGAATTCATCTTGGGAAAATTTGCAAAATATATTTTATTGGCATTTTTATATACTTTATTATTATAGTTCTTAGTAGTACACGTTAAGGGAGACTTGAAGAAATCTGCCAAATTGCTATTAAGTAGTTAATAGTATTGAAATGCTATTAAGTATTAATAGTAAGGATAAAAGACATATCAATCTGATATGAAAATTCATAAAATAGCAGATCCAAATGGCCAAATACACATAAAACACGCTCAAACACAATACTATGGAAATTTAAAATAAATGAACACTAATTTTTTAATCTAATTTAATTGGCAAAAAACAAGCCATAATATAGAAAAACGATGCTTTTATTTACTGTTAATGGAAATAAGTTTACATCCTTTTTGGACACAATTTGATGATTACAATGAAAAGACATATGGCTGTAAGTAACAGAAGTCTAATACGGCAGTGGTAAAATAAAACGCAGTCATGCTTCACTTAATGATGAGGACATGTTCTGAGAAATGCATCATTAGGTGATTTCTTTGTTGTGTGAATATCACACAGTGTACTTACACAAACCTAGATGGTATAGCCTACTATGCACCTAGACTATGTGGTGGCTCCTAGGCTAAAATCCTGCACAGTATATTATTGTACTTAATACTGTAGTCAATTGTAACACAATGGTATTTGTGTATCTAAACATATCTAACCATAAAGAAGGCATAATGAAAATATGGTATAAAAGATAAGAAATGGTGCACCTGCATAGGACACTTAACCATGAATGGAGCTGGCAGTACTGGAAGATTGTCTGGGTTAAGTCAGTGAGTGAGTGGTCAGTGAATATGAAGACTTAGGACATTATGGTACACTATCATAGATTTTATGAACACAGTACACTTAGGCTACACTAAATTTATGAAAATAATTTTTCTTCAATAATAAATTAACCTTAGTGTATTATAATTTTTACTTTATAAACTTTCAAATTTCTTAAGCTTTTTAACTCTTTTGCAACTTTTAATATAAAGCATAAACACATTGTACAACTGTACAAAAATATTATTTCTTCAGATTCACACTCTATAAGCACTTCTTTTTTTCTTTTTAAATTTTATTTGGTTAGAAAGTAAGTCAAGGACATACATCAGCCTAGCTCTACACAGGGTCAGGATCATCAGTATAACTGTCTTCCACCTCCACATCTTGTCCCACTGGAAGGTCTTCAGGGAGACCTTCATGGAGCTGCAATTCCTATGATAAAAATGCTTTCTTCTGGAGTACCTCCTGAAAAACGCAACTGAGGCTGTTTTATAATTAAATACACACACACACACACAGAGTACACTCTAAAATAACAATAAAAATATAGTATAGTAAACACTAGATGATAGAAATTTTTCAATTCTATTGTGATCTTATTGGGACCACAATTGTATATACAGACAGTTGTTGATAGAAAATGTTGTTATGTGACGCATCACTGTAAAAGTTTCTCTCTCAATTAAAAGAAGACTGGAAGTAGTCAATCTGGTTAGGACACTTGTGAATGTTAGGTGTCAACTTGATTGGACTGAAGGATGCCTAGATGGCTGGTAAAGTACTGTTTGTGGGTTTGTCTGTGAGGGTGTGGCCCGAGGAGATTGACATTTGAGTCAGTGGACTGGAAGATGAAGACCCAACCCCAATATGGGTGGGCACCATCCAACTGGCTGCCAACATGGCTAGAACAAAAGCAAGCAGAAGAAAGTGGGATTAAGCTGCCTTGCTGAGTCTTCTAGCTGCCTTCTTTCTCCAGTGCTGGATGCTTCCTCCTTCTCCTTCTGCCCTTGGACATCAGACTTGAGGTTCTTCAGCCTTTGGACTCTGGGACTTGCACCAGTGGTTTGCTGGGGACTCTTGGGCCTTTGGCCACAGAGTGAAGGCTACACTGTCAGCTTCCCTGGTTTGAGGCTTTCAGACTACCAGCTTCTCTCTTCCTCAGCTTCTGAGGGCCTATTGTGGGACTTTGTCTTGTAATAGTGTGAGCCAATTCTCCCTAATAAACTGCTCTGTCTACCTACCTACCTACTTACACACACACATACTTATATCCTATTAGTGATATAGGTAGGTAGGTAGGTAGGTAGACAGAGCAGTTTATTAGGGAGAATTGGCTCACACTATTACACACATATATATACACACACACATATATATATACACACACACACACACATACTTATATCCATGTGTGTGTGTATAGATATATATCTATATATAGATATATATCCTGTTACTTCTGTCCCTCTGGAGAACCCTGACTAATATAACACTCCATATAGTCATCAGGGTCCTGTCCATAGCTACCACCTTAACCCATAGGTTACATCTCATGACTCAAGGTGGATAATTGTGTTCCAGCCATCACATTTAAATTTCAGTTAGTATATGAAGAGAAATGCATAAAAGGGATCATTCTTTCCTTTTAAGGGAATTTTCTATAAATTGTGCTTACATTACTTACTTACATAGCCCCTTCTATCCATAACAAAAATATATGCTCAGCTAATATTTAGGGGGTATATGGCTAAGAAAGAAGATAAAAATGGTTAAGAGATAAGTCACACATCCTTTGATAGGGCAAAAGAAAAAAATAATAGCATACAAAAATATATGGCCAGTGATATTTATTGCAGTGTTACTTACAGTGGAAGAAGATAGGAAATTAAATAAATGTATCTAAATAGCATATTGTTAAATACCTTGGGATGCATTTGTCATGTAATTCTTTGATGCCACTGAAATATATTACTCAAAGGCAAATAAATGTCTTAGAAGTATTTTCACAAACTGTTTTCAAGTATGAAAAAATTGTCATATCTACCTATACATGCCTATAATTATTATTATCTTGTGGTAATGACATGCACTGAAAACTCTGAAGGTGCGTTGAAATATAACGAGTGCAATAGAAATGCAACGGATCTTTGTGATACACCCATAGTATAAAATTACAAATACTAGGTTAACTCATTCAACAGATACTTAACTCTAGTGTTTTCTCTGTTCTTCATGAGCTGAAAACCTAAATGTTTCTTTTCCAGACTCCTTTAAATATGGAGTTCTAAATGTGATTTAGGTTCACCAATCAGAGGCATTCTGAAACTAAAATTCAGAACTGAGTTAAGTGGGAAGAGAAACAGTGAGGTGCCACTTTCCTGGTGTGAATGATGGCAGAGTCAGCAATGCCCCAGAGCATCAGCTGAGCACAGATTTCTTACTCAAAAGACACCGTCCTCATCATGGGCTCCCTTGGCTTCTCAGGTCTATGACGTGACCTGAAAGTTTATTTCTGTTTATTCAGCATGAAGTATATTTTATCAGCTTGCCTAATACTTCTTTAAGTCATTCAGTATTGTGTAACAATAATAATAATCCTTTTCTGTTTAAAACAGCAAAAGTGTATGTTTTTCTGGGAAAGTAAACCCTCTCCAGTGTAACGCTATTGCTATATTAATCTCAAAGCATTGGAAAACATCTCTGTATTTATGTAATTAGTGGTCTTACAATAGAATCCTAAAATATTAAATTTGCCAATACTTATAAATGTTTAAGCTTTATAATTTTGCTAAAATGACTGAGTCATATCATGGTATAATAGCTTAAAAACTATTTGACCAGAGTCTTCTCTCTATAAAACTACAATGTTAAATTATCTGACTGGATTAATTTACTAGTCTCTTTTTTTATCTTACTTTTACCAATTAACAAATGGTTATGAGATTTTTACCTGTCTCTCCATTCCTCCTTTATAAGTCAAGTACATATTTATTACAATGCTGTGGATATTACCACAAGCCTCTTACCCAAGGGAAAAGTACACAGTCCAAGTTGTTGCCCAACTTACTTTCCATTTTTCCACCCACCCATATGGCCCACTGCAACCTTGTCACAGGGATAATAAGACATATTATTCATATTTATTAGAATATTATAATAAGATATTGAAAAAATGGCTTTACACCAATATAGAAACATCCAGCCACCTGAGGGAGAGGCCTACTGGGAATAGCAATTCAATGCAAGTTAGAAAAATGTCCTCTGACAGCACATCCTTTTATCAAGTGAAGAATTATTAATATATATGCCCAGCAGTTTTGTGACTGATGAAGAGGATATGACATTGGGAAAATCCTGCCTTCAGCTAGATAAGCATAGCCCACAGCATCCGTGCTCTTTGAGTTGACACATCCACATAATTTTCTGCCGTGTATCTAATTATCTTTGCAATGAAGGGAGGGATAAGAAGAAAAGGTGGGGCTGGGAGGACAAAAAGGATGTGTCCTTTATGCCATCAACCTGTATGCCATCAGCTACCGAACAAGTCTCTTCTTTCATAAATACTGCATTCAAAATCATTGCCAGTGAAGGTCATTCACTTTAATCAGAATAAAAAACGATAGCTATGTAATTTTCTTAATCTTCTGTATGAATTTCTTTGCATGCATTACATTTCCATCCCTTATTTCTTTTGTCTTATTGCATGTCTTCTATTATAGTGGCTTTAATATGCCTATTCCCCAATCTCTTACCGGTCCTGCTTCAAATCAGTTACTATAGGTAATTAGCTTTGGTGTGTCTGAGCTTGTCTTATCTCAGTCTGCTCTGTTCACAGCAGAGTCTTTTACGAGTTCCCTTCTTCACTTAGAATGCAAAAGAAGTCAGTGGAGAATCAATGCATGCTGAGAAGTTTGTGGTTTAGTTTGCCTATAATTTCGAGCAACTAATTGCTCTATGTCATTTTCATGATTAAAAAACACAAATCCAGCAGTATATACACTTTTAATTAAAAAATAACAAGTGAAGTCACTCTAAAATTAAGGAGAGTAAGTGGCTGCCATGTAGCTAAATCCTTAAGTGCAAAACGAAATGTGAACCAATTGCAGGAATATACAGTATAAAAGATGTAAAGAGAGACTTTAGGGCAGACTGAAACCGGATGACTAATTTTTGCCTCTACCAATATCAAACAAAATAATAGTAATAATAATAATAACAGACAGCCCTTCATATCCATGGGTTTCACATCCATGGATTCAACCAACTGCAGATTGATATTGAGATATTTTAAAAATTGTGTCTATAATGAACATGTACAGACTTTTTCATGTCATTATTCCCTAAACATTGCACTATAACAATTATTTACATAGTATTTATACTGTATTAGGTATTATAATTAATCTAAAGGGGATTTAAAGTATACAGAAAGATGTCCATAGGTTATATAGCAATACAACATCTTTTTATATCAGAGACTTCAGCTTCCATGGATTTTGGTACCTGAGAGAGGTCCTGAGACCAGTCCCCACAAGATACCACTGGGAGACTCCATATACCAGGATAGTTTTTCACCAGAAGCAATTTATCAGGAAAAGAGATACAGCATATTGCCATAAAATTTGAAAAGTAATGGTGCAAAGGAAGCCATGTAAAAATTCTGACATGTTTGTGTACTGATTCAGTCCTTTCCAAGAAAATACGTAGGAGGGCAGAAAATGTGTTCAGAAAATTCTGAGAATGTCCAGCAGCACTCACAAATGCAGGACATGGCACACTGAAGTAATATCTAGAAAAAGTTAGGAAGGAAATCATTAAAGTGGGGTTTCAGTTAAAGCAGAAAAACATTCCAGGAGACAGTTTCATCTATTTTGTCTATTCAGGATGAAAGAAATGTGGATTGAAGAAATAAAATTATCATGTATCTGTCTAGATAATTATTGTGAGCAATAAATAAGAAGCACAGAAACCAGGAGACTTTCTAAGAAAGTGGACTGCTGAAGGTGGCGGCTGAGAAGTACATGGAGTGTTCAGTGTCATTTATTCTTCACCCATCACTCTGCAGAAATCTTTCTTACTTTCATTTTTCTTCTTTTGCTGAGTAGGGGAGTGATATCAGCTGTTAGGGAGAGAGAGTCTGAGGAAGTAGACTAAACCATCAGAGGTCTAGGCCTCTAATTCAGTTTTCAAACCAAGGAGAGAATCCTCAAGAGAAAACAAATCTGCCAACACTTTCATCTTAGACTTCCAACCTCCAGAACTATAAGAAACAAAGTTGTATTGTTTAAGCCACTGGGTCTGTGTTGTTTGATTATGGCAGCCCTAGTAGACAAATATACTGGTTCATAAGAACTTATATGATCTACATCTAAATAATTCTCTTTTGATTCACTGTGTCCCTCTGTTTTCTTCTTTCATTTTTCCCCCTGAAACATTCCAACCAGCCCTCCAAGACCAGCACCTGAGCCCTTATTTTTCTTCCCAAGATCATCATATGGCTGACTCATTTTTATCATCCCAGTCCCAGCTCAAATGACACATAATAAAAGAGACTTTCTCTGATCATCCATTGTGTCCTTAAATAATTTGTACCTAGAACACTGGGACATAGCTAGTGCTTGATAAATATCCACTGAAGGAATGAAAAAGATAACAAGGGAGGCAAGAACACTTCACCCAAAATATGTAACAGACAAAAAGTGGGAATTGAAACTTTCAAGCATGAGAAAGATGGAGAGAAATGGTATAATATCTATGCAATAATTGTGTTATTGTAGGTAAATACAGGAGGTAGCAAGTGAAGGGTGGAAGAATCACAAAAAAAAAAGATGAAGATTTTGGCTTAAAAAAAAACACAAAAGGAAAAAATATTCTCTGAGTACCTCTCACTAGCAAAACATCTAAGGTAAACCTAAACCCAATACAAACAAAAATGAACAAAAAGGTAAAATGTTAAATCAACACAATGAGATGAAAAGACATATGCTGATCTAAGAAAACAAATAAGTATCAAACAATACAATAAAAGATGTGAGAAGTACATTAGAAACAATATGCATCAGAAATGATAGAGCAAAATAATCAAAATTCTGGAATGAAATAAAGACTTGAGATGGTCACTGTGCATACACCAGAATATTTTTTTCACCAGAGCAATTCATCAGGAAAAGAGATACAGCACCTTGCCATAAAATTTGAAAAGTAATGGCGCATAGCCAAAGAGTAAAGCAATTAGAATGAACACAATATATAATAAGATGTAAGACATATTGTTTTCACTATCTTCTTTGCATTCTTGTTTCATTATAAAAAGAGTATTTTCCATAGAAAAATTCTGTCTTTTTCTCTGATAGCAACAGGGGACAAACAAACTCCTAGGCAGACAGAAATGGGTCCCCAGTGAAACCCGATCTTTTAAGCCTGAAAACTCAGCTGCCAGTTCCAGGTAGAGCCCACAGCTGGAGTGAGAACTTTCTCAACGCCTTTTACCTAATCAAATGGTGCCTTTTCCAAACCCAGCCATGACCCATTCAGGATGCAGTCCCCCATTCTAAGTCCATAAAAATCCTGAATACAGCCTCACAGATGTCTACCCACTTTCGGACCCCCTCTCATACAGAGGGCTACCCACCTTAGGTCCAATCTCATTGTCGAGAGCTTTTCTGTTACTCAATAAAATTGTTCTCTGCCTTGCTCACTCTCTAGTGTAACTCATTCCTCTTGGTCTTGGTACAAGAACCCGGACCTGACGAATGGTGGGTGCAAAAAGAGCTGTGATGCTCTTGGCTGACTGGCTGAGCTACAGGTGGCAGGAATAAAAGAGCTGTGACACTCCTGGCTGACTCTTGGAGCTGTGGAAGATGGGAATAAAAGAATTGTGACATGCACCTGCTCACCGAGCTACGGGAATAAAGAGCTGCAACATTCCTTATGTGCTCAGACTTCCAGACTCCCTGAGCAAGAGCTGTGACAACCCTTGGGGCTTTGCAACGGCTGGCCTCTCCGAATTTTCGGGCACTACTGCATTCTCCTAATCTAGGCACTGGTGCCCAATGCGGAAGCCACTCATTACATGCCTGGTCCAGCTGTGGGCTGAGTGTGGATCCTGTGGTGGGCATGGGACCTGGGCCGAGGCAGAAGCAGAATGCAGCCTGCCGGGATGAACAGATGGAGCAAGCCCCAAGTGAGGCCCCAGGCAGAAGTCGTGGTGGCCACAGAGATTTCAGGCTTGTGAAGGAGCCCTGAAGGAATCCTGTAACATGACTACTGTTTCCTGGCTTCCCAACAAATAAAAGAGTGATTTCTCTGATTAGTGAGTGAGATCCTAATGTCCTTGTCCAAACTTGCTAGGTGGGGTCTATGTGTTAAATCCTGCTACTCTCTGGTGCTTTCTCTGGGCTTCAGTAGATGTGTAGCAGGCATTACACTTCAGGCAGCCATCTCAGTAACTGCTTGGCAGGCCCCTACTAGAAATCAGTTCAGGATGCTGGTCTAAGACCTACTCACCTCATATGGTTTAGATTTGTGTCCCCACCCAAATCTCAGGTCAAATTTTAATCCCCAGTTTTGGAGGAGGGGTCTGGTGGGAGGTAATTGGATCATGGGGGCTAACTTCCTCTTGCTATTCTTGTGATAATGAGTGAGTTCTCACCAGATCTGGTTGTTAAAAGTCTGGAAAACCTACTCCTTCACTCCCTTCCTCCTACTCCAGCCATGTAAGACATGCTTGCTTCCCCTTCACCTTCTGCCATGACTGTCAGTTTCCTGGGGCCTCCTCAGCCATGCTTTCTGTACAGGCTGTGGAACCATGAGCCAATAACCTCTTTTCTCTATAAATTACTCAGTCTGAGGTAGTTCCTTTTAGCAATGCGGGAACAGACTGATACACCACCTATCTAGTTACACAGACAGGAAAAGAACTGGACATTTTACACTCCTTATCCATTTATCAGTCCACAGGCAAGGTATAGTTATTAAAAGTACTTCCAATTCAGTACATGGAGTACAAATATCAGGATTTTAATATTCATCTGTACTAATTTATCATACATGTGGACACAAGTTGTTCTAGATTAGAGATAGATAAGTAATCAACTACTTCACAGTAGATAATAAGTATATTTGCCTACTCTCAGTACAGGCCTTATCTGTAAAATAACATGATCAAAGAAAGGTCAAATATCTCATTAAAAGTAACCTGACAATCCAAAGATAAGGGACAAGAAAAATTATTTAATTTTTTTTCTCACTAAAAGGAAGAAGGAGGAAGCTGATACTTTTCCTCCTATAAACCATTTGATATGGTAATAAAACCTCTCCAAGAGCCAGAAGGCTTTTCTTGACCTTTAATGACCTAAACACTCGTCAATTACTGGAGTTTTATCCCTTTTTCCTTCTAGGGAGATAATATTTTAATCTCCCTCTCACCCTCGGACTTAACCTAAGGATCTTATTAGGGCTATAACCATTTGGCCCTCAGGGATCAGAACAATTAAATGGAGGAATGGCTATAAATTTAATCCTTATGGTATGTGAAGAGAATTAGGAGCTTTTATAAGAGCACTGGAAAATACAGGAAAGTTTTATTTCCCAACAAAAGATAAATATGATTTTTCATAGGGATCAACTGTATGCAAAAAGGTAACATGCAATTAAAGAAAAAATCCTCAGAATTAAGATTTGAATCTAGAAAACTAAAGTACACATTCTTTTTAAAGAAAAATTAATTCCAGTATTCTTACCTGCAAAATTTATCTTGGATAAGTAATTGGATTTTAAAGATAAAAAGATACAAGTTCTTTAATCATTCAGACAGAAAAATCAAGTCACCTACAAAAGGAAAAAGTTAAACTGTCCTCAGACTTCTTTATAGCATTGCTGTATCCAGACATAAAATAGTCTCTGAAATTTAGAAATAAAATGTGACTTGGGATATTAGACCCAGGTAATCTGTTTTTTATTTCAATGTGTAACAGACAGGCATCCTTATACATGCAGAAGTCCTTCTTGGAAAATGAAACAAAAACAAAAACAAAGCTACTAGACACATTTTAGCCAAGATAATATAAATGGCAAAAATACGGTAAAAGATTAATTTAATACCCTATTCCAAACAACAAAGCAATGTCTCTGAGTCCTGGGTGAAACTATATAAAACTCAAGATTTTTATATTCCATGAGACACTTATTTGAGTATACAGAGAACAACTATCAAATAAGGAAGAAATTAAAGAATAAATCATCAATGAACATTCCTGGAAATTACAACTTGCTAGTGGATTAGGAAATATATATCATATTAGACATCAGGAGTTGGATTCTGAATATTGGAAATGCTGCAGGATAACAGGAACTTTCATTTTTTTAGTGGAAGTAGAAATTAGTAAACTGATTACAGGTCACAACTTGAAAAACAATGGATTTGAATGTTCATAATATCTGTTCCAATAATTTACTTCTAGGAATTTATCCTGAGGAAATTATTTTATAAAGGTATCTGAAGAAAGGCAGTGATGACAGCATAAGTTGTAAAATTATAAAATTCTTAACTTTCTAATATATTATTGACCACTTTAAAAACTAATGCCATTTTAGATAGTATAAGTGCTAAGAAAAAAGCTACAATATGTTATTATTGTCATATCTATAAAAATAATGCAATATAAAATCCCTATTTAGCATATTTCCGGGGGCAGCCAAAGGCATATGGCCTGACATATAGAATAATATAATCCAAAGCATTTTAATTGTATGTTTAATTTTATAGTTTGCCTTTTTTAATTGACAGCAAAAATTGTATATATTTATGGTATAAAACATCACTTTTGATATATATACACATTGCAGGATGGCTAAATCAAGCTTATTAACATATCTTTCCTCATATACTTATCATTTTTTGTGGTGAGAACATTTACAATCTACTTTTAGCAATTTTCAAATTACAATAATTTAAATCTATATTTTAACTTAACTAAAAGAATATAATTGGATTGTTTGTAACATAAAGGATAAACGCTTGATGTGATGGATACTCCATTTACCCATCCATTTACCATGATGTGATTATTACACATTACACATCTGTATCAAAATACCTCATGTAACCAATAAACATGTATACCTACTATGTACCCACAAAATTTTTTTTAATTTAAAAATACAATATGTTGCTATTAAGTACACTCACTATGATTGGTAATAGATTTCTTGAACTTATTCCTTTTATCTAACTGAAATTTTGTAATCTTTGACCAATAGCTCCCCAACTCCATTCCCTGATAATCACCAGTTTACTCTCTGTTTATATGATTTTGGCTTATTTTAGATTCCACATAATTAAGATCATGTGGTATTTGTCTTCCTGTGTCTAGTTTATTTCACTGGCAAAAGGTCTTCCAAATTCATCCATGTTGTCACAAATTACAAAATTTTCTTTTTTAAGACTGATAGTATTTTATTGTGTGTATGTAACACATTTTCTTTTTCTATTCATCCATTGATGTGCACTTAGATTGTTTCCAAATCTTGCCTATTATAAATAATGCTGCAGTGAACATGGGTGCCAGGTTGCAACCCAAGCTGGGGTCCGAAGGAAGCTGCTGGATGGGTGTCGGGTAGCTGAAAGAACAGTCAAGGGACTGTAGGCAGTTGGGACATGGATTTATTCTTTCTTCCCCTACAAAGTCAGCAGTACAGTTATAGTTTTCGCAGACAACGGTGGCTCAAAGCCAGGTATGAACTTACACAAACAAGTTACGTCAAATGGCTACATAAATGTGATTACATAGTATGTGGGATTGTGCACCTGTGCTCCAAACCCACTGTCTCATACTGTACCTATGGCTGCCTCAGCCTACTTCTGACTAAAGCACAGCCATTTTCCTTACACTCCACACCCTAGGTCAAGGGAGCTCTCTTAGTGGGGAGACATGCCCACAGGGCAGAACTCTGGAGCCAAAGGCCACAGCAGCAATACTGGGAGCAACAACTCACTATTAATATTGCCACTATGCTGCCCATAATTATTAGGGTCCAGCACAGGCCAGAGCCCAGAGACGCCCATCATGTCTGTAGGGGGTTGTCAGTAAGGTTTTCAACTGCCTTGATTTCCTGGGAAACTCCTTGCAAAGCTGTTACTATGTTTAGTTGATTGTCAGGGATGAAGATACAACATTGCATTCCCAAAAGAGCACAGCTGCCACCTTGGGCAGCAGTCTCTGACAGGGGTACTCCTGTGCGCATGCTGGGCACCTCTGGCAGGACCCCCAGATATCTGGCGTTGGCACAGACAGACCCCAATGCTTATTGACCTAATGCATTAGTTTACCCCCTGCATAGCCCAATTTTAGATGCAGCCATAGGGCTATATCTTGTGTAGCTGCTGACTTCAACCACTGAACCTTGGCCAAGGCATTTGTCTCGTTATTTCCAGGGGCAGCCAAAGGCATAAGGCCTGACATATGATAAATAGTTACATTCTTTTGGTGTCCCATTTCCCATAGGTCTTGCCACATGGCTTAGCTCCAAATGGGTTGGTGGCCAACTAATCAGTTCTGTAACTTCCAGGTAGTTAACCACAAGGTAGACCTTCATAAACTGCCCAGCTATAGGTGCAGATCACCATAGGTGTTTCCTCCTTGGTGATCACTATCCACACTGCCCTGAGTTCAGCTCATTGACTATTTTGACCATATCGTGGTCCAGGCAGCAGTAGCACCCCAGCTGGACCCATCTGTATATCATGACCCATTGGGAACTGGGGGGCCCCCTTCTTTAAATGATAATGACTCAGGGTTTAAGGGGGCCTCAGGCAGACCCATGCCTTATCTTGCATTAGGACTACAGGTCCTAAGACTTCTTGTAATTCTGCTGCTAAGGGGCTTGTACTCAGGGTACAATGCTCTTATAAGTAGGTGCCCCATTTTGCTAAGGTGGATGTCTTTGCCGTCCCAGTCTGTGGAGTTGTTATCTATGAAGGTATCCACCCCATTATTGGGTAAGTTGTCCACATGACAAATATAGCCCATCCCATCAGGCTCTCACAAGCCTGGAGTGTGGCATATGTAGCTGCTAATTGCTTTTCTATTAATGAATACCAGATCACAGCTCCCTTCCAAAGTTGGGACCAAAAGCTCAACTTTGTTCTAAAGTGCTTCATGCACCGCCATAGGCCCAGCCAAAACCATCTGTGGTCACATGCACATCAAGTTCAAATGGGCACCCCAGGTCAATTACTCGTAGGGCTTGTGCTTGCTGTATGGCTTTCTTGGCTGCTAGAAAAGCCATCTCAGCCTCATCGTTCTAATCCCAGGTAGTTCCTTTTTTTGTCAACTGATAAAATGGTTATATCACCTAAGCCAAATGGGACGTGAATCAAATGCCTGCCAATATCCTAAGAGGCCCATAAAAGTCTGTAGCTGCCTCATCGTTGTGGGCTGGAGATATGCCTGAATTTTATCAATGATGGCCTCTGGTATGGCCTTTGTCTTACTTGACCAGATAACTCCCAAGAACTTGGCAGACAACCCAGGCACTTGGAACTTGGATTCACTGACAGCCCAACCACATGCTGCCAAATGCTGTCGCAAGAGAGGTGCCACCACTTCTAAATCTGCAAGAGAATCTGAGATTCTCATCAATATAATGAAATAGGTGGACCCCCTTTGGATATTTCCAGGTGGCTGCAAGACCATGACATATGGTGGGGCTATGCACATAGTCCTGCAGCAACACTGTGAAAGTCCACTGTTGCCCTTCCCATATGAAGGCAAACTGTTCCTGGCTCTCTGGAGCATGTCAATTGAGAAGAATGCATTGGCCGAGGCCACCACATAGTGGTACTGTCCCAATTTCATCATTCAGCGGTCCAGCAAATTCACTGATAGATGGCACTGCTGCATGTAAAGGGGTGATACTTTATTTAGTTCTCGATAATCCACCGTCATCCGCCAAGTTCCGTCAGGCTTTCTGACTGACCATACAAGAGAATTGTAGGGGCTGTGGGTGTCACACACTATCTGCACCTCCTCTAACTTCTTAGTAGTCTCAGTTATCTCCATATGCCCACCTGGCAAGCAGTATTGGCAGGTGGAAGTAACCCGTCAGGGTTGTGGCAGGATTTGGGGACAGTAATGCATGTGTTCATGGAGTACCCCTTAACCACATGTACTCAGAGTCTAAATTCTCTGGTCGTGGTTTGTAAAGCCAAGCCACGTAAAATATCTACCCCTGGAATGTATTTAGGTATGGGCAAGACATACACAGTGTATAAGAAGGGAGCCAAGCAGCCAATGCCAAGGTGGTTTTACTTTGACTGACTGTCCTCGATAGCCGTCTATATATTCAGTCTTTCCTGAAACTTATCTAGGTTTCCATAGACGATGCTACAATCTGTGCCAGTGTCAACCAGCACCAGCACTTTCTGTACATTGGTGTAGGACCAGTGGGTTGTCAATTCCACATGTGGCCTCTGGTTGTCTGGTGTCTCTCCCAAGCTGGGCACCTTGGCCAGTTTCCTAATTAAACACAAAAGACTCTATACCTCCACCCATCTGCAAGTAGTCCTTGAGCTGGAGTGTCCAGGTGGGACTGGGTTGAGCAGCATCATCCTGCCCACTTTGGGACATTTTCTGGAATTGCTGCTCTTGGGACGATTGCCTCCATAAAGTTAACAGCACTTCATTGGGTTGCCTATTAATTTTTTCCTGGTCAATCCCAGCCAAAATCAAATCAATCTACATCTATGTGCGTGTCACCTGCTCGGGTCTCCTTTTGTCTTCCTCTTTTTTATGGTGCAGACTCTCCAGTCCCATCTACGGCCCTCTGCTTTCATGAGGGCTACCATGTCAGTAGTCACCTCATGTATGTGGCACCTCACACACAGAATGAAGACAGCAGCCAGGGAGCTGAAGGAACTTGGGATCACAGAGCCCAACACAAGGTCCCTCATGTAGGAGGTAAAGCATTCATCATCTGGCCCTTGGGTATTCAGATTGAACATAGCCTGCCACATACCCGTCACCCAAATTACTCGCACCAGATTTATGTACAACTGCCACTTACTTACAGTTTCAGATATTTCTCCAGGATCGTTCCATACTGTTCATATGGCTGCTATCAGCCATTTAATCAGGGTGTGGTCAACTTGCCCGTGTGCTAACCACCCGCTCACCTGCAATCACTGATAGAGGGAGGAATGGGTCATAATGGAGGCCAACTTTTCTATTTCAGAGGCAGAGCAGACAATATTGTCAGCTCCCTCATCCCAAAGGTGAAGCATCCAGGTGGGTAGGGGTTCCCGCAAGCACTGCCAACACTGTTTACCTAATTCCCACAACTCAGTTGGGATATGGGCAGTGTATTACATGTGTTCTATCATGGTAGGGGATCCCTGAACCCATCCCTGGGGACCCAATGGGTGTTCATGCTCTATTTTCTAATGGACCACTGGGCAAGCCTGCAACAGAGGTTCTTCCTCCTGGGTATCAGACCAAGCAGGAGTCTCTGACTGGGATGGTGGGCTCAGACCCACACTAACTGTTGCCCCTAATTCTCATTCCAAGCTTTGTTTCGGGGCCTCCAGGCATTCTACTTGCACCTGGAGGTGTTTTACCTGCCCTGCATCCCACAGGGACTGAGTGTACACTGCGCTTCCTGTAGCACAATCAAAAACGTCCATCCAACTCTGCTGGCAAAGGTGTGCTCCTTCTTTATTTGCTGTGCATCCAGGTGCTTCAGTGCCTTCTCCATGTTCATGGGGGACCCGTCCACTGCCACCCATAATTACATCAGGACACATCCTAGCAACATGGCAGCCACTAGATACCATAATCCATGCTGGGGCCACATGGCCTACCCAGGATCACTGGGGGCCAAGGGCTCACACACCTTGGGATCCTGCCGACTATGCCAATTGTCAGGTTCCAACCCAAGCTGGGGTCCGAGAGAAGCTGGTGGACAGGTGGCAGGTAGCTGAAAGAATACTCAAAAGAGGCCAGGCGTGATGGCTTATATCTGTAATCCCAGCACTTTGGGAGGCTGAGGCGGGCAGATCACGAGGTCAGGAGATCAAGACCATCCTGGCTAACACAGTGAAACCCCGTCTCTACTAAAAATACAAAAAATTAGCCGGGCATGGGGGCTGGCGCCTGTAGTCCCAGCTACTCGAGAGGCTAAGGCAGGAGAATGGCATGACCCCAGGAGGCAAGCTTGCAGTGAGCGGAGATCACGCCACTGCACTCCAGCCTGGGCGACAGAGCGAGACTCGGTCTCAAAAAAAAAAAAAAAAAAAAAAAAAAAGCATACTCAAGAGACTGTAGGCAGTTTGGACATGGCTTTATTCTCTCCCCTCCTACAGAGTCAGCAGTGCAGTTATATTTTTCACAGACAACAGTGGCTCAAAGCCAGGTATGAGCTCACACAAACAGGTTATATGAAATGGCTACATAAATGTGATTACATAGTGCGTGGGATTGTGTGCCTGTGCTCCAAATCTGCTGTGTCATACTGTACCACTGCCTTAGCCCACTTCTGACTGAAGCACTGCCATTTTCCTTACAATGGGAGTGAACACATCTCTCAACATACTTATTTTAATTCTCTTAAAAGTAGGTATGTGTTTTCCATGGAATAATATATTTATTATGAATTTATCAAACTGCTGGTTTACGAATTGAAAATTTTTATTAACTATGAAATGAAATTCTCAAGAACAGTGGAAAAATAATTTCCACAATGGGAAAAATATATAGGAACCTTACTGAATAAAAGATATCTTTAATCAATTTAAGACATTGTAAATAATTACATATTTGCCTAAGGATAAATTGAAAATAAATTTTCTATGAATGAACAGCAATCATTTAAATAATACAAATATCTGCTAAATATACATTATATATTGTTATATGTATATCTATATTACTCATCTTTGAAATATTTATTGCAATCTGTCCCATTACTTTATGCTATAAGAAGTCATATTTTTCTATCTTTTAATAAGCAGATTGACAAGTCAGCTTATTTAAGGTAAATAAACATAAAATTCTGAACTCAGTTCTGAATCTGAAGTAAATACTTTTGAGCAACAATTCTTAACAAAATATTTGGTTAAAGCTGTAAAATATGTCTTGATTCTAGATGAGTCCTTCAACAATTAGTAATGACATTATTTCCATTATTGTTTGTTTTTGATAATATATTTAAAATGTAACTTAATATTTGTGTTATTTTTAGTAAAATTAGATACCAATACAAAAATGCAAAAGGAGTATTTATGTGCTGGGATAAGAGGGAAAGAGGCATTATATTTCAAGATTTGCACAAAAATATAGTTTTTAAATGGTACACTGATAATTTTGATAAAGAAGACTAAATTAAATACATCAATTCCAAGAAGCATTAAGCTTTCAAGATAGAAAGAGAAATAGAGAAAGACAGAAATAGTTTTTTAAACATACATATTGCAATTAACGACAAATATGTTGTAATATTGTATATATAATATATAAAATATATAATATAGTATATTGTTATAAAATGATTTGTATATTGTTATAAAATGATTTGTATATTTCTAGAAGTATATATTCAGTGAATACAGAGAATAATTACAGCTTCTCAGTATGTTTTTTTGCAAGAATATAGTATATATATAACACACAAAATATGTATTAATTTGCTATTTATGCTACTGGTAAGGCTTCAGGTCAATGATAGGCTATTAGTAGTTAAGTCTTTAGGGACTCAAAAGTTACATGCAGATAGTCAGCTGTGCAGAGGATTTGCACCTCAAACTTTGCATTTTTCAAGGGTAAACTGTACTTATACATCAAATATATGAGCTGAGGAGTTAGTTTTTAGGCAAAAAATTTACATAAAAATTTTATTCTCTCATTACCTGCAGCATGGTATAGTGAAAAGAGCACTAGGCTTACAGATAGATCACCAATATTTATGTAATGGGTAAGTCATTTGTCTTCACAAGACCTGAATTTGCTTATTTGAAATGTGAAGATGTTATAGTAGATCAATTATATTGCCTATTCTAGGTTTCTATTTAAATACACTATGATGGTATTATGTTTCATCTCTTATTGTTATTTTTTACATATGTAATCTTATATTTTTTTGTATACTTCTCTCTTCCTTCAAAATTACCCAGCACCAATCTTTGTGCTGTTCTTAGTTTATACCAAAACATTTAAATCACTACTTTTCATTGCTAATACAATATTGATATAAATAGACTAAAATAATATTAATGATAAATTGATGTTCTTTATATCTGAAATATATTTATTAAAATATAGAAAAAATATAATTTGAGACCTTTAATGGGCTCTGTGAACATAAATCCATTCATAATATTTAAAATTATATTTTATATAAAAGTAGCCTGCTAGGATATCTTTACAAGAGGGTTAGAAAAACATTTAACCCGTCAGTTAGATGAAAACAGAACCTATTATTTTCTTATGTGACATATAATCAAACTATATCTTGAAAATTGAAAAGCAGCTCTCTTTAACAATAATCATATAGCTTTCCTCTAAGCTTAAATCAATATTTTCTTAGCACAAACCAGAAAATAATAAAATAGTAAGTCTAATTAATAAAGACAGTCAACAGTTCCTAAAAATTTTTTAAAAATTGATAAAACTCATATTTGGATGAACACAGACTTCTTTGCCAAGGCAAAAGAACATTGCCTGAAATCAATATATGTGGAAATATTAAATATAAATCAGACAAAAGGAAGTGGTCATATGATACAGTCACCCTTTGACCAAATCCATTGTGTTCATACTACCTTAGCTTTTCTCTGTTAAAATTAATGTTATTAATATGACCTGAACTAAACAAAATATTTGTAAGAGTTTATACTCACTGCAGTCTCAGTACATATAAAGAAAAACAAATACTATCTTAACTAAAATTTAATAAAAGTCATTAGCTTTTACCAATGTCAGCAAGAAGTAAAAAAGAAAAAAATCATGAGATAAAAGGACACTGAGAAACAAAAATTTCATAAATATCTTGATCAGGTAGTGATTCCTTTCACTTACAGCCAATTCAATAATAGCAGTGTTGACATTCTTTTTATAAATTTAAGACAAAGATTATCCATTTGATTAGAATATGTATGCTAATCAAATGTATTCAAGAATATATTCTTGAAAATCAACTGAATGTAAATATGATTTTTGACTAATGACTATGAGCAAATCACCCTATTAAGTGTTTGGGAGACAAAGATGAATGAATTTTAGTCTGCACTCAGGAAATCAGATGAATGATAAAAAAAAGTGTAACTTTTTTTATTATCTGTAGAACAGTCTTACAAAACAAATAAGTAATTGAAAGTTGACTTTAGCTAATTTTTCAGAAACAAATTTTAAAGGACACTTTCATGTTCTATAAGTATTTACAAGTACCATATATACATCATATATATATTTAGGAATACATATAATATAGAAATATGTATATTTAGGACAATGTACACATATAAGAATATACATATTTAAAGTTAAAGTTCTTTAAACTTTTTAGGTATAAATCTAATGATGATTATACTCTTATACTGAAAGCTTTACATTTGTGAAAATATGTGAAAAGATAAAATCTGCATATTTAATGATAGGAAAGGGCACAGGTTAGAATTTAGTATTTGTGTTTTCAATTTGTTTAAGGTAGGCCTTTTGGTTTATTAAATTATTGCTCTAAAGTATTGTTTTTAAATCTACAAGGATCATAGTTTTATCTTCATACTTTGCACTTTTAATATAGAGATATATGTATACAGAATTACATAATTAAGTGTAAAATATTCTTATCCATATTTCTCTATAAATTACAACTTAAGGAAGTCTTCTTTTTAGAATCATAAGGTTATGAGACAAGTCCTCTTGCCCAGTTGCTGGTAGTAAAAATTCACTTTATTTATGTATTAACTTTTACTTTAGTTTCTGAGGTACATGTGCAGGTTGGTTCTATAAACAAATTGCATGTCACGGGGATTTGGTGTACGTATTATTTCATCACCCAGGTAATAAGCATCGTACCCAATAGGTAGTTTTTCAATCCTCATCCTCCTTCCACCCTCCACCCTCAAGTAGGCCCAAGTGTCTGTTGTTCTCTTTTTTATGTCCATGTGTACTCAGTGTTTGCCTCCCAGTTATAAGCGACAACATGCGGTATTTGGTTTTTCTGTTCCTATGTTTGCTTACTTAGGATAATGTTCTCCAGGTTCATTCATATTGCTGCAAAGTACATAATATCATTTTTTATGGTTGTATAGTATTCCATGGTGATTACGTACAATATTTTTATCACCCAGTCCACAGTTGATGGGTATTTAGGTTGATTTTATGTCTTTGCTATTATGATTAGTGTTGCAATAAACATATACAAAAATCATCTCATGATGAATTAAAGACTTAAATGTAAAACCAAAACCTACAAAAAAACTCTTCAAGAAAACCTATAATTTTTAAAGGAAACTAGAGATTGTCTGATGAGCATATCAAAGGGCAGAAGAAAATATTTTGTAAGTGTTACCTAACGGCCTACTGGAGGAAGTGAAACTCATCATGAATCTACTTCAAAACAAAAGAAACAGGTGAATAACTAGGTGAACAGCCAGCTGCTTATGTATTAATACACTTCATGGGAAAAATATTTAACAAAATAGAGCCTTCTGATGTACCTTCAGAACAAAAAATAATAATGATAAAATAGAGCCTCATGTACAAGTTTAAATATGTTTCTTTCTTACTCTTAAATATGATAATGCAGCCAGGCGTGGTGGCTCATGCCTGTAATCCCAGCACTTTGGGAGGCCAAGGTGGATGGATCACGAGTTCACGAGTTCAAGACCAGCCTGACCAACATGGTGAAACTGGTCTCGACTAAAAATACAAAAATTATCTGGGCATGGTAGCACATGCCTGTAATCCCAGCTACTCAGGAGGCTGAGGTATGAGAATAGCTTGAACCCAGGAGGCAGAGGTTGTAGTGAGCTGAGATCGCTCCACTGCACTCCAGCCTGGGTGACAGAGCAAGACACCTCTCAAAAAAAAAAGTATATAATAATGCATGTGATTTCCACCAATAACACCTTTCTAACTTTCAACTGAAGCATCATGAAAGAAAGAGAGAAAATAATTTTAAGTCTGAGTGAGGAAGTTACTATCAAGTCAATTCAAATACATCATACAGATTGAATATTCCTTATCCGAAATGCTTGAGACTGAAAGTGTTTGAGATTTTAATTTTTTCTTTGAATTTCGGAATATTTGCCTGTACATGATATATTTTGGGAATGAAACACAAACCTAAGCACAATATTCATTTGTGTTTCATATATACCTTATACACACAACCTGAATGTAATTTTATAGAAAAATTTAAATAATTTTGTGAATAAAACAGTTTTTACTGTGTTTGAGTGTGACCCATCATATGATATCAGCTGTGAAATTTTCTACTTGTGGTGGTGTATCAGTCTGTACTCACATTGTGAATAAAGACATAACTAAGACTGGGTAATTTATAAAGAAAAGAGGTTTAATTGACTCACAGTTCCACGCAGCTGGAGAGGCCTCACAATCATGGTGGGAGAGCAAGGGATGTCTTACATGGTGGCAGGCAAGAGAGAGCTAGTGCAGGGGAACTCTCCTTTATAAAACCAGCACATCTCATGAGACTTATTCACTATCACTAGAACAGCACAGGAAAGACCTGCCCCCATGATTCAATTACTTCCCCCCGGGTCCCTCCCACAACACATGGGAATTGTAGGAGCTACAATTCAAGATGAAATTTGGATGGGGACACAACCAAACCATATAATTCTGCCCCTGGTCCCTCCCAAATCTCATGTCCTCACATATCAAAACCAGTCATGCCTTCCCAACAGTCCCCCAAAGTCTTAACTCATTTCAGCATTAACTCAAAAGTCTACAGTCCAAAGTCTCATCTAAGAAAAGGCAAGCCCCTTTCTCCTATGAGCCTGTAAAATTAAAAGCAAGTAAGTTACTTCCTAGATACAATGGGGATACAGGCATTGGGTACATACACCCATTCCAAATGGGAGAAATTGGAAACAAAGGGGCAAAGCCAGTCCAAAATCCAGCAGGGCAGTCAAATTTTAAAGCTTCAAAATGATATCTGACTTCATGTCTCACATCCAGGTCATGCTAACGGAAGAGGTGGGCTCCCATAGCCTTGGACAGCTCCGCTGCTGTGGCTTTACAGGATACAGCCCCTCTCCCAGCTGCTTTCACAGACTGGCATTGAGTGTCTGCAGCTTTTCCTAGTGCACAGTGCAAAGTGCAAGCTGTTGGTGGATCTACCATTCTGGGATCTGACAGCACCTCCCATCACAGGCCCAGAGGCCTATAAGGAAAAAATGGTTTCTTGGGCCAGGCCCAGGGTCCTCCTGCTGTGTGTAGTCTCAGGACATGGTGTCCTACATCCCAGCTGCTCTAGCCATGCTAAAAGGGAGTAAGGTACAGCTCTTCTCACAGCTCCACTAGGCAGTGCACCAGTGCAGACTCTGTGTGGGGACTCCAACTGTACATTTCCCTTCTACACTGCCCTAGCAGAGGTTCTCCATGAGGGCCCCACCCCAGGAGCAAACTTTTGCCTAGACATCTACATTTTTCCATACATCCTCTGAAATCTAGCTGGAGGTTTTGAAACCTCAATTGTTGATGTTTGTGCACCTGCAGGCTCAACACCACGTGGAACCTGCCAGGCCTTGCAGCTTGCATCCTCTGAGGCCACAGCTGAGCTGTACCTTGGCCCCTTTTAGGATGGCTGGAGCAGTTGGGATGCAGGAGACCATGTCCTGAGGCTGCACACAGCAGGGGGTCCTGGGCCAGGCCTGGAAATCATTCTTTTCTCACAGGCTTCTGGGCCTGTGATAGGAGGTGCTGCCATGTCTCCAACATGCCCTTGGAGACATTTTTCCTTTCGTCTTGTTGCTTAACATTGGGCTCCCTGTTACTTATGAAAATTTCTGCTCCTGGCTTGAATTTCTCCCCAGAAAACGGGATTTTATTTTCTATCACTTTGTCAGGCTGCCAATTTTCCAAACTTATGTTCTGTTTCCTCTTGAATGCTTTACCATTTAGAAATTTCTTGTGTCAGATTCTCTAAATCATCTCTCTCAAGTTCAAAATTCCACAGATCTCTAGGGCAGGGACAAAATCCTGCCGGTATTTTTGCTAAAGCATAACAAGAGTCACGTTTGCTCCAGTTTCCATCAAGTTCCTCATCTCCATCTGAGACCACCTCAGCCTGGACCTTATTGTCCATATCACTAACAGCATTTTGGTCAAAGCCATTCAACAAGTCTTCAGGAATTCCCAAGTTTCCGACATCTTTCTGTATTCTGAGCCCTCCAAGTATCTGGGAAGTTCCAAACTTTCCCACACTTTCTTATCTTCCTCTGAGCCTTTCAAAAAGTTCCAACCTCTGTCTATTACTCAGTTCCAAATCACTTCCATATTTTTGGGTATCTTTACTGAAGCACCCCGCTACCTGGTACTAATTTACTATATTAGTCTGTTCTCATGCTGCTAATAAAGATATACCTGAGGCTAGGTAATTTGTAAAGGAAAGAGGTTTAATTGACTCAATTCCACATGGCTGAGAGGCATCACAATCATGGCAGAAGAGCAAGGGACATCTTACATGGCAGCAGGCAAGGAGAGCTTGTCAAGGGGAACTCGTCTTTATAAAACCATCAGATCTCATGAGACTTATTGGCTATCATGAGAACAGCATAGGAAAGACCCTCCTCCATAATTCAATTACCTCCCACTGTGTCCTTCCGACAACATGTAGAAATGGTGGGAGCTACAATTCAAAATGAGACTTGGGTGGGGATAAAATCAAACCATATATGGTGTCATACTGATGTTTAAAAAGTTTTGGATTTAGGATTATTTTGTATTTCAGATTTTCATATTAGTGATGCCCAACTTGTATAAATTAATCCTCATTACAAATTGAAAAATAATTTCATGTATTTTGTATAGTAGATGTTGCATCTGGGATTAATGAGTTGAACCAACCATTGTTAACAGGACTAACTGGTAAGAGCTGCCCTGGAATTGGAATGAAAGATCAACCTCAAGCCTATATGACTATCTAAGTTCATTTTCTTTTCACCACAATGCATTACCTTTAAGATTACAAATTTCACATAACTTAGATTTAACACAGAAGAGTATCAGTAAGAAAGAAAATTCCAAGAAATGTAAGTAAGTTTGAATTCAGATTTTACCATTTTCAAGGTTTTGTTTCAGAAATAGTTCTTTCTGCAGCAGATGTTACCTGTATTGCTCTCCTAAGAAACAGTTGACAAATATCTACATATATTGTGCATAAAATTTCTAGAAATGTATATCTTTGAATTTTTTATTAGTGTACATCATGTTTTTTGCAAATATAGAAATATTCTCATACTCTTTAAATCTATATAGAGATTGACAAAGAGAGATTATGTATATACACACACTGATATGGTGGTTTGGCTGTGTCCCTACCCAAATCTCATCTTGAAGTGTAATTCTCATAATCCCTATGTGTTGTGGGAGGGACCCAGTGAGAGGTAGTTAAATCATGAGGGTGGTTTCCCCCATGATGTTATTGGGATAGTGCGTGAGTTCTCACAAGATCTCATGTTTTTATAAGCATCTGGCATTTCCCCTGCTGGCACTCATTCTCTCTCCTGCCGCCCTGTGAAGAGGTGCCTTCCACCATGATTGTAAGTTTCCTGAGGCCTCCCCAGCCATGTGGAACTGTGAGTCAAGTAAACCTCTTTTCTCCATACATTACCCAGTCTTGGGTAATTCCTTATAGCAATGCAAGAAGGGACTAATACACACACAGATACACACACACACACACACACACACACACACTCTCACTGATTCAGAAACCCAGATATGAAGATAGGACCACCAAAATTCACTGTGGAGTATTCAACAATCATTTATATCACATAATGAAGTAATATAGCCTTTACATTTGAAGTAGAAAAATTGAAAAAAATTATATCCTAATAAATATTTACAGATATTTTATTTAAGTAATATACATCTGCTTGTGGTGTAATTGCTAGCCCAGAATTCTCTGCAGAATTTAGGTCTCAGTAGTAAAATATAAAGCTAATACATTTATAGGTAAATTTGTTTTTAATGTTTATTTTTTAATATGTAGTCTCAATGTATTTTATATTTATAAAGCATTTCATAGGGACAAAAATAACTTATGAGCAAATAAACTTCTATATGAACTGGTTGACTTTACCAAAAAAAGTCAGACAAATAGGAAATTTTGGAAATAAAAGTCACCTATTTCTCCTAAGCAATATTTAACATATAACTTCTGATTGCAATGACAATTAGCATAGTATGTGGTAACAGTTGTAAAAATTAAATTAACTGTAATGAACTCATGAATATATGCCATGCAAGTGTGTTTTATTTGCCAGTTTTTTTTTTGTTTGTTTTGGGTTCTGCAACTTGCTGTGCTTGTCTATTTATTTCTAGTTATATGATTAAAACTTCCCCTTAAAGACTCATGTCCTTGTCATTCTTCTCTTGCAAACAATTAATCAACAATATTAATCAAGATTTCATATACTAAACAACTCTAGTTGCTTATCCAGCCATCACAGAACCAGTATGCAGCAAGATGGTTCTGATTTTATGGTGTGGATCAAGACAGGTTATGGAATTTATTTCCCTTTAACTATCATGAAAATTAAATTTCCTAATGTCATTTTGAAGCCAAGACATTCACAGAATCCTGTGTTATAAGTCTTGGTTTTGAAGGTATTAAAAATGTTCCTATGTCTCTTTTTATGCTTTCGTTAGTTTGTTATAGTGTTGAACTTATTAGTATTATTCCCAAGACCAAAACCGCATATAAATGATGCATCTATAAGGTTTATTATGATTCATAACTATCACTATTATGATTTTTTTCTGACAAAAATTTTAATTGTCTCTAGATAAACATCCCAATTGCTGAATTTCTTCAGGCTAGGTAATACGAAAAAGCTGAAATACTTCTCAAATTCTGGTTTTATTTCAATATGTAGATTAAAACCTAGGCTTTGGAATTTATATTGTATATATTACATATGTAATTTTAAAGTATTAGTGTGTGTACACATATATATACACACACATGTTGGTATGTATAGATTACATTCGTGTATATATATATAAAATAAACATACACATATAATTTATATATCTACCTGCATATTTATGTTGATTGGTAAAGAAATCTGAGGTGATTGAATATTAGATTTAATTTAATATGTATTTACTGACATAGAAACATTTATGTTTATTAGGAAAAGAAACACTGTTTGATTATATAATCCTTATATATTGTGTTCTCTCATATTGTAGTATATATTTCTCTAAGATTCTCTTGTTGGTAATGCTGACACATTGTCTACCAAGAGGTTTGGTAATTGGAAGAGCATTTGTTGCAGAATTCTTACATTAAATTAAGAAACTATAATAAAATTGTAAAGAAACTATAATAAAATTCTAATAAGTTCTCTTTCACTACTTAACTACATTGAAAGCAATAGCATCTGAATAAAAAGGATTCATCTTAATCTACATTTAAAATGAGAGTCAAAATTAAGATCAAATCAGTGATTAGGATACTAAATATTGTATGTCATGGTGTATCATATAAATAAGCATTTATTAAATGCCTATTATATGGACTACGGCAAGTTAGAATAAATGGCCACTGCCTTCAAAGAGTTAAACATGTATTTGAGGAAAACAACATTATAAGTTAAATAACATTTTCCAACTATAATAAAAGTGATGTCACAAAGAAGTTCAGGAGTAACTGCCAAGTAAATTGTTCAACAATATTACATCTAGAGTATTAAGGAAAACGAGTCCATGTTGATGGGAGTGGTCTGGGACTGCTTTATGCACAGGGAAAGGACATAGAGGAAAGAATAGGCAGTGCATAACTCTACTGGAGGGTTCAAGAAAGCCATCTATAAATATGTGAATTTATTCTTCCCCAGAGTTAACATCATAAAAACAAGCAAAAACAAGCTACCTTTGCATTTCTTTTTTGGAACTGAATTTAAGAAACTTTTTATTTATTTATTTATTTATTTATTTATTTATTTATTTATTTTTTATTTTTTGAGAAGGAGTCTCGCTCCATCGCCCAGGTTGGAGTGCAGTGGCGCCTTCTCGGCTCACTGCAAGCTCTGCCTCCCGGGTTTACGCCATTCTCCTGCCTCAGCCTCCCGAGTAGCTGCGACTACAGGCGCCCGCCACCACACCCAGCTAATTTTTTGTATTTTTAGTACAGACGGGGTTTCACCGTGTTAGCCAGGATGGTCTTGATTTCCTGACTTTGTGATCCACCCACCTCGGCCTCCCAAAGAATTTAAGAAACATTTAAAGCAGATAGATAAACACTGGGTTCCATCTCATCCAAAGGAAGAGTAGTGATAAAGTGAAAAAGTTGCAATTAGCATTACAAGATATTGCAAAGTTTCCCAGTTCTCCTTCGAAGGTAACAAATAAAATAAAAACAACCTATATTTAAAATTTCTAATGAACAGTTCAAATGTTGTTTTACTATTTATTCACTCAATGAATAATAAAACACATTAATTGAGTGAATAGACAAGATTCATTAATGGAATAAACAAAATAAGACAAAAGTCTTCCATTGTTGGATTTACCTTCTAGTGAGAGAGGAAAGCATTGGGAAAGACAAGTGTATAAAATCTTACATATATATATATACACACACACACTATATATATATACACACACACACATACATTATATATAAAAAACACACACATACACATACATATATATGAAACACCTCTCAGTGATAAGAAAATAAGGCAGAGTAAGAGAAATGAAGAGGAGGGAGGCTACTTCAGATGTAGTAGACAGGTTGGACACTGTAAGTACACGGTATTTTAGCAACACACGTATCAGCTCTCAGTAAGTTTAGAAAATAAAATCCTTGTTTAAAGTTCCCTCTAGACCATATAATTTGTACAAGGGAGATACTAATTTAACTTCTAATAATTTGGCTGGTGGGTACATGCGAACATACTTCAGCAGAGCCCTTTTCTAGCATGTTTAAATGTTACAGAGATTTATGTCCTCAACATAGCTATATAGAGTAAATATGTCATCACATTATGTCACATTCCTTTACGCAAGTGTTAAAAGGACATTCCTTGAATTAATATGACCAAAAAGATAAAGGTGAAGTAAAAATCAGGGGGAAATGGATAAGAGAGAAGAACAAGACTCCAAGAAAAGTAACCTCAAAGTAGACTCTATTACAAATCTGCAGTTGAAGATCATCTGCTAGCTAGGCTTTCCCATCCTCTTTCCTTAACCTGACCTCCTGAGAGCAAAAGGTAGATTGAGCAAGTATCCATCTGTTGTAAAACTATGGCATCTTCAAGAGAATGTAGAAAAATAAAAGTCTTTCCTGATAAATATGGTATTATATTTTGATTCTGGCAGCTGTCCAGGACTGTGTATAAATCATTTTTTTCATAGAACATAAAAGCACAGTATAAAAAGAAAATTCCACTCTACAACCAACTATAGATTATTCATTGTGCCATTTTTGTCAATGAGCGTAATCCAGAGACTCAGGTTACATATCCAAGTTCACACACAGCCTCTCCTTCTGTTTTTTGTTTCTTTCTCCCTTTGATGCTTTTTTCTCTCTTCCTCTCTCCATTTGTCCCTCCATTTCTTCCTCCCTTACACCTTTTCTCCCTTCTATCCTTCCCTCCCTCTTACCTCTTGCTCTCTTTCTTTCCTTTCTTTATTCTCTTTTCCTTCCTTCCTATTTTTTCTTTTCCTTCCTTTCTTCTTTTGTTTTTTTTCTCTTATTAATAATGGAAGAATATAATTTTCCTGATTTCCAGATTCAATGTTTTTCCATGTTGCCTCTTAACAGTACAGTACAGTACAGTACCATCCATCACATAAATCCTAAGCAAATACACTTCTCCATTTTCTCATTTAATTTAACCAATACATATTAAGTACGTGCTAGGCACTTTTTAGGTACTAGAAATACAGAGATTTCAAAATATTTTATACTCTCAGGAAAATCACAGTGTAGGAATACAGATGGGCAGTGACCAATATTTGCAAATTGCATTTTGGAAGCACTGGGGTAAAATGTGTAAAACAAGCCACATTTTAGGAAACAGTGGCTGGAGAAACTAATGCCTGAGATAAAACTTCAAGTATGAGGAAGGGAGAAAGTGTAACTTCAGATGAAGCATTAAGTGGAGAGACAGTATCTTAGGTGGAGAAATATGCACAATATCTGAAGCAAAGAGTGGTGAGAAGTGAAGTTGAAAATCAGTAAAATGTTTGTTTTAAGAAAATATTCGAGTCGTATAGGATTGTAGACAGATTTGGGAAGTATGTTAGATATAATATAATCAGGGTTTGATGTCTGCATGACTGAAGATGGGGACTGGATAGAATAGTAAGGGTGACTATCAAATGTTTAAATTTGGTTTTTGGAAATCAAAAATTCAAACCAGGATAGAGATATGTTTGATTTTAAATATGTTAAGGTAAGAGCCTCAAATTCACAGAAGAAATCTGGCCTGAATCTAGTGACCTCAATAGTTATTAGCATATAAAGGGTACCAAAACCTTGAAGCTAGATAAGATCAACCAGATAGGATGTCGACTCTCTCTAGAGTATAGAAGCCTGTGGAGCATTCACACATAAACTGCTAGATGCTAGGAATATATTACAGATGTAATTTTTTTTTTATTTTTTGAATTTAATTTTTAAATTGTTAAATTTTAATTTTTAAATTTTAAATACATTTTAAAATTTTACTCATTAAATATATATAATTTTTCTCATTTATATGTAAATATATGATTTTACTCATTAAAAATATATAAGCATATTTAATGAGTAGACATATTTAATGAGTAAAATACATATATAGTACATACATATATTTATACATATGTAATACATATATATTTAATGAGTAAAAATTTATTTAAAAATTTATTTTAAAAACAGGTGAACACTACAGAAGTTAGAAGATAAGTGATATTTTGGAGATGATAATATTTAAGAGGTAGATAGAGGAAAAAGGGCTCATGAAAAAATGCTGGAGAGAAAGGTCAGAGAAACTGAATAAAAGGCAAGTTTGAAGAAGCAGGTTAGCAGAACAACAAATTGCAGCCAAAAGTTTCAATAAGATATGACTGACAAAATAAGCAAAATCAGAAATAACAAAGGTAACATTGCAACCTGTCCCACAGAAATACAAAAGATCCTCAGAAATTATTATGAAAAACTTTATCTACTCAAACTAGAAAATCTACAGGAAATACATAAATTCTGGGAAACACACCTACGATTGAATCAGAAAGAATTTGAAACCCCGAACAGACCAATATTGAGTTCTAAAATTGAATTAGTAATTAAAAAAAACTTACGGTGAAAGAAAAGCCTCCAACCAGATAGATTCACAGCCAAATTCTACCAGATGTACAAAGAACTAGTACCAATTTTGCTGAAACTATTCCAAAAAATTGAGGAGGAGGGATTCCTCTCAAATTCATTATAGGAAGCCAGCATCACCCTGACACCTAGAACTGCCAAAGACACACACACAAAGAAAAAAAAAAACAGCCCAATATCAGTGATGAGCATAGATGCAAAAATCCTCAGCAAAATACTAGCAAACCCAAACCAGCCACATATCAAAAATGTAATTCACCATGATCAAGTAGGTTTTATTTCTGGGATGCAAGGTTGGTTCAGTATGTGCAAATCAATAAATGTGATACATCATATCAACGTAATGAAGGACAAAAACCATATGATCATCTTAATAGACATGGAAAAAACTTTTGATGAAATACAACACCCTATTATAATTTTTTAAAAACCCTCAAGAAACTAGGCATTGAAGGAACATACCTCAAAATAATAAGAGTCATCTATGACAAACCCACAGCAAATATCATATTGAATGGGCAAAAATGGAAGCATTCCCCTTGAGAACTGGAACAACACAAGGGTGTCCACTCACACCCCACCCCCCATTCTATCTCTCTGCAGGTAATATGCATATCTAGACAACCCTAAAGACTCCTCCAAAAGGCTCCTGGAACTGATAAACAACTTCAGTACAGTTTCAGCACATAAAATCAATGTACAAAAACCAGAAGCATTTCTATACACCAATAAAATTCAAGCTGAGAGCCAAATCAAGAACACAATTCTATTTATCATTGCCACAAAAAAATTATATTTATGAATACATCTAACCAAAAGGTGAAAGATCTCTGCAAGGAGATCTACAAAACACTGCTAAAAGAAATCATAGATGGTCCAAGTAAATGAAAAAATATTTTATGTTCATATAGTGGAAGAATCAACATCATTAAAATGGTCATACTGCCCAAGCAATCTACAAATTCAACACTATTTTTATCAAATTACCAGCATTTTTCACAGAATTAGAAAAAAAACTATTGTAAAATTCATATGGAACCAGAAAAAGAGCCTGAATAGGCAAAGCAATCCTAAGCAAAACGAACAAAGCCAGAGGCATCACACTACCTGACTTTATACTATAAAGCCACAGTAACCAAAACAGCCTGGTACTGGTACAAAACAGACACATAGACCAATGGAACAGAATAGAGAACCCAGAAACAAAACACCACACCTATAGCCATCTGACCTTTGATGAAGTCAATAAAAATAAACAATGGGGAAAGAACTCTCTATTCAATAAGTGGTGCTGGGCATGGTGGTGCACACCTGTAATACAAGGTACTCAGAAGTCAGGAGAATTGCTTGAACCCAGGAGGCCAAGGTTGCAGAGAGCCAAAATAGCACTACTGCACTGTGGCCTGGGTGACAGAGCAAGACTCCATCTCAAAAAAAAAAAAAAAAAAAAAAAAAAAAAGGAGCAAAAGACCTGAACAGTCACTTCTCAAAAGAAAACATACAAGTGGCCAAGAAACATATAAAAAATACTCCATATCACTAATCATTGGATAAGTGCAAATCAAAACTACAAGGAGATATCATCTCATACCAGGCAGAATGGATACTATTAAAAAGTCAAAAAACAACAGATGCAGGCAAGACTGCAGAGAAAGGGGAACATTTATATACCGTTGTTGGAAATGTAAATTAGTTCAACCAGTGTGGAAAGCAGTTTGAAAATTTTAAAGAACTTAAAACTACCATTCTACCCAGCAATCACATCACTGGGTATATATTTAAAACAAATATATATACCCAGCGAAAATATAAAATAAATCATTCTGCCAAAAAGACACATACACTGATATGTTCACTATTCACAATAGCAAAGACATAGAATCATCCTAGGTGCCCACCAATGACGGATTGGCTAAAGAAAATGTGGTACATATATTGTATGGAATACTACACAGCCATAAAAAAGAACAAAATCATGTTATTCACAGTAACATTGATGCAGCTGGAGGCCATTGCACTAAGTGAATTAACACAGGGACAGACAATCAAATACTGCATATTCTCACTTATAAGTGAGAACTATACATTGAGTACACATGGACATTAAGATGGGAACAGCAGATACTGGGGACTACTGGAGAGGGGAGGGAGGGAGAAGGTAAGGGTTGAAAAACTAACTATTGGGTGCTATGCTCAGCACCTGGGATCAGTACTGAGCACAGTCATACCCCAAACCTCAGCATCACACAATATACCCATGTAACAAACCTACACAGTTTGTTACATGGTATATGGGGTATATAGGGGGTAAACTACCCCCAAATCTATAATAAAAGTTGAAATTATAAACTGTATAAAAGAACTTAAAAAAAGATATTACTGACAACATAGCATTGTCAGTCAAATGCTGGGAGCAGGGCCAGTTAATTTAAGAATGAAAGTGAGGTCAAAAGAAATGACAGTGCATGCACACTAGAACTTTAATAAGATGAGATGTGTGGGATCAAGGAATGAATGTGTGTTTGTTTTAGATGAAAGAAAATTTTTATAATTACTGGAGGACAATGAATCTTCCAACTTACTTCCATTCTGATTGTATAAACTAAATGGCTAGTTTAAGAATAACAATCTCTGTTTGCAAATAACTTATATTCAGAGATAGATAAATAAATATACCTGTGCAGATAAATCAATATTCTCTATTTAGTAATTTTTAAGTTAAAATATTTCCATGTGTAGTTATTTTATTGATTAGTAGGTAATTATTGAGTAGTTAGTATTTGATATACTAACTCTAAGACAGTATACTATGTGCTGAGAAATAAAGATATTCAGTCCATATTTTGTATTTTCAAAGGACTGTCAATTTAGCTTGCATTTTTTACAAAGATTTATTTCATTAATTCATGGGGAAACTACATTATTAGAAAAATAATATATATATATATACATGTATATCTTAGTGATTGAATTTAAATGTGCCACTAGTAGCAGAAGCAAAACATTAATTAATCATTTCTGAACTATTATTCTATAATTATGCTTAAACTTTAACAAAAGATTTTCCTAAACTCTTGCAGTATTTTAATAGCTGTGACAATAAAACTTTAGCTATATGTATGCTGGGGCCAAAATAATATTATGTCAAGTTATGATATTTTAAAATTACTGGGAGGGTCTAACTATGAAGAAAAAAAATCACCTTTACTACTTCTAACTACAAAAATAAACCCTCAAAATAATTAGTAATTAATGAGTTTCTAAAACTGTACTTAGAAAATGACCCTTGATTCAAAACAGTGCCATGCCTATAGCAAGAACATAATAAAATCTGAATGAATATAGATATTAATATATATTTCCTAATATGATATGTTATAAAGGATTAATCTTAATGTTTCAGAGTACCTTGATAAACAGGGCATAAACTTGAGATTACTTTTAATGCTTCTGTTAGTTATGGCTGCAAAAACTTTGTTTACCTACCTGCATTTAAATGACGTTGTATACCTCTACTAGAAATCTCATATCTCCACAACCTCTTCTTTCACCCAGTCTCTAAAGAGGTATGTCCCAAGGTCTTTAGTCTTTTCCTCTTTTCACATACCATTTCCCATATATAGACCATTTTGACACAAACTGTCCATGCTATAGGCATTTTGATATCCAGAGCAAGGAAGTCAAAATTAAACATTTTTGTTCATAAGGTTGGAGACTGAGAAACGCAACAGTTTAAATTTTACTTCTTGATACTTAAAAGAAAACTACAGACTTTTACCTTTTTTTCAACATCAATTAGCATTAAGGAAACAATATTAAGGCCAGGAATAGGCATTTTTTCCTTTTCCCTTTTCTCCATATTTTTTAGTGACCAACACTAACTACCCCATCTCCCATGAACTGACGAATGGCTTCAAGTCACTTTCCTCTTTCCTTAGGGTAGGGACAGCTGACTGCCAAATGGTTCTCCATAAGACTATTTTTTTATTAGGGTCATGTGCTATTAATTCTTTTGATAGTGCTTTCTGCTCTCTTATTAGAGCATACAGGGAAGTGCTTCTTGGGAAGTATTAGGCCAAAGTCATGAGAGTGAAAGCCAGGTTTGTACAACTTATTTCTTCTACTTACTTTCAACACTTTTTGACACTTTTTCTTCTATTTTCTGACACATAAAGTTCTATTCAAACTAGTTTCTGAACAATGTCTTAGCATGTCCTCTATGCCTTTTCCCCTTTTCTCCAATTTTTATGTGTCAAAATTCTGTTTATTCATAGAGAGTAATTTATGTTTCATTTTCTCTATTAGATGAGGCAAATTCTTCTGGCATAATGAAATAGTAAACTGTCCTTCCTTTTAACCCCATTGCATTTTTATTTCTTCTAGTACCTAATATAATTCACTGTTTTATTTTCCAATTACTCCCTTTAGTAGGGATTTTGTCCAAAGAGGCCTATACACAGTCAACAGTCATTGTTAAATATTTCATTGATGTAGGACATAAACATAAGCATCATTTAATCTTTAAAGATAAACTAATAAATATTTAAAGTATCTCCTGATTGTTTTATTTCAATTTTAATTCAATGTTTTATCTAGCTTATTATAAGAACATTTCCCATCGGAAAACATATCTTCTTAAAATTTATTTCAATTCAGTTTTCCATCTAGTTTATTATGGGAACATGTTCCCATCAGAAGACATCTCTTTTTTTTTTTAAATAGGAACATATAAATTTAGATCCTCCCTGGAAGACCATTAAGTACAGAAATAATAAGATGCTAAGTATAATTACTTTATTAAGCATCTTAATGTATCTGCGTGAAGACTATGTATTTGAAACTCACAAGCGGATCCCTTAACATGCCAATCATGTTTATGAATTCACGTCATTCACTGACCATTGTTAAATTGAGCTTGTGCTCTCTTATTAAAATATCCATATTTAAAGTATAAATCAGTGTTCAATATGTTGCTCAAGCAAAGGCATTCCATAACATGATGCAAAGTTCATTGTGCAACTTTCCAGAGCACAAAAAGATTGAAGAAGTATTAACGAAAGATCAATTCAGAGTTCATCTGTGAAATGGAACACACAAAAATGTCATCTCCATGAAAACAAAATGAATTTTAAGAAGCATAAGACATCATTTACTTTTATTAATAGCTAAAATAAATTAAAATTCTATTTATTGTACATATTTTTAAGGATAGCAGATGAAAAGAACAAAGAAAGTATGAAGGATAAGGGGAATTTATTTACATTAGGACAAGCACCTACACCTTTACTTTTTGGCATGTCAACTTTCTCATATAAAGAGAGTTAGAATTTCTAGAAATGGACTATTAAATGAGTTTATAACCAGGTTCATATCCTTAGAAATAGTTCCAAGCTATGTCCACACAACAAAATTATAGCCACTTCCTGGTAAATTTCAAAATCACTAAGGTGATGTTTATTAAACTAAAAACTCTACCTGGGTAAACACAAGGGAAAGTTTATTAGATAAGTTGATGTATGAAATAACCAGTTTCTACATGTACACTCAAGTCTATAAAAATCTTTATTCCAAGACAAGGCAAATAATGTGGTTTCCTTAATAGTACTGTCGTTTCTGATTCAATACATAAATCTACTGTAGCCAAGAAAAAGGTAAGAAACAGGAGGAAGGCATCTCTGCTTTCAGAGCTTTAACTTAAGCCTTTTGGGAAACCAGCATTCTCTAGCATCTTTTTAGAGCGTTGGGGCAGAGAAAATAGGAAGGTCAACAGGATGATGAATACTGACATCTCGCTTAGGGTCTGCCCACCGATTAAAGGAACAAAGGTACACGTTTTTGTTGACACTTCTGCAGTGACTCTTCTTTTGTCATAGGAGTCATCGGCGCCAGGACAACTGTCAACACCGCTGCACTTGAGAAAGTTGAGCTTGTACTGGGAACAGCTTAAAGAAGCCCACACAGCACAACAGCCTTTGTTGTTTAATTCATGAATCTGAACACACAAAAGCTCACAGGATCACACACACTGTCTCAATTTTCACGCTACCGTCTATAGTCTCTCATTTCATTTATTGCTTAACTTTTTGTCATATCTTAAATTACCCCATGAGTTGCATTCCCCTCTGTCCCTCTGTTCTTGCTATTTATTTTGTCTTAAGATCAGGAGCAGACTTGAGCACATCATCCACCTCTTTCTGATGGAGCGCATATTGGGTGCCTGGGAACGTCCTGTAAGCACCAACTTCAGCACCTTCTCTTGACAGAAAAGTTCTGTTCAAGGAAGATAGAGCGAAGGGGAGAAGTCAGTAAAACGCGTGAATTGCGTGGAGCAGGCACTCCCAGAACAAGTTTGGAGGATCCGTGATGGCTGAGCTCTTCCGAGTCCCTGGAGATGTCCCTCCCTCGCGATTGGTGCCTGCCCTGCCCCTGCCAGGGTCACTCTGCGCCACCTCCCTGGGGCTCAGGTTTCTTTTTAGAGGACCCCCCTTGTGCACTGGAGATGACAACGGCCTCTGCAGTTGGGCTCAGGGATGTCACTGGTCCTTCCCCCTTCCTCACAGAGAAATGAGGGAAGAAACAAAACAAAACAAAACAAAAACAGCCACTCGCTGGACTGAAAGGGTGGAGGCTGCGGACGTATCCTGTTGCAGGCGCTGCCTACCCAGTGCTGGGAGAAAAAGAAACAGTCGCAGACACGCACACTCACACTCGCAGGCACCTGGGGCTCCAAGAGAGAGTTAAATCTCCTTCGTGGAGTACCAAAGCCTCAGTCCATGGTGTCAGCCCTGAGACTGTCTGCATTCGCATGGAGTGGGCACCTCCGCTGGGGACAGATTACAGACGCGTCCGGCCCAAGGAATGCTTTGGAGAGCTGGGAGTGGGGCTGCAAGAAGGGTACTGTCTTCCAAGTGTCTTGGCTCAGCACACACGCTCACACGCACTCTCATGCCTCTGAGGTGGAGTGAAACAGGGCAGGGAGGGGTAAGGAAGAGGACGTTTATTGTTCCGTGCACAGCTCAATCTGGAAAGTACAAATACACACGTGAACCTGTTAGCCGTTCGCCCACTCAGCATGGGTTGTGGACGACAACCCTAGCTCATGATGGTTCCGGAAACAAGTGTTGACAGAAGTGCCATTAGGAACTTTGTATCTATATCATTCTTTCCTGGCCTTCGTGAATTCTCCTCCTGGGGAAGTGAAGGAAACTGTTCTCACGCAAGTTTCCCGGAGGAGAAACAATTATGAATAAAAGTAGCCACTAAGGACCTCCCTTTTAAACTCAGAGCACCTGCTTACATTCCCTACTCAAAGAAAGGGAGTGGCAGAAAGACATTCAAAGGTCTCCACAATCGGTTTAGTCTGTTATTTGTCTTTGTAATAGCTGATACTGGAAGCTGTTATAACCCTTCCTGAGGGAAACTTGCTGTTCTATCTCTCCCTTGGTCCGGTGCCATCTTTTACCTGTGCCTTGGTGGTCCTGGGAATGGGGAAAAGTCTCCATCATCTCAGGATCCTCCTGTCTCCACAGAAACTCCCCCCTGGATTCCCTTGTTGTCTTTGGCTAGGCAGCGGCTGCAGCTATCAGGCAGCCCTACCCTTTGGGTTTACAGGGCCTCTAGGTCAAAAAATACTAGGCGCAACTAGTAATCTTCCTCCCTAAGAGAGGCTATCATGCCCCCTGAAGATTTAGAAAATAAGAACCTCTGAATCTAGAACTTGCTGAAGAGTCAGCTGTGTGTTTGGATACAAATCTCTCTAAGGATCCACTAATTATGAACTTTCTTTGACATTTCGGTGTATCACAGAAAGCATTTCTCCATTATGGATACCTTGGCAAATCCGCTGTCACTAATACACTTTTGTTTCTCTTGACTATTTCTCAATCAGCAAAAATTGAAAATTAAACAAAAAGAAGTTGGCATCTGTTGTGGTGATGTTGGTTAGGATTTCAAATCCTCTACATTTTTTTTTTAATTTTAAACTGGTAAATAAGTATAATTAAGATTAAAATAAAACACCAATAGTGGGCGCCTATGGAGAAATATTCAATATTTCATTAAATTGATCCAGCCTTATTTGATCAACTTCCATGGGGCAGGCTGTGTATGAGAGTGTGAGAACACAGACATGAATATATTGTAGCCCCTGATCAGACAAGGAGGTCATTATCTCAGAAGGAAATCACACATTAAAAGAAATAAATTGCAACATTGTGCAGCTCACTAGCAGCAGCTTGGAAGTATGTATCTGGGTAAGCTCCTAGAATGGCAAGAGTGTTAGAAGAAACGAGGACAGCTTCTTGGAGGAGGAAACCTCAAGGCTGTTTTCAAGGATGACTATGGAGTTAAACAAGCAGACAAGACAGAACATCCTAAACAGAGCAGAGTACGTACAGTCAGAGGCATAAAAAGAATGGTGCTTCAGGGAATATCAGGCTGTTCAGTAAAGTTAGAGCACTAAGTGGGAGGGAGACTCTCAAAAGATAAGATTAAACATTCAAATGACAATGTTTTACTGTAGAAATGTTTGTAGATGGAACTGTAGCAGGAATTCTCAATGGAAATGTTGGTTAGATAATGAACTTTAGATAGAAATAAAAACAAAAACAAAATATGAACTCCTCACTAAGAAAAAAAAATCCAAACAAGAACTTACATGAAAGTCATATAAAAATTGAAAACCATGAAGAGAAAAAAATGAAACTTTGCGATTTTAATGCTGTTCCTTCTGAAGATTTTATAGAATATGGTGTGTTGGATTGAAAATACAGGAATTCCGCATCCCGTATTAGGATAATTTAGTGACTAGAAAAGTGTTTCCTACATGGTTAATATAATAGGTAGATTAAATACACACCCCACCAATTTGCCAATTAAAAAAAAAAGTAAGGTATAACAAACAGGCCAAGTTGAATACAGTTTGGCGCTACTTAACATGCTACTAGATTCAAGACTACACAGATTAAGTACTCTCTATAAAATGAATTTTAAAATATTTTTTTCAGCTAGAGCTATGCAAATGAAACTTTGGGAGGTAGATATTAAATGTTTCTTGAGAGCTTCCTATTCAGATAGCTTTTGTAATACCGAGGTCTTCACTAATGGGCAGCCTGGGGATGGTTATAACTTACAGAAGTGTGTTTCCCAGGATAATACTTCAAAATTTTGAAATGATTTGCCAAGATTTCAAAACCAAGAAATTTTTTATGAAAAAAACTAAGATTTCAAGGTTCTCTTCAAAAAGAAAAGCAAACCTACTAACATTGGACTAACTGTCCCACATAATAACAACGGTAGTTGAGTAGAAGCTGTCTCTTTTAAACAGGAGTCTTCCTAAATTTGGCCACTATTCCATTCTTACTACTAAATCTAGAAAATTTTCTATTTAACATCTTACTTTCTGAGTTATTTTTCCTATATATGTTTTTCTTTATTCACATAATTTAGCTACCAGGTCTCTCTCTGCATTTGAATGTAAAACTTTCTCAAGCAGGAATCTCATCTGATTCATAATATAAGAAAATAATGTATGTGATGATATTCTCAATTACTTAAAAGATGTGTTATAACTAGTACCATTCTGTATACATGGGAGAGAAGTTAATTCACCACATACAGTAGATGTCTTAGAGCTTTAGGGTTTAATTCTCTCGTGGACCTCATCTCAGAAAGGCTTGGATAAGCATGCTTCCATTTTCCAGTTTTCTAGGTAGAACTTTTCATAAACTCCATTTACTTAACGATAAATAGTTGAGAGAAATAACTAAATGAAGCATTTTTGACTTGAAAATGTGAATGCAGGGTTTAGGGGAATTCACACGTTAAGAATGATCTAATGAATATTTACTGATGGGGGCCTATGGTAATCTGGAAAAATAATGAGTATAATTCATATCTGACCTGCTTCTGCCCAAAGTAGTATAAATAATTGATCTGTAATTGGCATTGTCACAATCTTTTTTCACATTCCTTTCAAAGCTTTTCATGAATACATATGGATAACTTAGAGCAAATTGTGCTTTTATAATAATACAGCTTACCCAAATTGCATGTTAGTTACAATTGTTACCTATAATTAGAAGAGTCAAGAAAATGCATTTTAAAATTCTCTCAGAAAATTTTAAAATGTATCTGGTCGTTACCTTCAGTGAAACTTAAAGTATAACTACTCACATTTTGTATACATGCCTAGGTAGATAAAAAAGTTATTGCAGTAAGGCATAGCGTTGGAAGTAGGGTGACTTTGCTTACTTAGGAGACACACACACACACAAATATATGCACACACACATATATACATACACATGATATATATGAAATTATATATCTCATATATATCCATTTGCTTATAAAATATAAATGTTTTATGTATCATATTTGATATATAATACATCATTTATTCATGAGATATATATAATATGTATGCTTATGAGGTTTATATTATATATAACATAGTATATAACATATATATTGTAATATATATGTAAATAACGTAAGTAAACAGATTCACCATACTTACAGCCCTAGGTCTCCACTGCAATGCTGATATGGTTTAGCTCTGTTTCCCTACCCAAACCTCGTGTCAAATTGTAATCCCTAATATTGGAGGAGAGTTCAAGTGGGAGATGATTGCTGTTCTCATGATAGTGAGTGAGTTCTCACAAGATCTGGTTGTTTAAAAGTGTTTAACACTTCACCCTTTGCTCTCCTCCTACTCTGCCATGGTAAGACATGCTTTTTTTCCCTTCACCATCTGCCATGATTGTAAGTTTTCTGAGGCCTGCAGGCCATGTTTCCTGTATGCCTATGGATCTATGAGTCAATTAAAATTCTTTTCTTTGTAAATTACCCAGTCTCAGGTAGTTCTTTATAACATTGTGAGAATGGGCAAATACAGAAAATTGGTACAAGAGAAGAGGGGCATTCCTATAAAGACACCTGAAAATGTGGAAGCAGCTTTGGAACTGGGTAATGGGCATAGGTTGGAACTGTTTGGAGGGCTCAGAAGAAGATAAGAAGAAGAGGGAAAGTTCTGAACTTCCTAGAGACTTGTCAAATGGTTGTGACAAAGTAACATGGACAGTTGTGAGAAACACACTCACCCATGCAAACCCAAAGAATGGGCCCAGAGACACAAAGAACAATAGAAGCAAGACTTTTAATTGTGGTCTCGCAAGATTGGGTGTCTGGTAGGCAGGCACACCCTCGGCAGTTACAGCAGGTAATTTATCTCCTAACATGCAAGTCCCTCCCCCAGTTCCTCATTAGTCGAGTACCTGGATGTCACCTAAGTTTCATTATCCCCCTTATAAGGTTATATCCCAGTCCACTTCACTGCTTAGTTTTCGATTTCCCAATAATGAAACTGTCTTCCCTTTTATAGGCTGACCCCTCCTCTACACTTGGTTTGCTTAGGTGCATGAGCTGTGCGGTTTGTCACATCTGCAGGCTGGCTGCCATTACTTGGATTTATCATGCTTTGAAAATGGACAATTTAAAATGTTTTCTCACACAGTGAAGTCCATGCTGAGGTAATCTCAGATGGAGATGAGGAACTTATTGGAAACTAAAGTAGATGCCACTTTTGCTTGCTTTAGCAGAGAGACTGGCGGCATTTTGCCCCTGCCCTAGAAATCTGTGGAACTTTGAATTTGACAGTGATAATTTAGAGGATCTGGTGGAAGAAATTTTTAAGCAGCAAAGTGTACAAGATGTGGCCTGGCTGCTTTTAACAACTCATATGCATTCACAAAGAGATGATCTGAAATTGGAACTTATATTTAAACGGGAAGCAGAGCAAAAAAGTTTGAAAAATTTGCAGCTTGACCATTTGGCAGAAAAGAAAAACCCATTTTCTGGGGAGGAATTTAAGGCTGAAGAAATTTGCATAAGTAAAGAGAAGCCAAATGTTAATAGCCAAGACAATGGGGAAAATGTTTCAAAGGCATTTTAGAGACCTTCATGGCAGCCACTTTAATCACAGGCCCAGAGGCCTAATAGGGAAAAGTGGTTTCCTGGGCCAGGTCCAGGACCCCGCTGCTCTGTGCAGCCTCAGGACCTGGTACCCTGCGTCCTAGCAGCTTCAGCTCCAGCCATGGCTAAAAGGAGCCAAGGTGTAGTTCAGGCTGTGGCTTCAGAGGAGGCAAGTTCCAAGCTTTGGTCGCTTCCACATGGTATTGGGTTTGCAGGTATGAAGAAACAAGAGTTGAGGCTTGGGAGCTTTCACTTAGATTTCAGTGGATGTATGGAAACGCCTCCAGGCAGAAGTCTGCTGTAGGGGTGCAACCTTCATGGAGAATCTTTACTAGAGCCATGCAGGGGGAAATGTAGGGTTGGATCTCCTACATGAGTCCCCACCAGAGCACTGCCTAGTGGAGCTGCAAGAAGAGGGCCACCGTCCTCTAGACCCCAGAATGGTAGATCCATTGACAGTTTGCACCGTGAGCCTGGAAAAGCCTCAAAAACTCAATGTCAACCCATGAAAGCAGCCATGGGGGGTGTACCTCACAAAGCCCCTGGGGCAGAGCTGCTCATGGCCTTGGGAGCTCACTCATTGGATCAGCGTGTGCTGGATGTAAGACAGGGTGTCAAAGGAGATTATTTCAGAGGTTTAAGATTTAAAGACTGCCCTGCTGGATTTTGGACTTGCATGGGGCCTGTAGCACTTTTATTTTGGCCAATTTCTCCCCTTGGAATGGAAGCATTTACCAAATGCTTGTACCCCCATTGTATCTTGATAGTAACTGACTTGTTTTTGATTTTACAGGTTTGTTAGGGGGAAGGGACTTGTATTGACTCAGATGAGACTTTAGACTGGGACTTTGAGTTAATGCTGGAATGAGTTAAAACTTTGGAGGACTGTTGGGAAGGCATGACGGTGTTTTGAAATGTGAGATAACTCTTGCTTATTTCTTACACATACCCCTATGTAAACTCTGAGCATTGGAGACAGGTAGAATGAATGAAGAACAGGAAGGTTACTAGAGTAACTAAATCAGAACAAACTAGAGCCAGAAGGGGGAGAAAGAAGCCTTGTCCAGAATTTAAAGGAGGAAAAAAAATATAATTTGAGGAAGAAAAGTGATAATTTTAAGTTACAACTCATGCAGTCAGTTTTAAGGAAAAGGAAGAAGGATGTCAACTGGGTTCCTCAAATGAAATAAAGTATTGCTGCCATATAAACTAGAAAATGCTTCAGAAGTCTAGAAAGTATAAAGCAGTGTCATAATTACTTAAAAACACTGTCAAGATAATTCTGTCTAGTAGAATGGGATAATTTATTTCTAAGTTCAATATATATTAGGAAAACCTTTTGATGGGCAAAATAAGCTTTTTGTTTTGGTTTGGTTTCATTTCGTTTAGAAAATTTGTAATAGAATTTATGGAGAAAACAGTGATAATAAAATGTGCCCAATAATAATTTCAAAAGAATCTTACAGCATTTTGTCCTAGTCCTTTTTTTTTTTTTCCTGTCATAACAGAGCACCACAGACTGGGTAACTTATTAAAAAAAAAAGAAATTTATTTTTCATTATTCTGGAGGCTGGGAAGCCCAAAAGCACAGATGCCAGCATATGGTGAGGGTCATCCCATGGTGGAATGATGGAAGGTAGAAGTGAGTACATGAGAGAAAGAGGAAAAAGGAGGCAAACTCATGATAACTAAGCCAGTCCCACGATTACAGCATTAATGTATTTATGAGGGCAGAGCCCTCATGACCTAATCACTTCTAAAAGGCCTCAGATCTCCCCTCCCCTCCCACCCCTTTGGAAACTTAGGCTGGAGTGCAATGGAATGATCATGGCTCACTGCAGCCTCAAACTCCTGGGTTCAAGTGATCCTCTCACCTCAGCCTGCCAACTAGCTGGGACCACAGGTGTGCACCATCATGCCCAGTTAATTTATTTTTGTAGAGATGGGGCCTCACTCTGTTGCCCAGGCCAGTCTTGAACTCTTGAGCTCAAGTGATCCTCCTGCCTTGGCCTCCCCAAATGCTGGGATTACAGGCATGCACCACCATGCCCCGCTAGGGCCTCACCTTTTAATACAGTTACAATGACAATCAAATTTCAACATGAGTTTTGAATGAGGATATTCAAAGCACAGGATTCTACCCCTGGCCCCCAAAACATGTCATTCTCACATACAAAATATATTCATTCACTCCCAATAGTTCCAAAAGTCCTAACTTGTTCCAGCATCAACTCAAAAGTCCAAAGTTCAGAGTCTCATCTAAATAAGATATAGGTGAGACTCAAGGCACAATTCCTTTTGAGGCAAATTCCCTCCAGCTGTAAATTCAAAACAGGTATCTACTTCCAAAATGCAATGATGGGACAGGGGTAGAATAGATAAACCCATTCCAAAAGGAAGACATAAGCAAGAAAAGACATAGAACTGGTATTAGGTAAGTCCAAAACCAAGCAGAGAAAACAACATTAAATATCAAAGCTGAAGAATAATCTCTTGATTCCATGTGCCACTTTCTGCATACACTGGGTTTGAGTCCCTAGGCCTCCCTTGGCTTTGCTGGGCTCAGTCTATGCTTCAGCTCTCTCAGGTTGGAATTGGATGCTGGTGCCACCCTACAATTCTGGGATCTCAGGTGCTTCCCCACTCCCACAGCTCCAGTAGACATTGCCCCAGTTTCATTGCAGCAGGTTTCTGCCTGGGCTTCCAGGTGGTCTGTGGCATCTTTTGAAATATAACTGAAGGAAGTCACAGCCTCCACAGCTCTTGCATAATGCATACCTGCCGACTAAATATCAGATTGATGCTACCAAGGTATATATGGTCTGTACTTTGCAGAAGAGTGGGTCTAGCCACACCTGGGCCTCTTGACCCACAGCTGAGGCATCCAGGGATCACTGTGTGGGAATTCCAGGAGCAGAGACCCAAGATGCTTTTGACTAGCAAGGGCATGGAGGGTGCCCCAGGACCATCCTTTCAAACCACTCACCCTTCTAGAGCACTGGGCCTGTGATGAAAGGGGAAGCCTGAAGATCTCTAAAATACCTTTGGGGTCTTTCTTTCTCTCATTATCTTGACCTGGATTCTTTTATCCATAGTAATCTCATTAGCCAGTGGTCCCTTACAAACACTCTTAATATGGTCTGCTGAACATATTTTTTGCACTCTTTGCATGGCCAGGCTGCAAATTTTCCAAGCCTTTCTACTCTGCTTTCCTTTTAATTATAGATTCCATCTTTAAGTCATTTTTTCTGCCCTCGTGTCTCACTGTACACACTTAAAACTAGCTAAAAAGCAGACTGAGTGCTTTGCTGCTTAAATATTTCTTAGGCAGTTCTTTGTTCATCACTCTTAAGTTATGCATTCCAAAAAGCCCTAGGAGATACCATAATTTTGCCAGGCTCTTTGCTACTTTATAATAATATTGACCTTAACTCCAGGTTTTTATACCTTGTTTCTCATTTCCATCTTAGACCTTATCATAATGGCCTTCCACTGTCCATATTTTTACTAACATACTGGTCATGGCCACTTAGGTAATCTCTAAGAAGATTCAGACTTTCCCTACAGCTCTGGTCATCTGAGCCGTCAACAGAATCACCATTAAATGTCTATTGATGACAACAAAGCATTTTCCATGCTGCCCCTCCAAATTCTTCTAGCCTCGACCCATTATTCAGTTCCAAAGCCACTTTCATATTTTAGTTATTTGTTATAGCAACAGCCCCACTCCTTGGTACCAATGTACTGTTTTAGTCTGTCTTTTGCTGCTATAACAGAATAACACAAACTGGATAATTTATTAAAAAATATTTCTCACAGTTCTGGAGGTTAGGAGCCAGCAGCTGGCAAGGGTAATCCCATGGTGAAAGAGAAGAAGGTAGAAGTGCACACATAAGACAGAGAAAAGACGGGGCCAAACTCCCAGAACAACTAATCCACCCACACAATAATAGCATTAATCCATTCACAATGGTGCAACTTTATTGCCTAAGCACCTCTTAAAGGCCTCACCTCTTAATATTGCTACAGTGGCAATTAAATTTCAACATGAGTTTTGGCAGGGACATTCAAACCATAGCACGTATACCAAACAATTTATTTTCTTCAACTTTAAAGTTCTAGGTTACAAGTGCAGGATGTGCAGGTTTGTTACATAGGTAAATGTGTGCCATGTTGGTTTGCTGCACAGATCAACCCACCACCTAGTTATTAAGCCCAGCATGCATTAACTATTTTTCCTGATGCTCTCCCTCCCATCGCACTCACCCAACAAGCCCCAGTGTGTGTTGTTCCCCTTTATGTGTCCATGTGTTCTCATCATTCAACTCCCACTTACAAGTGAGAATCTGTGGTGTTTGGTTTTCTGTTCCCGCGTTAGTTTGCTGAGGATAATGGCTTTCAGCTCCATCTATGCCCCTGCAAAGGACACAATCTCATTCCTTTTTATGGTTGCGTAGTATTCCATGCTGTATATGTACCACATTTTCTGTATGCAGTCTATCATTGGTGGGCATTTGTGTTGATTCCATGTCTTTGCCATTGTGAATAGTGCTGCAACGAATATATGCATGCATGTATCTTTATAATAGAATTATTTATATTCCTTAGAGTATATACTGAGTAATGGGATTGCTGGGACAAATGGTATTTCTGCTTCTAGATCTTTGAGGAATTGCCATGCTGTCTTCCACTATGGTTGAACAAATTTACACGCCCAACAACAGTGTAAAAGAATTTCATTTCCTCTGTAACCTCACCAGGATCGGTTGTTTCTTGACTTTTTAAATAATTGCCATTCTGACTTGTGGGAGATGGTATCTCACTTTGCCTTCGATTTGCATTTCTCTAATGCTTAGCTTTTTGTCATGTTTTTTGGCCACATGAATGTCTTCTTTTGAGAAGTGCCTGTTCATGTTCTTTGCCAACTTTTTAATGGGTTTTCTTTTCCTGAAAATGTTTTATAAGTTCCTTGTATACTCTGGATATTAGACCTTTGTCAGATGGATAGATTGCAAAAATTGTCTTTCATTCTGTTGATTGTCTGTTCACTCTGATGATAGTTTCTTTTGCTGTGCAGAAGCTCTTTAGTTTAATTAGATCCCACTAGTCAATTTTTGCTTTTGTTGCAATTGCTTTTGGTGTTTTCATCACTAAATTTTTTCCCGTGCCTATGTCCTAAGTTGTTTTGCCTAGATATTCTTCTAGGGTTTTTATAGTTTTGCATTTTACAGTTAAGTCTTTAATTCATCTTGAGTTAATTTTTGTGTAAGGTATAAGGAAAAGGTCCAGTTTCAGTTTTCTGCATATGGCTAGCCAGTTATCCCAGCACCATTTAGTAAACAGTGAATTCTTTCCCCATTACTTGTTTTTGTCAGATATGTTGAAGATCAGATGGTTGTAGATATGCGGTCTTATTTCTGAGTTCCCTATTCTCTTCCATTGGTCTATGTGTCTGTTTTTGTACCAGTACCATGCTGTTTTGATTACTACAGCCTTGTAGCATAGCTTGAAGTTGGGTAGTGTGATGCCTCCAGCTTTGCTCTTTTTGCTTAGGACTGTCTTGGCTATTCAGGCTCTTATTTGATTCCACATGAATTTTAAAATATTTTTTTCTGATTTTGTGAAGAATGTAAATCATAGTTTAACGGGAATAGCATTGAATCTATAAATTACTCTAGGCACTATGGCCATTTTAACAATATTGATTCTTCCTATCCATGAGCATGGAATGTTTTTCCATTTGCTTGTGTCCTCTCTGATTTCCTTGACCAGTGGTTTATAACTCTCCCATAGAGGTCATTCACTTCTTTTGTTAGCTGTATTCCTAGGTATTTTATTTTCTTTGTAAAAAATGTAAATTGGAGTTCATTCATGATTTGGTTATCTGTTTATCTGTTGTCGGAGTATAGGAATGCTAGTGATTTTTGCACGTTGACTTTGTATCTAAAGACTTTGCTAAAGTTGCTTATCAGCTTAAGAAGCTTTTGGGCCGAGATGACAGGCCTTTCTAGATATAGGATCATGTCATTTGCAAAGAAAGATAATTTGACTTTCTCTCTTTTGATTTGAAAAGCCTTTATTTATTTCTCTTGCCTAATTGCCCTGTCCAGAACTTGCAATACTATGTTGAACAGCAGTGGTGAGAGAGGGCATCCTTTCTTTTGCCAGTTTTCAAGGGGAATGCTTGAAATTCCAGCTTTTGCCCATCAGTGTGATATTGGCTGTGGGTTTGTCATAGGCGGCTCTTATTATTTTGAGGTATTTTTCTTCAACACCTAGTTTATTGAGAGTTTTAAACATGAAAGGATATTGAATTTTATTGAAGGCCTTTTCTGTGTCCTTTGAGATAATCATGTAGTCTTTGTCTTTAGTTCTGTTTATGTGATGAATTACATTTATTGATTTGTGTATGTTCAACCAACCTTGCTTCCCAGGGATGGAGCCAACTTGATCGTGGTAGATAAGTTTTTTGATGTGCTGCTGGATTCAGTTTGCCAGTATGTTATTGAGGATTTTTGCATCGATGTTCATCAGAGATATTGACCTCAAGTTTTTTTTTTTGGTTGTATCTCTGCCAGGTTTTGGTATCAGGATGATGTTTGTTTTCTACTTGTAATAATTACTGGGTAACTTAGAAAGGAAAAGAGGTTCAATTGACTCACAGTTCAGCATGGCTGAGGAGGCCTCAGAAAACTTACAATCATGAAATAAGTTGAAAGGAAAGCAAGGCACCTTCTTGCAGGGCAGCAGGAAGAAGAAGTGCCCAGTAAAGGGGGAAGAGCCCCTTATGAATCTATCAGATCTTGTAAGAACTCACTCACTATTATGAGAATAGCATGGGGCAAACCAGCCCCATGATTCAATTAACTACACCTTGTCTCTCCCTTGACTTGTGGGGATTATGGGGATTACAAGTCAAGATGAGATCTGTGTGGGGACACAAAGCCTAACAATATCACCTACCAAGCAAAAAAAGCTGAGTACCAGACGGATTTACAGCTGAATTCTACCAGAGGTACAAAGAAGAGCTGGTACCATTTCTACTGAAACTATTCCAAACAATTGAAAAGCAGGGACTCCTCCCTAACTTATTTTATGAGGCCAAAGCAATGTAAAATAATTTTTACTTAGCCTGATTTCCACTTTAGAAATATGCAAGTACATATCTGGTTTGTCAGCAGGTATTATAAGTCTCCATTAAACTCATGTAAATACTGCTTTACTTGACAAGAATTTAATTAAACATACAGTTGGGGTATAAAAAATAAAATAAAAACAACAATAAAAGATTTGGAAATATATTAGGTAATAATTTAATTGTAAAATCACTCTAAAATTTTATTTTTATACATGCAATAACTTTATCTTAAAGTAAGAGTACAGTTTAATAAAAATAATATTTTCATATAGATTATAGTGCTTTAATTGCATTTTAAATATATAAGGAGTTATAATATTTTTAGCAATCCCAAACTACATTTGTGAAGTTTATTATCTTCAAAAATAATTCTTTTTCCAATAACTTTAATTTGGAAATGTTTACAAGAACAGTTTCATGATTCATAGTCATGGTAAATACTGTTACCCAGATAATCATGAAAAATGATTATGTAACTAGCCATTTGTACTATTTATATATTTAGGTTCCTCTTTCTGTTTTGCAACCCTATCTGAAATTTTGAATTGGACAAAGCAATCATCATGAACAATGCATATTTGGAGCAGAGAATGGCTCTGAATTTATGGCTTATAAATAATCTTCCACACTTTTTCCTTCCAGCAGGCTTTTGTTCTAATGCTATATTCCAGAGCCATCATATGAAGATTGGACTACATTTTAGTCATTCTGGGTGCAAGAAAAGAGACAGCTATGTTTCATTCTTCCCAACTAATAGTTGTGATGAATTAGATTAATTTGCTATGCCCCTGCTTATTTTTGTAATTAAAGATTTTGTGTAATTAGAAAAAACATTTTGACTAAGTCTTTCAGACCTAGGTGCAAATAATTAAAAAACTAAAGGTCAAGTATTCTATTTCAAAATTTCTGGAAGTACTCACATTCGATTGATCCATACTTGACCAAATTGTTCAGAAAACTGAATCTGAGCATTTGAAAATATTTATAATCTTGTCTGTTCTGTTTTTTCTCTTTGGTTATTTAAAATATCTTTATAGAATATCCTTACTATGTGTCCCTCCATTCCTAACACTTACATCACTGCTTGATTTTTGAATATTGTACGCTCTCCCATAGTTCTATTGTACAAAATCGTGACTGTAATTAATAACAATTTATTGTATACTTGGAAATCATTAACAGAGTAAATTTTTAGCGTTCTCACCACAGACAAATAAGTATGTGAGAAAATGAATATGTTAATTAGCTTGATTTAGTCATTTTACAATGTATACTTATTTCAAAACATCATAGTGGGAGTGTAAATTAGTTCCACCATTGTGGAATACAGTGTGGCAATTCCTCAAGGATCTACAACTAGAAATACCATTTGACCCAGCAATCCCATTACTGGGTATATACCCAAAGGATTATAAATCATGCTGCTATAAAGACACATGCACAAATATGTTTATTGAGGCACTGTTCACAATAGCAAAGGCATGGAACCAACCCAAATGCCCATCAATGATAGACTGGATAAAGAAAATGTGGCACATATACACCATGGAATACTATGCAGCCATAAAAAATGATGAGTTCATGTCCTTTGCAGGGACACGGAAGACACTGGAAACCCTCATTTTCAGCAAACTAACACAAGGACAGAAAACCAAACACTGCATGTTCTCACTCATAAGTGGTAGCTGAACAATGAGAACACATGGACACATGGAGGGGAACATCACACACCCGGGCCTATTGTGGGGTGGGGGGCTAGGGGAGGGATAACATTAGGAGAAATAACTAAGGTAGGTGACAGGTTGATGGGTGCAGCAAACCACCATGGCACGTGTACACCTATGTAACAAACTTGCACGTTCTGCACATGTATCCCAGAACTTAAAGCATAATAAAAAAAACATGTTGTTCACCATAAATATATACAATTACTTTATCAATTACAACTAAATAAGTAGGTCATAAATGGTGGCATATATTCTTCATCTTATATATTTGGCTTATTGAAAGGTGTTTGAATTTGTTTACTTAAAAATAGCTGTTGGATGATTGCATAATGAATTGAAAAATAAAACGAAATAATTCCTTGAACTAGTCACAATTTATCTTCTCTTCTCTGAAATCCCTCCAAATTCTTCTATGCTATTTTGTCTGTGTGTGTGTGTGTGCGTGTGTGTGTGAACAACCTTGACACCATTAGGAGCTCCAATTCACCTACTCCTAAGACTGTATGTATGTGCATTTGTATGTGCAGCTCAAGGATTCTCTCCAAGCCCAGTCTCATAACTGCTCTGAATTCTCTAGTTTTGATGGGGTATTTTGTTACTCTGCTTTGTTACCCTCAAATTCTGACATTCTTCTTAGCCCAGTTTGGTTCTTTTTTTTCCTAGTTACTGCGTCTTGGATAACCCTTTTCCCATGTTCATGTCTGTCTATATCTAAAGTCTACTTTACACAGCTGCAATACATTTTTTCCCCTGCATATCCATACATTTTTATCTTTCTAAACAGTTTATAAATTGAACTTTTTGATAGTGTGTTCTCTCTTAGAAAAAAACCCTTTATTCAAACTGTTCACAAAAGATACTTTGCACTTTATTTTCAAGTGATGCAGATAGTTAGAAATTAGATAAATATAAAATCACAAAATTGTATTATTTTTACAGATACAATTTAAACACATAACTGTATATTCATACCTAATATACAAATTTATACATTTTAAAATGTCAAAAAATTTAATTTGAACATTTTACTTTTAAAATTTACTTTTGAATCAGACAAAGCAATCATCACAAACAACACATATTTTGAACAAAATATAAAATTATAATAGAAGTCAAACTTAGAAATGGCCCTGCATATATGATTCATAATAAGTTGTTTATTTTTAGTAATACAGTTCTTTTGAGACAATAACATATACCTTGTAGAGCTAGTCAAGCACATTCTTTTAATAAATTGTGGAGCAGCTGCAAATTTGGTAAAAAAAATCTAATGAATGAAACACATTAATGAGCTTTATAGTCTTGGTCATTGGAGAAGGCCAGGAAGAAAATCCCTCCCTTGTACCACAAGATTTTTTTTTTCTGTAATGTAAAAACCCACTCTCCTGTATAACCATGTCCATGCTTAACTGTGAAGGGTGACCAAGATTGCAGTAGCCTTCATCTGGTCATTCTCTGAAACCATTAATAAAGTTACTCGACATATATACTTATTGTGTCAATATACATATTCCCAAAGCTAGGCTATCCAGAGCACCCCAATCACCGTTTCCATCTATCCCCCTGTGCCATAAATACAAACTTTTATATCCAGTATGCATATTGACAATTGTCTTTGTTGAGGTCTGGCATTGTTCCCATTCAGATTTATGTAGGTTCTAAGAAGAGGGTAACATGGAGAAAGGAACTATATAATACACTCTTCCATTTGTGTTTTGTTTTTGCCTTGGAAAAGTCAGCTAACAGCTTGTCCAAAATACCTGGTCTTCTCAAACCACTGTCAAAGGACATTTGTTATTCATAATGATTAATAACAAAAATGCAATTTGATATGCTATTTTAATTTTATAACAGATTTTATTTTTAAAGCAGTTTTAGGTTCAGAGAGAAATTAAGAAGGTACAACAATTTCCTATATACCTCAGTCTCCCACACAAGCATAGTCCCTCATTATTAGCATCTCCCACCAGAATGGTGCATTTGTTACAACTGATGAACCTATATTGACACATCTTTATTACTCAGTGTCCATAATTTACATTAAGTTTCACTCTTGGTGTTGTACATTTTATGAGTTTGTACAAAAGTACAATGATGTGTGTGTTGCATTATATTATTATACAGAACAGTTACATTGCCCTAAAAATCCTCTGTGCTCCATCTACTCACCTGTCTCTCTCCCAACCCCTGACAATCACTGAATCTTTTTACTGTCTCCATAGTTTTGCCTTTTCCAGAATGTCATATAGTTGGAATCATATAGTACATGATATTTTCAAATTGGCTTCTTTCATTTAATAATATGCATTTAAACTTCCTCCTAGCCTTTTTATGACTTAATTACTTCTTTCTTTTTAGCACAAAATAATATTACATTGTCTGGGTGCACCGTAGTTTATTAATCTATTCTCCTACTGATGGGCATCTTAGCTGCTTCCAATTTGGGGCAACTATTAATAAAGCTGAAGTTTTTTTGTGGACATACATCTTCAATTTTTCAATTATCTTGGGTGAATATCAAGAAATGTGTTGTCTATACGGCATACTAAGAGTATGTTTGGTTTTGCAAGAAACCACCAAACTGTCTTCCAAAGTGGCTGCATCATTTTGTATTCCCACCAGCAATAGATGAGAGTTCCAGTGCTGCACATCCTCATCAACATTTTATACTGTCAGTGTTCTGAATTTTGGCCATTCTAATAGGTGTGCAGTGATATACCATTTAATTTGCATTTCCTTGATGAACTAGGATAAGGAGCATCTTTTCATATCCTTATTCTGTATATTTTCTTTGGTGAGGTGTCTGTCAATGTCTTTAGCAAATTTTTCATTTTTTTTTTCTTATTACTGAATTTTAAGACTCTTTTGTGTATTGGGGATAAGAGTCCTTTATCTGATATGCCTTTTGAAAATAATTTCTTTAAGTCTGTGTCTTGACTTTTTATTCTCTTTCTTAGAGCAGAATTTTTTTTTATTTTAATGAAGTAGAGCTTATCAGCTCTGTTTTTCATAGATCATGTCTTTGGTGTTATGATTTAAATGTCATTGTCAAACCCAAAGCTATCTAGCTTTTCTCCTGTATTATCTTCTGGGAGTTGTATAGTTTTTTGTTTTACCTTGAGCTCTATGATCAATTTTGAATTCATTTTCTTGAAGGTGTATGGTCTGTACCTAGATTAATATGTTTGCATGCAGATGCCCAGTTTTTCCAGCACCATTCGTTGAAAACAACAACAAAAGCAACTCGGATCTGTTGTATTGCACTTGCTCCTTTTTCAAATATTGGTTTACTGTATTTATGTTGATTTATTTATGGGCTCTTTATCCTGTTCCATTAATCTATTTGTCTTGTTTTGTTAACTGATGTCACACTGTCTCAATTACTGTAGCTTTATAGTAAGTCTTGAAGTCAAGTAGTGTCAGCCGTTCAGCTTTTTTCTTCTCTTTCAATGTTGTGTTGGCTACACTGTGTCTTTTACCTCTCTATATAAACTCTACAATCAGGTTGTTGAAATCTACAAAATAACTTGCTAGGGTTTTGATTGGGATTATGTTGAATTTGTAGATCCAGTTGGTAAGAATTGAAAACTTCACAATATTAAATTTTCTATCCATTAACATGGAGTATCTCTTATTTAGTTATTCTTTGATTTTTTTATTTGAATTTTGTAGTTTTTCTCGCATATGATATATACATATTTTGTTAAATTTTTACCTAAGCATTTTATTTTGGGGGAAGCTAGTGTAAATGATATTAACTTTTTATTTTCAGATTCTATTTGTTCATTACTTGTATATACAAAAGCATCTGACTTCTGTGTATTACTGTTGTATCATTCAACCTTACTATAACTACTTGTTCCAGGTGAGGTTTTTGTTGTTGCTGCTGATTTTTCTGGATTTTCTGCATAGATGATCAAGTCTTCAAGGAACAAAGAGTTTTATTTCTTCCTTTCTACCATTTTATTTTATTTTATTGTCTTATTTCATTAAGACAAGACTTTGGGTATGCTTTTAAGATGAGTGGTTGACATCTTTGTCTCGTTCCTATTCTTAATGGAAAAGCTTTGGGTTTCTCAACATTAAGTATGATGTACTGACAGTGCTAAAATAATTGAATTTTATTTCTAATTTTTTATCAGCTTTAACTATCAATATAATTTTCAATTATAATGTTTTCAAGTCATTTTTCTCTCTCCTGTTGAATATCATATCTGAGCACTTCAAGTTTGTGATATTTTGACTACAGCATTCCCCACAAATCTATTTATTTATCTATTTACCTAAATTGAAATAGCAAAGTGATAAGAGTTTGAATATATTAGTAAAATGGCCTTCCTCAAACAGGCCTATACTTATGTCTCTGAATAGAAACTGAATGCTTCAATGTTACTTTTCTCAACATGAATTTGATTACTTCACAATATATACATATATTGAAACATCATGTTGTATCCCATAAATCCATGTAATTATTATTTTCCAATTAAAAATAAAACTTAACAAAGAAAATGCCAGAGTCTTACAATATTGTTTTTCATTGCCAGATTTTGAAAAACAATGTGTATTTTCTTAAAAAAAAATCCATGAACTGAAATTGTAAAGGTAAAAATGAACTTTATATAGAACTGGGAATACATTAAAATAATGGACAGCTGCTTCCTTCCTGCTAATTGAGTTTCAAATAACTTTCAGTTATTTGAAAATAAACATATAAAAAAGTATGTCATCTGTATATCCACATAAATGATTACTCTTATTACTCAACGTATATATACAGTTCATGTCATCAAAAATTTGTCATTTATTATTAAACACCTTGAAGGAGCTGAGTATAGGAACTACACAGTTCAATTTTGATTGTGAATCTAAAGGGACTTAGAGTTGGATTGCCTCCCTGTCTCAAACATCCAAGGGAGAAACCTCAATACTCTCCGCTACTGTCTCAGACTAAAATGTTGTAATTATATTAAGTTGCTGCCTTCTGACAGCTAGAAAGTGCTAATTTTTTTTTTTTTTTTTTTTTTTTTTTTTGAGATGGAGTTTTGCTCTGTCACCCAGGCTGGAGTTCAGTGGCGTGATCTTGGCTCACTGCAACCTCCGCCTCCCTGGTCCAAGTGATTCTCCTGCCTCAGCCTCCTGAGTGGCTGGGACTACAGGCGAGCACCATCAAACCCAGCTAATTTTTGTAGTTTTAGTAGAAACAGGGTTTCGCCATGTTGGCAAGGAGATGGTCTTGATCTCTTGACCCCGTGATCCGCCTGCCTAGGCCTCCCAAAGTGCTGGGATTACAGGCATGAACCACCACAACCCGGCTTTTCAAAAGACATACATGTGGCCAAAAATCACATGAAAAAAAGTTCAACCTCACTGATCATTAGAGAAATGTAAATAAAAATCACAATGAGATACCATCTCACTCCAGTCAGAATAGTTATCATTAAAAAGTCAAAGAATAACAGATGCTGGTGAGGCTGTGAAGAAAATGGGACACTTACACACTGTTGATGGGAGTGTATATTAGTTCAACCATTGTGAAAGACAGTGTGGCAATTCCTCAAAGACCTAAAGACAGAAATGTCATTCAACTCAGCAATCCCATTACTGGGTATATACCAAAAGAGTGTAAATCATTCTATTACAAAGAGACATGCATGCATATGTTCATTATAGCACTATTCACAATAGCAAAGACAGGGAATCAACATAAATGCCCATCCATGATAGACTTCATAACAAAAAGGTGGTACAAAACACCATGGAATACTACACAGCCATAAGAAAGAATGAGATCATGTCCTTTTCAGGGACGTGCATGGAGCTGGAGACCATTATCCTTAGAAAACTAACACAGGGACAGAAAACCAAATACTGCATGTTCTTACTTATAAGTGGGCCCTAAATGATTAAAACACATGGACACATAGAAGGCAACAACACACACTGGGGTCTATCAGAGGATGGATGGTAGTAGGAGGGAGAGGATCAGGAAAAGTAACTAATGGGTACTAGTTTAAGTATCTGAGTGATAAAATAATCTGTACAACAAACAACCATGACACAAGTTTACCTGTGCAACAGACTGCACATGTACCCCTGAGCTTAAAGAAGTTGAAAAAGATAAAAAATAAAAATAAAAAGTTAAAATCCCTTTTAAAAAATAAATAGAAGTTCGTTATTGAAATCTAGCTGATCAATCTTTTCCTTTTGGGTTAATGCTTTATTAACAAAGTTAACAAGACTTTCCCTACCATAAAGTCATGAAGATAATCAACTATTTTATCAACTAAATATTTTCCTATTTTACTTCCCACATTGAGATCTGCACATTTTAGAACCATTTTTTATAGTATAGTTTGCAACATTTATCAAGGTTCTTTTTTTCCCATACTGATTTTTAATTTTCTATCACTTATTGAAAATGATATTTTTTCCCTACTCTGAATCATACCCAATTTCTAGAGATGTCACATAAAATACAGGGCTCCCAGTTACATTCAAATTTCAGATAAACAACAAATTTTTTTAGTACAAGTATGTTCTAAATGAATTGAAATATTGCATGAGACATATTATATTGCAAGATACACATTTGTACTAAAATATTGCTATATTTAATTTTTGTTATATAAAATATAAATGTTATATCTGATACTGAAATGTAACTTGGTAAAGTATCTTGAACTTTTTCACTAACTCTGGAACACTCTCGATTCCAAAATTTCATATAAACAGAATCAGCATTTAGGGACACACAATATTATTTATCTCTTTATACCTTCAAGTTACTAAGGAAAAACTCTGTCATCAGTATGGAATTGGGGATAGGTGGTTATACCATAGGTGTTACGGGGGTTAGGGTCAGATTTATGAACCATGATCTGGGGCAAGGCTCTTTGATAGAAATATATTGTGGGCTACATATGTAATTTTAAATTTACAATTAGTCATATTCAAAAAGTACAAAGAAACAGATGCTATAAATACTATCACTATAGTATATTTTATTTAAATAAATATATCCTAAATGTTATTTCAAAATGTAATAAATATTATTAGATAGAGTAATGAGATAATTTCATAATTTTTTCATATGAAATACTTGAAATATAATGTATATTTGAATTCAGGTGCTACATTTTCATCAGAAATACTTAACCTCAAATTAAATATAAATATAAATTTACTTTAAAAAGTAGAGCCCTATATCCAACTGTTTCAAAGTTACTTAAAAGTTTTGTCATAATTGGAATAAATATGTCTTTAAATTTAAATTTATATTAAAGGAAATTAAATATTCAGATTACTAGTAGCCATAGTCATATTTAAAATGCTCAATAGCCAGAAGTTCTGGGTGGCTACTCTAATGGATAGCACAGGTCTAGAGGCACTTAAAGAATATCCAAAAATAAGCACAAATTTAAAAAGTAAAAATATTAACTGAAGAGGATTGTTGAAATGATGCTGACACCACAACTCATTCATATATAACATTCCAAAGCAGTAGTTTGTACCACTTATTTTCTTCACTAATAAGATTGTGGGCCTAAAAGCCATTTTATGTCATCGTTGTGATATATAAAGGTGTAATTTTTTTTTTTTTTTTGAGACGGAGTCTTGCTTAGTTGCCCAGGCTGGAGTGCAGTGGCATGAGATCTTGGCTCACTGCAAGCTCCGCCTCCTGGGTTCACGCCATTCTCCTGCCTCAGCCTCCCCAGTAGCTGGGACTACAGGCACCCGCCACCATGCCTGGCTAATTTTTTTTTTTTTTTTTTTTTGTATTTTTAGTAGAGATGGGGTTTCACCATGTTAGCCAGGATGGTCTCGATCTCCTGACCTTGTGATCCACCCACCTTGGCCTCCCAAAGTGCTGGGATTACAGGCGTGAGCCACTGTGCCCGGCCAAAGGTGTAATTTTAACACCCCTGAGCCTGTTAAGGATACGCAGGATGGGCCAGTTTTTCTCCCTTGCTTGGAATAAAACTACAGTGCAGTGTCCCTAGCATCATTCATAAACCCAGCCCGATTTTTTCAGTGCAGGGAGTCATCCACCATTCCTGGCTTCCTGGAGCAACTTCCTGGTTGGTTGAACCAGAATATCTTTAAAGAGCTCTCCCATTATACAAATCTATGATTCAAATGCAATGATACATTTTAATGTATTTAATACATTCTGCCTAAGAAAAGCAGAAAAGAATTTGTCATGAAACTCCCCATGTCTTATGTTTTTTGGCTGAATATCAACATATTTGGTTTCAGGTTTTTGAAGGCACATTTTGGAAACTCTGAATGGGCTGTTTCCTTAGACAAAGATGTATTTGAATTTTTCTAGGCAAGTAACCAAATAAAATATATCCTGTAACATTTCAATAGTTCAGGCTAAGAATGAAACAAACACAGTTACTGATAATAAATATTATCTAGCATCTGAAGAGGTGTATTACTTTCCTAAGGTTAATATCCATCCCCTCACCAGGGTTATTATTTCACCTGAACCTTAACAGTGATGTAATGATGGCAGCCATGGCCCATCCGGAGTAACCACTGCTAAGATGCCAGCTGCAGCAGGGAAGGCATACCTGGGCTGTGTGATTCACAGAACCAGAGGGAGCCAGGAACTGGCAGAAGCTCACCTCTTCTGAGTTGGAGGGTTGGGAGCCCCATTCTCCCAGGTTTGGATACAGCTGCAGCTACCCAGCCACGGCTGTGGACTTGGGCATTCCTGTGCTCTTGGACTCCCAGAAGTTGCCCCTGCCCCTGCAGGCTTGGAAATGCCTATTCCCTCTGCCCAGCCTGTCCCCACTCCTGGTGCCCACTGAGATTTCAGAGCAAAGTTGAGGGTGAGCCCTAGCACTGTTGCAACTGGCTGGGTGTGCACGTCCTCAGGGCAGTGCTGACACACCAGTCCCCTGCCACCTCAGCCTCCTTGGGACTTTGAGCACCAATGACCATGGGAGGAAGGCCAAGGGGGTGCTGAGGGTGGCTTGGCACCAGCCTGCAGGTGCCCCTCAACACAAACAGCCTGCTGTTTGTGCAGGCTGAAAGTGGGGGAAGCCCCACTTTCAGGTCTGAGATGGCCTGAAGCCTGAGGGCAGGCTTCCAGTTCCATGGATCAGAGTGAGAATTGATGGTGCTTTTTCTGGGCCTGCCCATGTCTGTCCATGGTCCAGTTAGCAGGCACTTCCTCTCCTCTGAAGCCCATAATAACCCTGGACTCAGCCAGACTCCCTGCGACAACCTGCCTGCAGAGAGGAGCTACCCACTGTGGGTCTCCTCTCTGCTAAGAGCTGAACACTCACTGGGATGCCCTGTCTGCAGAGAGGAGCTACTAACTGTCAGTCTCCTCTGAGCTGTTCTATTGCTCAATAAAGTACCTCTTCACCTTGCTTACTTTCCACATGTCCATGTGCCTTATTCTTCCTGGATGTGGGGCAAGAACTCAGGAACAACTGAATGGTGAGGCTGAAAGAGCTGTAACATGAACAGGGCTGAAACAGACCCCTTGCTTGTCACAGTGCAGGTGATTAGAAGTAGACAAAAGAGAAGGAGAGAAGATCTGTGACCTGCTGGGGAACTCAGACTTAGGAACTCCCTGAGCCAGGGCTGTGACACCCTCTATGCCGTTCCTGGCATCTCCAAGCTTCCAGGTGCCACCACATTCCTCAGTGCCAGCCATGGAAGCTGCTTGTGGTACACCTGGTCACAGCTTTGCAAGGAGCCAGTACCTATGCCAGCACCTGTAGCTGCCTACCCAGCAGAAGCCAGCATGCCTGGCTCTGCACAGTGGCTGGACCGCATGCTCGCTTGCTCACACATCCCTCACTGGTCAGTGCTAGGCTCATCCTTGGCAGACATGAAATCCAGGCTGGTAGTTTGAGCTAAGCACTGCCTGCCAGGCCAGATGTAACAAGGCCAGTGGGCCCAAGAAAACTTGGGCAAAGGTGTCACTGGCCACAGAGGTTTCCAGCCAGAAAAGCAACACCGCAAGGATCCTGTGACATAACAGCCACGTACCAGACATCTTATTTAACAATAAGAATGTTGAATATTGGCCCCCACTCTCTTCTGGCTTGTAGGGTTTCTGCAGAGAGATCTGCTATTAGTCTGATGGACTTCCCTCTATAGGTAACCTGACCTTTCTCCATAGCTGCCCTTAACATTTTTTCCTTCGTTTAAACCTTGGAGAATCTGATGATTATGTCTGGCTAGCCATAAGCAGAAAAGTGAAACTGGACCCCTTCCTTATACCTTATACAAAAACTAACTCAAGATGGATTAAAGACTTAAATGTAAAGCCAAAAACCATAAAAACCTTAGAAGAAAACCTAGGTAATACTGTTCAGGATATAGGCATGGACAAAGACTTCATGACTAAAACACCAAAAGCAATTGCAACAAAAGCCAGAATTGACAAATGGGATCTAATTAAACTAAAGAGCTTCTGCACAGCAAAAGAAAATATTATCAGAGTGGACAGGCAACCTACAGAATGGGAGAAAATGTTTGCAAACTATTCATCTGACAAAGGGCTAATATCCAGAATCTACAAGAGAATTTAAACAAATTTACAAGCAAACAACAAACAACCCCATCAAAAAGTGGGTGAAGGATATGAACAGACACTTCAAGAAGACATTTATGCAGCCAACAAACATATGAATAAAAGCTCATCATTACTGGTCATTAGAAAAATGCAAATCAAAACCACAATGAAATACCATCTCACGCCATTTAGAATAGCAAACATTAAAAATTCAGGAAACAACAGATGCTGGAGAGGATGTGGAGAAATAGGAACGCTTTTACACTATTGGTGGGAGTGTAAATTAGTTCAACCATTGGGGAAGACAGTGTGGCGATTCCTCAAGGATCTAGAACCAGAAATACCATTTGACCCAGAAATCCCATTACTGGATATATACCCAAGGGATTATAAATCATTCTACTATAAAGACACATGCACATGTATGTTTACTGCAGCACTATTCACAATAGCAAATACTTGGAACCAACCCAAATGCCCACCAATGATAGACTGGACAAAGAAAATGTGGCACATATAGACCATGGAATGCTATTCAGCCATAAAAAAGAAAGAGTTCATGTCCTTTGCAGGGAAATGGATGAAGCTGGAAACCGTCATTCTCAGCAAACTAACACAGGAACAGAAAACCAAACACCACATGTTCTCACTCATAAGTTGGAGCTGAACAATGAGAACACATGGACACAGGGAGGGGAACATCACACACCGGGGGTCTGTCAGGGGGTGAGGGGCAAGGGGAGGGAGAACATTAGGGCAAGTACCTAATGTATATGGGGCTTAAAACCTAAATGATGGGTTGATGGGTGCAGCATACCACCATGACATATATAAACCTATGTAACAAACCTGCACATTCTGCACATGTATCCCAGAACTTAAAGTATAATAAAAAAGAATATATACATGTATTTTATTATATTGTGTATGTATGTTCTATTGTGTATTTCCTACTATACATATTGAAATATTTTTATTTTAGCTAACTTACCAGTATTTAAACCTGACACTTTAAATATTTAAAACGATGATATTCTAAGTTCTGCATAAATACAAACACATTAATACAACAGGAATTCAAGGTTTCAGCCACTGTATTACATGGGCGCATCATAAACAAATGGCATGTTAAGTTCTACTGCCATCACAGTGACAGTATAAATAATGGAAACGTACAGCTAGGATTGCCAATTTGCTCAGTAATGATTAAAAATAAGTGAAGCATGCACCAGAAGTTGTAGGATCATAGATTGCTCAGAAAAGAAAGAATAATAAATTTAGAAATATGCATCTACATTTTCATTTACTTTGTTTTTAAAAGATTTAAGTATTTAAAAAAGTGAAATTATTTTTAAAATATTTTTCTCTCCAGAAGTCTTTCTTTCACCTCTGTTAAGGTTCAGAAAACATAATTTAAACTACTTTTTAACTCACCCAAGCTGCTAAAGAAACCATGAAAAGATAACTTTCCTGAACACGTGTTTGCTTGCTTGCTTTCTACCTAGTAACAAACTCAAGGAGCAGATAACATGTCAAAAAAAGGTGGTATGTTCAGGTAAAATTTATTGGAACAATGAATTATTTTGCACTTTTATGAAGACAGTATTCAAGGAACAAGTGTTAGCAGATTCCTATATTGTTCATAACCTTTTAGAGCATGTTTCAAAAGAAACAATTTTTAAATTTGCTTCTTTATAGTATCTTAATATTTCTTTTTGTTTTGGTAGGTTTTGGCTTAGCATCTATCCTAATTAATCAAGGTTTTTGAACCTAGAATATCTGTAGAAAAAGGTTTGTTTGCATGCATACATACCTGTCACATTCACAAGCACAGAGAATAAAGTGAAGGAAAGTATTCAGATATCTCATCTGAACATGGTTGGAGAAACCAAACTGGAATCTTGAAGAGTAATGCAATTTAAACATATAGGTGTCAGAAATGCAAAAGGAGAACTAATAACAGGTGGACTATAACTGCATTATAGTGCAAAGTCTGTCACCCTTTCAGAGAGTCACATTAGGGTGATACTCGATAGTTATTTTAGCAAATTTATAGATTAAAGAGATTATCTTCCTACCTCAAGAAATGAATCATTAAATTCAAGGAACTATCACAAATGGATGGTATATTTTCACAGTGGTTCTCTTGGGAGTCTACAAAATTATTTGGTGTGGAGAGTTAGTGTTGTTTTGTTTTCTTCTATGAGGCCAGCCCAACAGATATTATCTAATATTTCCCTTCCACAGCTCCAGCTTTCCTACTTCCTGTGTCATAGCTTAGGTGGATGTTTTTTGTTGTTTTGCTTTTTTAAGACAGAGTTTCACTTTTGTGGCCCAGGCTGGAGTGCAATGACTCAATCTCGGCTCACCGCAACCTCCACCTCCTGGGTTCAAGTGATTCTCCTGCCTCAGCCTCCTGAGTAGCAGGGATTACAGGCATGCACCACCACGCCTGGCTAATTTTGCATTTTTAGTAGAGATGGGGTTCTCCATATTGGTCAGGCTGGTCTAGAGCTCCCGATCTCAGGTGATCTGCCTGCCGCAGGCTCCCAAAGTGTTGGGATTGCAGGTGTGCACCACCACACCCAGCCTGGTGTATGTTTCATAAACGTCAATGGACAGAACACTTACCTGGGAAGTGTGTTTAAAACAGAAATGATAGGTCTTAAATGGGTCTTTACCCTCAACCAATAATTCAGAATCAATGAACTAGGATCCTATGGCAAAGAGGTCACAAACCCTGTGATCAACTATGTTTTATGAACATGGAATTTAAAACTGCTTTCTTTCTTACTATAGGAATTTTTGGGGACTTCACTGGGATGATATGCCTTTTGAAACTTTAGAGGTGTAGAATTCAGAATCCTATTTTTTAACAGAATGTCTATCAACATATTTCAAATTATAATTTTCTGTTTAGCTCTATGTTTATCAATATGTTAAATGGTTTTTCCTTGAAGTAAAATCAACAACAAAACTTTTGTGTAAGATGAATTTTATTTCTTATCTCATATTCTAGTGGCAGATTATGCTCAAAATCCTGAAGTGTATTTTGGAATGCTCATGACTCTTGAATATTTTCAATTTTATTAAAAACTTATTTCTAGTTATTTTCTGGTTTGTTCTTTTAGTTTACTGCAGTTTTGTGAATTGGCTAATTCACAAAAGTATTGAGACAATGAAAATAAATATAAACTTCTGACATGTTTAACATCTGGTAGTTAGATGTAAACATATGGATCAAGTGCAGATGTTTTCAGATATTTGGCTAAGTTCACCTGTGAATCATAAATCATGGTTACAACCAAATGCTGCATAGCTAAAATAAAGAAATAACTAAACAAACAAATGACAACTTGATGTAAAGTTTTTTTTTTTTAACAGAGAGAAGGATTTTGGGATTTTAAAAAACTACATTAGTACTCCATCTATTTGTGTCCCTAGTTTTTGTTGTTGTTTTTTCTTATAACACTAATATTTTCTACTAAGATTATGAGAGAGTACAAACAAGATATCACATCTCAAATTCTGTTGCTGTCAAGTTATCCCTACACAGGATTATATACCCTGATGCCAGTAAGAGCTAATGCTTACTCAACGCTTACTCTGTACCAATGACTTTTCCAAGCGCTTACCATATATTAGCATATTTACACTCAAACCCTCCTCATGATATAGCTTATCTTATATTCATCCTTATTTTCAAGAAATAGTTGAGAAGCAGACTGTCTGAGACGCCCAACTTCACATGCTGGTGGTATCTAGGTCCATTTCCAAGATGTCTGACTCCAGAATCCACAGCCTGAATACACACTATTGTGCTTAGTTTTGTTGATTCACTCGAATAGGCTATTCAGTTATGTAAAAAGACACTAACCTAGGTGTTGTTGGGAGAGTATTTTGTAGATGTGCTTAATATCTATAATCAGTTGACTTTAAGTTAAACAGATACCTCTGATAATGTGATGATCCTCATCCAATTGTTGAAATGACTTAAGGATGAAAACAGTATTCCAGGAGAAGAAATTCTGCCTCAAGATTGAAGAATCATCTCCTGTTTGAGTTTCCAGCATGCCAGCATGTACTAAAAATTTAGGACTTGCCTGTATTATAGATTTCAAACTTGCCAGCTCCCCGTCACATGAACCAATTCCTTAAGATAAATTTCTTAGTACAAACACATGTATTTTATTGGTTTTCTTTCTTTAGAGAACTCTGACTGATACACATACCATGCTATAAAATGCCAAGATATATAATGTTTCTCTTCATTAACAAAAATGTGCCCTTACTGGCATATGCCAGCTACTAAATGCTTAAAAAAAAAATCTGTCCTTGTCACAGAGTAGTTCGTTATCAAAGAAACCTGGTATGCTGAGGTAAACTAATGCCTAAGTTATGTTCCAAGAACAAATTCTAATGTAATAGTCTGATGTTCATCCCATGAGATAGAGAATAGCCTACATTTATTGATGGCTCTTTATGCTCTTCCCACTTGCTAAAATTCTACTTCTCTTTCAAGATCTGGCTTAGCCACATGTACTCCATTAAAGCCCTGCTGATTATCCAAGTAACATGGACTTTTCTCCCCCTTGAAATAACAGAGCATTTATTCTACACTTTTTATATTGTCCTCTAATTATTTATGACTGAGTATCTTTATTACACATCAGATTCTGAGTTCCTAAACCATGTCTCGCTAATATCCATAATGGATTTTAGCAGGTGATCCACTAAACAAGTTTTCAGGAAGTACCTGTTGGTTTGTCAATTTGACTTGTAGTAACCTGGAATAAGCCTGTTTTTTAGAAATGCACCCTTTATGAGAATATCTGATTTGCTGTCTCAAAGCAATAATGCTCTATTCAAATGACATTGAAAACTTAAAATAGAGTATGGCATATTTATAGAGACAGAAAAACGGATGATCTTAAGACCACACACTAAACAGTAGCCCAAGAATGTGTCAAAGTTTCATTAAGATTTTCGGCTGCATATATGTTTTACATGTTATGCGTTACGTAGAATTGATTTTTAATTGATAAGGATTTCTGGTAATCCTTACATTGCTCTTTTTACATAGCTAATCACCATAAACATTTATTACCTTAATGATATTTTACATGATCTAATCATATTAGACTAGTGACATTCATGATATGTTTCTTCAAAGCTATTCACAAATATAAACATTCACTTTGTATTCTATTTTATGCTTTTGTGTATAAATCCTATGTGATAGCTGGGAGCCATCATTGGTAGTTAAATTGATTTTCAGAGCCTTTCATATACAGAATAAAACTTAAATTTCCTTAAGGGAGTTTTCTACGTTCCAACAAGTAGTAGCTCATTGCAGTATACAAGGTAACTATCAACTGAGCAATTTAATACTTGTACAGATTTTCAGCATTTGAGTGTCAAGTTTATTCCTCAAAAACATCTTACTTTACTACCTCTCAGGACTCAGTGACAGTATATTATTGATGAAAAGATATATGTCTTTTGTTTGGAATTATAAAAATCCAATGCACTAACCTAAGCTGAGGTGGCAAAAAATGGAATCTTAGGCTTTAGAGCTAGATATTTTTTTAAAAAAATTTTATTTTCTATTGTTTTCTTTTTAAAAATTCTATCATTACTCTGTCATCAATGTTTTTTAGTTAGGAGATTTCACATAAAATTCTATATTTATAAGTTATTTAGTGATATCAAGATATTTGGCAATATGAATGTGTTCCTGCATGGCTAGCACTAAGTAAATTTTCTTTAAAGACAAACATTTTTCTTCCATTAATTCTAATCCTCATTTTATTCTATTACAACTGACTAAAGACAGTCATTGAAATGACCTGGCTGTGCTATAAGATTTTGAGGATAGTGACAAACTTTATCTATATTATTATTGTAGATTCAACTTTACCTTTAAGGCCTATCCTCTGATTCATGGCCCACCATATGTAAGAGTCTCATATAAATAAATTTTTTGTGTCCCAACTCCTTTACTATCATCGTAGGTGTCATTAGTCTATAAAAGATAAAACTACGACTGAAGTCTCCTAATGCTTCAGAAGATAAAGGACATTTGCATAATGATACATTTGGATACACTGCCAACACTAACAATTTTAAAATTCATAATTTAAAAAATATTCTTACTGAATTAGTTGCTTCTATTTTCTCATTCTTATCACTGACAACTTCAGTTAGGGAGGAGCTGATACAGAGGTTTCAGAGTAACATGGTTAGTCTGAAAGTGCTAAATAGGTTATTTAGCTCTTATTTTGCTTCAATTAATAGAAAGTCTTGTGTTTTCAATAACAAGGGAGCTTAAAATGAAGATGTAATTTCACCGATCATTAAGACATTGAAATGCAGAAATGGAAAAGTGACACTAGCCTAGTAGATAGCTCCAACATTTAGCATATCATGTTGGCTGACATGGTGTGACCGTGGCAAAGGAGGAATTGATTAATTCATGAACAAAACAGGCTAGAAGATAACCCATAGTGTTAATTGTACTTATAAATAAAAACCAAAGACTTGTTAGTCCCCATGATCATTGTACCCAGGCACTTCATGTCTGATAGAATAATGCATGACACCATAGGTAGTTCCGCATACCATCTACAGAGCAACACTTTCATCTCTTATTACCTTAAACAATGCAGAATTGGTTCTGTATGGCAGTCATATTTTTGAAAAATGAAATAGAAATACCCAGTATTTAAAAATTGGGGAGTAGGCCACATACATCAAACATTTTGTGTAAGAGGTTTTGGGTTATTTTATTTTTTTTCATCCTCTAATAAAATTTAAGAGTGTTAGCCTGCCATTTCCAATTTCATGCTTGCATGCTGATTTTTCTAACTACTTACCATTCTGTTTCAGACAAAGGAACAACAGGAGGACTAAAGTGTAGGAAATTTGTATTTTTCTAAGTAAAATTGATGCATCTCATTTATACACCACACACAACATATGAGCAAAACTTTTAAGAAGGTTTTTATTCTTCAAAAGAAGAAATGTACAGCTTCTGGAATCGAAGACTCAGCTTCATTATTCATGAACCAACAAATTTTATCTAAGTCATATAACCTGCCTGAGCTTCATTTGGCTTTTCTATAAAAAATAATAATAGAATAATAGAACACTTTACAGAATTATAGGAAACAAAAGTAGATATACAGATAAAGGCTACAAATGCCAATCTAAGTTATATATACTACAAATTACTATCATCTTAATGTTTTCTCACCTGAATCCTCCGGATTTCTCTCAGCACTCCATCCCAGGACACTAAGTGTTACCACTTGGAATTCATGTTGACTGTGGTTTTGTCTACAAGAAAAAAAAATCCAAATCAAGAGGTTCTTCTTTTTCAATTTACTCTCCATAACAGCAAAATAAAGCTATACCTCATTCAATCAAGGTTATCCTAGGAACTTATCAAATAAACATTTATAGCTAAGTTGTTTCTGGATTAGGAACTGATTTAACACAAGAAAAAATAACAATGATAACTGCGATAATGAAAATAAATAAAATGTCAGGGTTCTTGAAATGGACAGCAGCCTTTTACATGTAAATTTATCACATATAAAACCATGTACATGTAAACTGACTTTATTTACAAACATCATCTCATATATCTCATAGATACCACCTTTATTTTATTTTTTAAAATAATAGTTGTAATTTATTGAGATACTACTGTGCATAAAGATATTTTTAAATCTTACAAAGAGGTTAATAGTAATCATCATGTTTAAAAAATAAATAAAGCATTGAGAGTCAACTGTTACATAACCAGAAGCATAAGATGATAGAATAAAGGTTGTTTGAGTAGAAAATCCATGACTTATTAACAATTGTGTATCAATTAGTGTGAAGAAAGTATGGTGATTATCAAGAAAAGGACATAACTGTCTTCAATTATTTTGAAAGGCTCATACAAAAGAATAATTAGTTTACATCTTCAGATTCAAATAGGAGAATTAGAACCAGTGAGTATTCGAAGATTAAAACAACAGATTTCTGCTAAATTAGAAGAAATCTGATAAGACTACACATTTAGAATGGAATTGGACTACCACTTGGCTGAGTAAAGATGTCTTTGCTCTGTGCCCTGAGGTTTACCATCATCTTTTGGATCATGGTGAAGACAAAACAAATGGCAGCCATGGACAATTTGGAGAGTAAGAAGTACATAGGCTTGTGGAGGTGGGAGTCAGAACTGATGGCCAGGATAATGAGCAGGTTTCCAAGCACTGTGACCAGGTTCATGGACAGAAACAGCCCAAGAAGGGGCTGCAGTTCTGGATCTCCTGAGAGGCTCAAAATGAGGAATTCTGAAAATTCTGCAAGGTGTTCTGATTGCATGTAGCTGGCATGTCTGCTGGGGAAGGAGGCAAAAGCAACATTCAATGAATAGCCAACTGGCACTTCACCTCATCATCACTTTACAGTATCACCCTTAGATGGACATTTTTCATCCTCTTTGGAGTCCTCCTCAAAACTGTGATACCACCTTTATTATTTCATATCTATATAAACCCTGTATTATCACCTTTGTCTAAGTCATTCTACAACTAAGTGCTGGATCTGAGTTACCAGATAGTTTTTCATCACACAAAACTACCAAAAACAAGGAAATTCACACTCAGTGACTGTTAGCAGAAAACTTTTAAGAAGTTTTTCCTGACACAGTAGCGAAGTGCCTATCTGCTCACACTATACAGAGGGCTGGAATAACATTCAGGCGGGTCCAAGCATGGAATAGAGTGAGAATATGTGAAGCAAAAAACACCATCTTGTGCATTAAGGTAATTTACTCTAGCTGTCCTAATAGACAGGTAAAAAAAATTTCAGCGACTTAACTATAAAAGTATATTTGTCACTCTTTATAGTCTGATGAAGATCAGGTATCTTTTCTTAGTCTCAAGACCTAGTTAAATCAACTGTAAAACACGGTCCCATGGATACGTAGCAGGGAAAATGAGATATGAAAGAGACACACCAGCTACTACATGCTTGGATCTCAAAGTTACACATTCACTTCATTTAAAAAATAGCCACATGGGACTATCTTTTTGAAAGGTAGGCTGAAATTACAGGTAAGTCATTGCTGTCATTTAACAGTAAGGAGAGGGACCACCTAACCCCATATTTGATGTAGATATATAGACTGGTGATACCACACATGCACCAAGAGGGCATAAACAGATTTCTTACTCATATAAGAAGGTTTTGAGGAAAGAATATGGGAAAGGCTCTCACATAATTCCAAGTAAGTGCAGATAGAGCCAAAATATCAGAGAGGAGTGACTGGCTTGGGGTTTTATAGTGGTGAAGGGATAAAGCTGCGCTAAAGGGTGCCTCACAAGAGCCAGGTTTCAGCTTCCTACCGTCACCAAATAAGAGAGCATGCAGGCTTTCTTATCAGCATTCCCAGCTGTGGGAAAGAAAGGGGAAATGGGGATTGAAAGATATCAGAAGTCAATCATCAAAATTAGAGTAAAATGCTTTATTATAATTTACTTTTGATGTTTAAGTGATGATTGAAATTGCTTGCTTCATTTACTTGCATTTGAAACTGTTTAGATAAATCATTGGGATATTCTATGAGGCCTGTAGCCTCAGGTTGATAAAGAAGCCAGAAGTTCCATTGAACATCTTGTTCAAAAGCCCAGCATTATGTATTTTAAGTAATAAACTGAATGCTTTGACCATTCATTTTAATAATGCCTAAAGAGGAATTATGTAATTCGAATAACATTACTCAAAATAATAATGACCAATTCTGAAGGGGAAAGGAGCATGTTTGTGGGGACTTACATTGTAGCTTTAGTATGTGTAGAGACATGTGTGTCTTTGATTTGTAGTACACATGTTCAAAATCTGTGCAGTATGAGACTCCAGAATTCTTTGCCCTAAAGGAATACACTAGAATAAGAAATTGTGGTTTCCATTGGCTATATCAGACAGTCAAATAAATGGCCATTGCCCAAGAGTCTGTAAAAAGTGTTCTGACAGGGCTTATTATTTTCAAGAAAATTCATTGTTAAGATGACTACTCGAAGTTCAGGTAATTGTGCTAACCCTTGGGCCTCATCATTTATCAGGTATTTCAGTTAAGCGGTGAAAAACAGTAGCTCCCCAACAAGCTTCATGACATGTAATGGTGGCACTGTCATCCATAAACGTACAATTTCCCTTTGAAATTCACAGGAAATGTCCCAAGTAGTCAAGAGATCTAAGAGATGAGTGGCCTTCTCCAGCATCATGTCATTTGGCAATGGACTAAATATGATACACCAAACTGTCCAGTACTGGTTCTAGCTTATAGGTACAATTTTCTTTTCAACAACAAGGCTTTTGGCTGTGCCTAGCCATAGAATAAAGCTTCTATAAACCAAGGCATAATGGACATCTGGAAATGGAGGGTTACAGGCTAAGGGCCTGTGAGAGACTCTATTTCCAGGTGATCAAAATATGCGATCACCAATTGTCACTCTAATAGCATATAGTGTGAAGCTGAGGCAGGTAATTTCTTGCTTAGAACCAATGGACCATTTTTGGTCATCATGGGTAACCCAGAGACTACAGGAGGAATAACAGAATATTGCTAAGTTCTTTACAATAAAGGGGATTCTTGTGAATACTAAAAAGAGTGCCCATGATATTGCAATTTGGATTCCAAGGCCTTTTTAGTAAAAGTTTTATTCAAGGTAGTCCAAGTTGTAAGTAACACCATAAATGGGCTTAAGTAAAATTTAAATAAAGAATTAGTTGCAACTAGAACACAAAAAGGTGAAACAGATGCTGGGCTTATTTTAATATTGTGGTTTTTGAGAGGGTAAATAAATGTCTTGACAGTGTTAGGGATGGAGTGGTCCTCAGATAACCAAATAATTTTCAGGAATGAATGGAGGTGGTGCAGCCTTGTGGTATGTGTGGGGCTATGTCTATATCCTCTTTGCCAGCTCTTTTCCGACCATTTTCATATCCTGGATGAGTATGGAAAATAAATCTTGGAGGTGGAGGATATCATCAGGGTGATGTCACACCTGTGCTCCTAGCAAGAGTTAGATGCAATTAAAACATATTCATAAAATTGTATTATTTACAGTAATCTAAGTTATAATACCTGGCAACTGAAAAATACACAATTCATCAATTCATGGAACCCTTTAAATAACCAGTCACCTTTACCTTCAAATAAACTCTCCTGACTGCCCCACGTGACCCTCAAAGTTTTCTCTCCGTTCCTCAAAGTTATGACCTTCACCTCATCCACTTCCTTATCTATTCCACCTCATTCACTTTTCTTATCTACAGACTTTATAAAGAGCTTTCAAATATATTTCTTCATTCGATTATTACAACAGAACTAAAGGTAGTTATGTTCTACGTGCTAAAAGAAGAGAGAACTAAAGTTCTGGAAGGTAAATGGATTACTTAGGGACACTGCTACTAAATAGGAGAAAAACAGCACTAACGAAGTCTTCTAATTCTCTGGCCTATTTTCTTCTGTCTTTCTTATGTTTAAACCCAAAACCCACAGAGTTATGTCTGCACCTGGCTAATGTTAAGGACATGAGGATTTTCCTTATGCCTAGGTAGGTAGAAGAACGCTTTCATGGAAGCTATTAAAAGGTTCTAACCACCAATTTTTTTTCAGTACTTATTACTGTGACCTCACTCCACCATCTGTAATATGTGTATCTGGATTAAACCAAAGCTCATTCCAGCAATAATCTGCAAAATAAAATTGGAAAAGAAATTCTATTTAGGATAACTGATTGATTGATTGATTGATTTTTTCATTATGAATTAACTTGTTATATTGCTTAGTAAAAATGTATAAATATAGTTTATTGAACAAGTAACTTTGGTAGGTAAGAAATAACACACGACTGGATGCAGGATTTGGATTTCCTGCTTTTAATGGATATGCCAAATAAAGTTTCATAAAATGTTTTTTGGATAACACAGTTTAGGCTTCAGGAATTAAACTGAGTAAAGATATGAGAAAGCTGATAAAATGATCTCCACTGGTCTTAAAATTTTGCGTAGGTTGATTAACTTCACAGATAATACGATATTAACAGCATTTTAGAAAAAGTTTTTAGTCCATAGTAGAATTTCAAGCAAATGTTTTGAAATCCATAGGATCATAAATAATTATAATTTGAAAAAAAGTTAAAGAACTTGTTTACCTACAGTATTTTTTATATAAGGACAAGAGGACACTAGATAAAGCAAGTAACTTGTTAAAAGTAAGAGACGGGCTGGGCGCGGTGGCTCACGCCTGTAATCCCAGCACTTTGGGAGGCCGAGGCAGGCGGATCACAAGGTCAGGAGATTGAGACCATCCTGGTTAACACGGAGAAACCCCGTCTCTACTAAAAACACAAAAAATTAGCCGGGCGTCGTGGTGGGCGCCTGTAGTCCCAGCTATTAGGGAGGCTGAGGCAGGAGAATGGCGTGAACCCGGGAGGCGGAGCTTGCAGTGAGTGAGTTGAGATCGCGCCACTGCACTCCAGCCTGGGCAACAGAGCGAGACTCCGTCTCAAAAAAAAAAAAAAAAAAAAAAAAGTAAGAGACAGGGTTTGGACCAGAGTTGATTTTATGGCCATCTGTACTCTATAGTGTCACTACAATGAACTACTTGCAGTTCTCAAATTTGGATTATGTCTTTCGTTTTTTTCTTTTCTTTGCCTATACATTGTCATGGCCCTCTACTCTATTGGGTTCACATGGGCCCTACTTGCCCTATAAGGCTTACTTCAGGATATCTCTAATAACTTATTCTGGGTTAGGACATCAGTCTTAGTCCATTTTGTGCTGCTAGCACAGAATACAGTATAAATAACAGACTGGGTAATTTATAAAGAACAGAGATTGATTCCTCACAGTTCTGAAGGCTGGGAAGTCCAAGATCAAGGGTCTGGATCTGGGGAGGGCCTTCTTGCTGCATCAGGAGACAGTGGAAAGCATTAAGTGGTGAGGCAATACATTCAAGACAGCAAAAGAGGGCCCAGCTCACTCTATTTCTATTTTTATTTTTTTTAGAGATAGGCTGTTTCTAAGTTTTCAAGGCTGGCCTCAAACTCTTGAGAACAATAAACCCTCCTGCCTCAGCCTCTTGAGTAGCTGAGGCTACAGGCATATACCACTATACTTGGCTTCAATTCACTTTCATAAGGAACCCATTCCTACAATAACTACATTAATCAATTCATGAGAGCAGAGCCTCATGACCCTAATTATCTCAAAGTTTCCACTTACTAATATTGTTGCACTGGGGGTTAAGTTTGTAACACAAACTTTGGGGGACACATTCAAACCATAGCTGCCTTTCTCAGTGTGTCTTTTATGCCATATGAGATTAATATTATCTAGTACTTATTACATAGAATATACTTAAATGTTAACTTATCTACCCTTTAGACCTCACATATATCCTTATATTCTTAAATTCTATTCTTCTTTTTTAACTTTAATGGTAATTACTATCTCTAATTACTATCCCTAATCCCTCAATGGCTGACAAAAAGTAAATGCCAAATAAATGTTGAATGCAAAATGAATGGATAGATAATTAAAACTTTCATTTTATACAATACAAATTTTCTCTTGTTTCTATATTACTATAATGTAAAATCCCCTCTATGCAACAAGAAATTTAAAATGGACCTTTTTTTCTAGCAGACCATTATTTACAATATCATAATGGCTACTAGTAGTTATCTCTTCAAGTTTAATAATATCTCTGTTCATCATAGGTTAATGAATTTATTATATAACTTTAAATCACTGTTATTTCTCAAATTTATTATAGTTCTTCCATTTCAATTTCCCAGTAAGGTCTCCAATACAGAACAAATCTGTTGGGAAGGATGTATTATAATTTTCAACTGTCATCTTTCCATTCATTTATTCTACATAACCAACAGGCATTTACTTCTATATTTTGACAGTTTCAGTTTCACTGAAATATTCATAATGTTCTCAGCCCCAAGCAGTATTTTCTTTAGAACCTTCTGTAAATTCATATCACATCAGGAGGATAAGGCATTTTAGGTTATTTCAACTACTTTGCATTGAACACAAACACATTCATCAGATTAAAGGGACATTGTCAGAGGCACAATAGAGCATTGGGGATCTCCACGCAAAAAAAGTAGCTAATATTTCACATGTGGAGAAACGTTTTATGAAAGTTTTGTCATAATTACTTTCCAAGTAGGAAATAAAAGGTATATATTTCATCCAAGTATAAGACAACTGTGTTGATTTTTCTAACATGCTCAACTTATGTTTTAGAGAAAATTTCCTTTAGTTCCTCTAAATCTATTTTATTTAAGATGTTTAAATATATTCATCAAAAGTGGTATAAAAATTATACATTACATACTTCCTTAATCATGTATTCTATGAGACCATTATATAATTCAAATTAATGTCTTCATCATTTTTACAAAACATATTTAAGTATCCATTTACTGTTATTTTAGGAATGTAGTTTAAAGATGTCTACAATAGTAGAAAATTACGTGTTGTACTTAATTATAAATCTATAAAGTATAGGTTATATCAAGAACTACAAACACCTGAGATTTTATAATACCTGCAAACTAACAAGATAGCTTGTCACAATGTCATGAATACTAAAAGAATACAAAATATTTCTGGATCAGAGACAAAGGGGAGTAATTCCTCATAGAAATAGCAGTAATGGGAGTACCACCATTTTCCTACCCTTATTGCCTGAGCCTCAGTTCCCACAAGAAGATCTGATCATCCTGAAATCATCAGGTGAAGCCTGCACCTGCAATGAATTGTGTTACAGAAGAGAGAACTTAAGTTTAGAAAACTTGAGTCTTTTATATGGATCTGTAAGTGAACTTGCTCTTTTTCCTGAAGCTAGGCAAATTATTGTGACTGAAACACCAGGTGTTTGGGCTACATACTGCTGTTTGCTGCACAGAAAGTCAATCACTGAAAAAATGAGTATTGCCAAGTAAGAAGGCTTTAATTGGGTGCTGCAGCTAAAGAGATGAGAGATCAGTCTCAAATCCATCTTCCTGACCAATTAAAATGAGGAGTTTATATGCCAGGAAAGAAATGTAACCATGCGTAGGGAAACAGGAATTAGAGAAGGATAAGAGAGGGGTTGGTCAACAGAGAGCAGGTGGTCATTTAGGCTATCATGATGGGTGAGGGGTCTGACATCTCATTGTCCAAATGCAGTGAACTGGTGAGTTTCAGCTCCTTGCTATCTCTGAAGCCTGTTGGTTGGTTTCCTGAGAAAGGAACTCAGATAAAATGAATGTAACTAGAATTTCTAAAGTTTTAAGACTGGGAGGAACAATATCTATATTTATTCAAAGAAACTATAAACATCAGCTTGATGGGACAACTGGGTCAGATTCATTATCTTTGTTACACTGGAGTAATTATCTGCATTACACTAGAGAGTAAACAAATCTGCCCTCTGCCCTAAATGAATGTACTTTCTATATTTTTAATTATTTGTAATCCTTGAAAACAGAGCTCAGAATGAAAGCTGTCAGTGTCTCTGCTTGCAAGATGTGTAGAAATGTGACCCCCATGGATAACTGACCCATGATATGTGACTATCTCATTTAATTTTCACTTGAGATGAAGACATTTTATTCTCCAAAACCTTGTAACTGTGTATTACACACTTCTTTTAATATTTCTTGAGCTAAGTGGCAGCTGTGCACTGATTTGGAAAGAGTTGTTCAGTAAAATCTAGAATTAGAGAACATATAAATATTAGTTTGGAATAAAGTATTGTTTCTTTCTCTCTTTTTTTGCCACTCATCTCTATTTGATGAAAAAAAATCAGACTTGTTTATAACCATACAGAAAGATAAAGGTGTAACACTCCTGAAAAAAATTCTACCTCCCAGGATTGTTTCAAGGATTAAATGGTAAACCATTAAGATTATTTTATTTTATTTGTTTTTATTTTTATTTCTTAAAATTTAATTTTTTATTTCAATAGTTTTGGGGGGGGGACAGGTGGTGTTTGGTTACATGAATAACTTCTTTAGAGGTGAGTTCTGAAATTTTGGTGCACCCATCACCTGAGCAGTGCACACTGTACCCAATGTATAGTCTTTTATCCCTCACCCTGGCTCCCACACTTTACATTGAGTCCCCAGAGTCCATTGTATCATTTTTATGCTTTTGCATCCTCATAGCTTAGTTTCCACTTATGACTGATAACACACAATGTTAGGTTTTTCATTCCTGAGTTACTTCATTTAGAATAATGGTCTCCAATTCCATCCAGGTTGGTACAAATGCCATTATTTTGTTCCTTTTTATGGTTGAGTAGTATTCCATGGTATATAGATATGTGTATATATATACGTGTGTGTGTATATATACGTGTATGTATATGTGTATATATACTATATATACATCTATACATACTATATATATGTGTATATATACTATATATACATCTATACATACTATATATATGTGTGTATATATATATACCCATATACCACATATTTTCCTCTGTGTAGATACCCAGGAGTGGGATTGCTGGATCAAATGGTAGATGTGCTTTTAAGGAATTTTCACACTGTTTTCCATAGTGGTTGTACTAGTTTACATTCCCACCAACGGTGTATAAGTGTTCCATTTTCACCACATCCAAGCCAACAACTATTATTTTTTGATTTTTTTATTATGATCATTCTTGCAGGAGTGAAGTCATATTGAATTGTGGTTATTTGAATTTCCCAGAATAATTAGTGATGTTGGGCATTTTTTCATCTGTTTGTTGTCCATTTGTATATCTTCTTTTGAGAATTGTCTATTCCTGTCTTTTGCCCACTTTTTGATGGGATTGTTTGTTTTGTTGTTGCTGATTTGTTTGACTTCCTTGGAGATTCTGGATATTAGTACTTTGTTGTAAAACTATAAAAAACTGCTGAAAAAAATCATAGATGACACAAACAAATGGAAACACATCCCATGGTCATGAATGGGTAGAATCAATATTGTGAGAATGACCATACTGCCAAGAGCAATCTATAAATTCAATGCAATTCCTATCAAAATACCACCATCATTCTTCACAGAATTAGAAAAAAAATGCTGTAATTCATATGGAATGAAAAAAGATCCTGCATGGCCAAAGGAAGACTAAGCAAAAAGAACAAACCTGGAAGTATTATATTACTTGACTTCAAACTATACCATAAGGCCATAATCAACAAAACAGCATGGTGCTGATATAAAAATAGGCATATAGACCAATGGAACAGAACCCAGAAATAAATCCAAATACTTAGAGTCAACTGGTCTTTGACAAAGCAAACAAAACTATAACGTGGAGAAAGAACACCCTATTCAACAAACAGTGCTGGGATAATTGGCAAGCCACATGTAGAAGAATAAAACTGGATCCTCATTTATCTTTTTATACAAAAATCAACTCAAGATGGATCAAGGACTCCAATCTAAAACCTGAAATCATTAAAATTCTAGACAATAAATCAGAAAAACACTTCTAGATGTTAGCTTAGGCAAAGACTTCATAACCAAGAACCCAAAAGCAATTGCAACAAAAACAGAGATAAATAGATGGGACTTAATTAAACTAAAAAAGTTTCTGCACAGCAAAAGAAATAATCAGCAGACTAATCAGACAACCCACAGAGTGGGAGAAAATCTTTGCAATCAATCTAAACTATGGTTTCTTGATCTATATAGTCTTGATCCATTTGCATAAGAACTTCTTAGGGAGCTTCATAAAATGCTGCCTTTTGAGGCTCAGCCCCAGATTCACTGGATCAGTGTCTCTAGTGTTGTGATCTGGAAAGTAGACATTTTTTAACAAGCCCTATAGGTAATTTTGTGTGCACTTACATTTTAGAACAGCAGGTAAAAGATAAATAGATAGATATTTAAGGTGATTTCAGAGTAAATTTAAAGCCACTAGATAAGAAAAATATTTTAAATAAAGAAGAAAGTCAGCAAAATCTGGGAAATACAATCTAGGAATATTTGAAAGTTTTGGCTCATTTAATGACTACTTATACACCTCCTTCTGGAATGTGAACCATCCTCAAAGGAGTGCAGAAATTGCAGCAGTCCTTACCCCAGCACATGAAATTTTGCAAGTCACATCTTAAGCCATTGTAGGGTAATTGCCAAAGCAAAGAAGGTATAATTTGATAACAAAAGAAATTGAAATGCTTCTATCCACTACTGTTAGTTAGTTTTCCAAACCTTGCTAATGTACCTCTCCCAAAACCTTGCTAATGCCTGGCATAATATCAAATAAGTATTTGCTAAACAAATGTATCTGTATTTTTATTTATAACTAAGTCTATCTATATCTACATAGGGTAGTGGAAAGCAAACAATTGAATGTAAAAAGTGAGAATGAGTAAAAACAGTATTTTTATATATTTTTTTGGAATTAATATTTATGGAATGTGTCTCCGTATCATTGTTTCAGTCAAATGTGGAAGTCAGTGTGGCGATTCCTCAGGGATCTAGAACTAGAAATACCATTTGACCTAGCCATCCCATTACTGGGTATATAACCAAAGGACTATAAATCATGCTGCTATAAAGACACATGCACACATATGTTTATTGCAGCATTATTCACAATAGCAAAGACTTGGAACCAACCCAAATGTCCAACAATGATAGACTGGATTAAGAAAATGTGGCACATATACACCATGGAATACTATGCAGCCATAAAAAATGATGAGTTCATGTCCTTTGTAGGGACATGGACGAAATTGGAAATCATCATTCTCCGTAAACTATCACAAGAACAAAAAACCAAACACCGCATATTCTCACTCATAGGTGGGAATTGAACAATGAGATCACATGGACACAGGAAGGGGAACATCACACTCTGGGGACTGTTGTGGGGTGGGGGGAGGGGGGAGGGATAGCATTGGGAGATATACCTAATGCTAGATGACGAGTTAGTGGGTGCAGCGCACCAGCATGGCACATGTATACATATGTAACTAACCTGCACAATGTGCACATGCACCCTAAAACTTAAAGTATAATAATAAAAGAAAAAAAAGGGAGTTTCTAATTAAAACCCAACTTGTGAAAATTGGTTCTATTTAATGGCCTTTAAATAGAAAAATATGGAAGCTCTTCTATTACACTATAGCACACTACAAGGTCTGTTGATGGCCAAGTTATGTTTACTAGTTCTTTTCAATAATTGAATTTTCTAATCATTTAGCAATAGAAAAAGTTGCAAAAATAACAACTACAGAATTTTCTAGGGCTGATTATCTTAACTCCATTCGGCCTTATGAAACAGCATTAAAGATGTCCTTCCTTTAGCATTTCTGCAAAGTACATTTTGTTCTCCCTTCTCTTCCTTTCAGAGCTGGAATGTGCTTCTCAAATAATCCAAAGTAGCTAAATAATTTACATTATATATAATGTAAATTCTATATGTAATATATATTTAATATATCATATATTTACTTTGTAAATATATAATAATAAAGACAAGATACTACTTTGCCATGGTTTGGGATAAAGGAACAACACTTATTTTAGTCAATGTATTTTTACTCATTGACTAGGCTTCTGATTTTATGCAAGTTTCTACAAACTACAACCCACAGGCTAAATTTTACCTACCACCTATTTTTATAAATAAAATTCTAATCAAATCATAAACCTTGCCAACGATCAAAGAAGGCTAGAAGTCTCAGAAGAAAACAAACAATACTACTGGAAAAGGTAGAGTAAGAATATGTCCTAAAAAGTTAAAAACTACTAACATTGTCCTAAACTATGAAAGTGCTGTGGCATTATTAATTTTCTTGAAAGAAATTTAAATCATTTTATGTTATTTGATAAACATCTAACTGAACTATTACAATCATATACCTATATGCATTTCCCTTTTATTTAATACATGTTCAAACATTTTTGTAACAGTGAATTGAGAAAGGAGAATGAAGAATTATTTAATTCTAACAATTACATTTCTCTATATTTTTATCCATCACATATCTTACATTTTTTTCTCATTATGATTCAATAAGAGAGAACAGGGTAATGTAGTAGACTACAGGCAGTAATATAAATGGTCAGAATTACCCGAATTCATTGGCATTTCACATGGAAAGCTTTTATCTCTTTAATTATTGAAAATCATTCAAACAAAAATTCCTCTATTAAAGATCACTTATCTTTGGATAAGATACTTGAAATTATAGAATGGTCAAACTGATATTTTCTATGTCAATAAAATTTTAAAATAAATCATACTAGATTCTAATAGATATAAATTTTAAGATTCAAATTTTGACTGTTCTATGCTTAAAATGAGAAAATCCTTTTTTAGATATAAAGGTAACTAAGAGATTGGGAATGTAAGTCTCCTATTAAGTTAATGGCTTTACCTAATTCTTCTGTCTGATAAAAGGCAGTTCATTGTATTTAATCATCTTTTAAAACTTTTTTTTCTTTTTTTATTATACTTTAAGTTCTGGGGTAGATGTGCAGAAGATGCAGTTTTGTTACTTAGGTATACACATGCCATAGTGGTTTGCTGCACTCATCAACTCGTCACCTACATTAGGTATTTATCCTAATGCTATCCCTCCCCTAGACACCCTGAAGTATAATGTACATACTTTATATTTCACCCATTACAAGTACACAATTCAATGATTTTTTGTGAACTTTTGGAGTCATGTAACCATTTCCACAATTCAGTTTTAGAACATTTTATGACACAAAATGAAAGCTTGTACCTATTTACAGTCACTCCCTTATCTCACTACCAGGCCCAAAGGGCCAATGTTATGCTTTTTGTCTCTATAAATAGACTTCTTCTGGATATTACATATAAGTTGAACCATACAATGGGTCATCTTTTGCATCTTTCTTCTTCCACTCAGCATTTCTGGAGGTTAATCTATGTTGCAGCACATATTATTAGTAGTATGTAATAGGTATTAGAATTTTATTCCTTTTTATTGCGAAACAGTTGATGGTCATCTGGATTGTTTTTGTTTTTCGGTTGTTATGCATAATGTTACTGAAAACATTCTCACATATATCTTCACGTGGATTTTTAAAATTTTTCTTGGAGAATATGTAGGAGTTGAATTTGTGGGTCCTACGGTCAGTTTATGTTTAATTTTTAAGAAACTGTTAAATCATTTCCAAAATAGCTTTACTATTTTATATTCTCACAAGCAATATTGAGGGATATAGTTTTCTATATTCTAGCAAATACGGCATTTTCTGCTAGTTATTCCAGTGTTCGTTTAATTGCTTCTCCCTGATGTCTAATTAAGTTTAGCATCATTTTATATGCTTGTTAGTAATTCATATTTCATTAGTGAAATATCTATTCAAATCTTGTACTCAAATTTTAATTGGGTTGTTTGCCTTATTATTGAGTTTTAACTGGATAAAAACTTGAAATATTCTAAATAAAAGTTTTTGATCAGATATATGATTCACAAGCATTTGTTCCTATCTGCAACTGCTTTATTTTCTTAAATTTGTTTTGTTAAAGTGCAAAAGTTTTCAATTTTTATTACACCTTATCAATGAATTGGGCTTTTAATGTTGTATTTATCTCATTTTCCAATCCTACATCATAATGCTTTATTGTTATGTTGCAATCTAGAAGATTTATAGTGTTAACTATTAAATTGAGGTCTATGATTCATTTTTGGTTAATTTTCAGTATGGATCTCAGATTTTTTAATGTGACTGTTCAATTTATTTGCTGAAAAAAAGTGTCATTTTGTCCTTAAATTGTTTTGGCACCAATGTTAAAATGTTATATTGATCTATAAGCCTGTTTTAGTGCTAAAAACACTCTCTTTGATTGATTACTATAGCTTTATTGTAAGTTTTGAAATTGGATTAAGTCCTTCAATTTCATTCCCTTTTATCAAAATTGTTTTGGCTATTCTAAATCATTTAAATTTCTGTATTCATTTTATGTTAGGTTATCAATTTCTGCAAAATAAAAACACTGCTAGTTATTTAAAAGGAATTGTGTGACTCTATTGATCAATTTGGGAATGAGAAAAATCTTGACAATATTGAGTCTTCTAATTCAAGTATATGCATTGTCTCCTATTTTATGTAAATCTTCATTTATTTATTTATTCATTCTTTGCTCAACAATAAATTACAGTTTTCAGCATAGAAGTCTTTCATTTCTCTTGTTAAATAATTTCTAAGTATGCTATTTTGATGCTATTTTAAACAAAAATAATTTCTTTTTGGTATTTTATTTTAAATTGACAGATAAGATTATATGTGATGTTCTGAAGTATATATGTTGTAAAATGATTAAATCCAGCTAATTAACATATGCATTACCTCACATAATTTTCATCTTTGTGGTGAAAACACTTTAGATCCATCCTGTTAGCATTTTTCAAGAATGCAATATATTAACTATAGTCACTATTTAGTACAATAGATATAGTTATTCCTTCTATCTAACTACAGTTTTGTATTCTTTAACAAACATCTGCTCAACCACCACCCCAACAACCCCAGCTCCTAGTAACCACCATTGTATGATCTACTTCTAAGAAATCAAACATTTTCGATTCCATATATGTGAGATTATGAGGGATTTGTCTTTCTGTGCCTGCCTATGTCACTTAACATTATGTCCTGCAGGTTCATTCATGCTGTCACAAATAACAGGGTTTGATTCTTTTTTATGACTGAATAGTATTTCATTTTGTATGAATACTACATTATTCTTATCCACTCACCTGTGGGTGGACAATTAGGTTTATTCCATATCTTAGCTATTGTGAATAATTCTATAATAAACATGAAAGTGTGTTTTTGGCATTTTAGCCAAAGATCAGTTGACTGTACATGTTTGGGTTCATTTCTGAGCTCTACTCTGTTCCATTGGTGTATATGTCTGTTTTTAATGACAGTACCATGCTGTTTTGGTTACTGTAACTTTGTAGTATGTTTCAAAGTCAGGTAATGTGATGCCTCCAGTTTTGTCCTTTTTGCTCAATATTGCTTTGGCTTTAGGATCTTTTGTGATTCTATGCGAATTTTAGGATTTTTTTTTTCTATTTCTGTGAAGAATGTTATTGTTATTTGGATAGGGATTGTGTTAAAGCTATAGGTCACATTGGCTAATATGAACATTGTTACAATATTAATTCTTCTAATCCATTAGCATAAATTTCTTAAAATTTATTTGTGTCTCCTTTTTTTTTTAGTTTGCTTTTTTTTTTTTAATTTTACTTTGAGTTCTGGGATACATGTGCAGAACATGAAGCTTTGTTACACAGGTATACATGTGCCATGGTGGTTTGCTGCACCTACCAACTGGTCATCTAGGTTTTAAGCCCTGTATGCATTAGGTATTTGTTCTAATGCTCTCCCTCCCCTTGCCTCCCACCCACTAAAAGGCCCCGGTGTGTGATTTTCCCCTCCCTGTGTCCATGTTTTCTCATTGTTTAACTCTCACTTATGAGTGAGAAAATGTGGTGTTTGGTTTTCTGCTCCTGTGTTAGTTTGCTGAACATGATGGCTTCCGGCTTCTTCCATGTCCCTACAAAGGACGTGAATTTATCCTTTTTATGGCTGCATAGTAGTCCATGGTGTATATGTGCCACATTTTCTTTATCCAGTCTATTATTGATGGGCATTCGAGTTGGTTCCAAGTCTCTGCTATTGTAAATAGTGCTGCAATAAACGTACATGTGCATGTGTCTTTATAGTAGAATGAATTATAATCCTTTGCGTATATACTCAGTAATGGGATTGTTGGGTTAAATCGTTATTTCTGGTTGTAGATCCTTGAGGAATCACCACACTGTCTTCCACAATGGTTGAACTAATTTACACTCCCACCAACAGTGTAAAAGTGTTCCTATTTCTCCACATCCTTGCCAGCATCTGTTGTTTCCTGACTTTAATTATCATCATTCTAACTGGTGTGAGATGGTATCTCACTGTGGTTTTGATTTGCATTTCTCTAATGACTAGTAATTTCTTTCATCAATGTTCCCTACTTTTAGTGTAGATATCTTTTACCTCTTAAGTTAAATTTATTCCTATTTTATTTTTGTAGCTATTATAAATAAAATTATTTTTTAATTTTTTTAGGTTGCTTGATTTTAGTGTATAGAAAAACAATTTTTTCATGTTTATTTTGTATTTTTCAAATTTACTGAATTCATTAATTATTTTTAACAGTTTTTTGGTGGATCCTTTAGAGTTTTCTGTGTATAAGATCATCTTGTCTGCAAAGAGGAACAATTTAGCTTCTTTCTTTTCAATTTGGATGCTTTTTTATTTCTTTCTCTTGCCTAATTGCTCTGGTTAGGACTTCCAGTACCATGTTGTGTCCTTTTCTGAATCTTAGAAAAAAGCTTTCACCTTTTCACAGTTGACTAAGGTGTTAGTTGTGGGCTTGTCATATATAGCATGTATTGTGTTAAGATACATTCCACGCCTAATTATTAAGAGGTTTTTATTATAAAATGATTTTAAATTGTGTTGAACAATTTTCTGCACTTATTGAAGTGATCATGTGGTTTTGTTCTTCATTCTGGTAATGTGATATATTATATTTATTGATTTACATTTGTTGATCCATTCTTGCATTCTTGGAATGAAACCAATTTGATCATGGAGAATGATCATTTAAATGTGCTTTTGGATTTAGTTTGCTAGTATTTTGTTGAGAATTTTTGCACCAATGTTCATTTATCAGGCATATTGTCCTGTATTTTTTTTTCTGTATGTCTTTATCTGGCTTTGATATTGGCAAATTTGGTATTGGGATGATGCTGGCTTTGTAAAACGAGGTTGAAAGAGTTCCCTCCTCTTCCACATTTTGGAAGAATCTGAGAATTGGCCCTCATTATTTAAATATTTGATAGAGTTCGGCAGGGAAGCCATCAGATCCTGGGCTTTTCTTTGGTGGGAGACTTTTTATTATTCACTCAATTTTCCTATTATTGGTGTTAAGGTTTTCTATTTCTTCATAATTGAGTCTTGGTAGAGTGCGTGCATCTAGGAAAAAGAAATTTTCCTGTTACTTCTAGTTTGTCCAATTTGTTGGTGTAATTTTTTTCATAACAGTCTCATGACCCTTTGTATTTCTGTTGCTTTAGTTGTAAGTCTCCTTTTTTCTTTTTTATTTTGAGTCTTATTTTTCTGTTCTTAGTCCAAGTACAGGTTTCTCAATTTTTTTTCACAAAGTCAACTCTCTGTTTTTTAATTTTTTCTCTTGTTTTTCTAGTCTCTATTTTATTTATTTCTGCTCTGATCTTTATTAATTTATTACCTCTGCTAACTTTGGGTTTAGTTTGTTCTTGTTCTTCCAGTTCCTTGAGGTGCAACCTTAGGGGAAGGTACTGTGAACACTGTTAAAATGACAACAAGTTACATAAACTTAGGTGATAAAGCAGTGTCAGGTTTGAGAGGGTTTACTCCAATTTTGAAAGAAGTTTTACTGTGAGTAAAATGGTATGAAATAGTATTGCACGATACAGAGACATTGTACATGAAAATAAAAGTGAATTCATCCAGCACACTTCATTGCTGTCTTATTTTTTTAAATTGCCACAGCCATCTCAGTCTTCAGTAACCACTGTCCTAATCAGTCAGCAACCATCGACATCAAGACAAGACCCTCTACAAACAAAAAGATTATGACTGACTGAAGGCTGGGATAATTGTTAGCATTTTTAAGCTATATTTTAAATTAAAAGACATACGCTTTTAATGTAATGCTACTGCACAATTAATAGACTATATTAAAGTGTAAACACAGCTTTCTTTTTCCTCCCAACTTTTATTTTATGTGTGGGGGTACATGTGCAGGTTTGTTATATGCTTAAATTGCATGCTGTGGTGGTCTGGTGTACAGATTATTTAATCACCCAGAAAATAAGCACAGATTCCAAACAATCCTCACTGTCATCCCATCCCCCAACCGCAAGTAGACCCTGGTGTCTATTGTTCCCTTATTTGTGTCCATATGTACACAATGTTGAGCTCCCAATTATAAGTGAGCATACGGTATTTGGTTTTCTGTTTCTGTATTAATTTGCTTAAAATATTGGCCTCCAGCTTCATCTATATAGCTGCAAATAACATGATCTCATTTTTTTCTTATGGCTAAATAGTATTCCATGTTGTATATGTACCACATTTTCATTATCCAGTCACTGTTGATGGTCATTTGGGTTGATTCAATGTCTTTGTTTCTTGTGAATAGTGCTGCAATAAATATACAAGTGTTTGTATCTTTTTGGTAGAATGCTTTGTTTTCTTTGGTATATATACCCAGTAATGGGATTGTTGGGTTAAATGGTAATTCTACTTTTAATTCTTTGAGAAATCTTTGAATTGCTTTCCAAAGTGACTGAACTGATTTGCATTACGAACAGCAGTGTATAAGCATTCTCTTTGCCTCACAACCTTGCCAACATCTGTTATTTTTTGATTTTTTAGTAATAGCCACTCTGAGCATTGTGAGATTGTATCTCATTGTGGTTTTTATTTCATTCCGCTAATGGTCAATTATGTGGAACATTTTTGATATGCTCTTGGCCATTTGTATGTCTTTTTTTTTTCAAGAAGTATCTGATCGTCTGGGTGTGGTTACTCATGCCTGTAATCCCAGCACTTTGGGAGGCCAAGGTGGGTGGATCACCTGAGGTCAGGAGTTCAAGACCAGCCTAGTCAATGTGGTGAAATCCCATCTCAACTAAAAATACAAAAAAGTTAGCTGGGCATGATGGCAGGCGCCTGTAATTCCAGATACTTTGGGAGGCTGAGGCAGGAGAATCGCTTGAACCCAGGAGGTGGAGGTTGCAGTGAGCCAAGATCAGGCCATTCCAGTCCAGCCTGGGTGACAAGAGTGAAACTCTGTCAAAAAAAAAAAAAAAAAGTTTTTGATCATTTCCTTTGAACACTCTTTAACGGGGTTATTTATTTTTATTTTTGGATCTGTTTTTCTTTATAGATTCCAGATATTAGATCTCTGTCAGATGGGTAGTTTGCAAATATTTTCTCCCATTCTCTGGGTTGTCTGCTTACCTTGTTGATAGTTTACTTTGGTATGCAGAAGCTCTTTAGTTTAATTAGGTCCAGTTGTCAATTTTTTGTGTTGCATTTACTTTTGAGAATTTAGTCATAAATTTTCTTCCTAAGCCAATGTCAGAAAAGTATTTTCTAGATTTTCCACTAGAATTTTTATAGTTTTAGATATTGTATTTAAGTCTTAAATCCATCTTGAATTAATTTTTATATATGGTGAAATGTACGGGGTCCAGTTTCATTCTTATTAATAAGATTAGCCAGTTTTCTGAGTACCATTTATTGAATAGGGTATCTTTCCACATTTCTTATTTTTGTCCACTATGTCAAATATCAAGTGACTGCAGGTGTGTGGCTTTATTTCAGGGGTCTCTATTTTGATCCATTGGTATACGTGTCTATTTTTGTACCATGCTGCTTTGGTTGCTGTACTCTTACAGTATAGTTTGAAGTTGGATAATGTGATACCTCCAGATTTATTATTTTAGCTTAGGATTGCATTGGCTATTTGAGTTCCTTTATCTTCCCACATAAATTTTAGAATAGTTTTTTCTAATTATGTGAATTATACTAGTAATTTGATAGAAATAGCACTGAACCTGTAAATTTCTTTGGGCAATTTGGACATTTTAATGATATTGTCTCTTCTACTCAATGAGCATGGGATGTTTTTCATTTATTTATGTCATCTATGATTTTTTTCAGCAGTGTTTTGTAGTTCTCCTTTTAGAGGTATTTTACATTCTTGGTTAGATGTAACCTTAGGTATTTTAATTTATTTTTAATGAGATTATTTTAATTTTGCTCTCTGATTATTATTGGTGTGTAGAAATGCTACCAATTTTTGTACATTAATATTGTATCTTGAGACTTTGCCAGATTTTGGTGTCAGATACTGGTTTCATAAAATGAGTTAGGGAACAGTCTCTTTTTCTCAATTTTTTGAAATAGTTTCAATAGGATTGCCACTAGCTGTTTTTTATATATATTGTAGAATTCAGCTGTGAGTCAATCTACTCCAGGGTTTGTCTTGGTTGATAGGTGTTTTTATTACTGAATTTCACTACTCACTCTTGGTCTGTTCATTATTTCTGCTTCTTCCTGATTCAATCTTAGGAGGTTGTGTATTTCCAGGAATTCATAATATCCTCTAGATTTTCTAGTCTGTGTACCTAGACATGCTCATAGTAATATCTAAGAATCTTTTGTATTTCTGTGAGAGCAATTGTGATGTCTCCTTTGTCATTTCTCATTGTACTTGATCTTTTCTCTTTTTTTGTTAATCTAGCTAGCAGTCTATCACTCTTTTTATCTTTTCAAAAAGACAAGTTTTCATTTTGTCAGTCCTTTGTTTTTTGTTGTTGTTTTTTTCTCAATTTCACTTAGTTCTGCTCTGATTTTAATTATTTCTTTTCTTCTGCTAGCTGTGGGTTCCATTTGTACTTGTTTTTCTAGTTTCTTTAGTTGTGAGCTAAGGTTGTTAATTTGAGATATTTCTATCCTTTTAATGTAGACTCTTAGGACTACAAACCTTCCCATTTAAAACTGTTTTTGCTGCGTCCCAGAGGTTTTGACATGTTGTATCTGTATTTTCATTTGTTTCGAAGAATTTTTTTAATTCTGCTTTCATTTTCTTGTTTACCCAAAAGTAATTCAGGAGCAAGTTGTTTAGTTTCCATGTATTCATGTGGCTTTGAGAATTCCTCTTGGCATTGATTTCTATTTTTATTCCACTCTGGCCTGAGAAGATTCTTGATATGTTTTCAAGTTTTTAAAAATTTATTGTGACTTGTGTTGATTGAGCATGTGGTCAGAGTATGTTCCATGTGCAGATGAGAAAGATGTATATTCTGTTTTTTGGGTGGAGTAGTCTGTGGATATCTATTAGATCCAAGTTGTCAAGTGTCAAATTTATGTCCAGAATTTGTTAGTTTTCTGCCTCAATAAACTGTCTAATTCTCCCAGTGGGGTGTTGAAGTTCCTGACTATTGTTATGTGACTATTAAAGTCCTTTCTGAGATCTAGAAGTAATTGTTTTAAAAGTCTGGGTGCTGCATTGTTAGGTACATATATATTTAAGAGAAGTAAGTCTTGTTGAATTAAATCCTTTATCATTACATAATGCCGATCTTTATTCTTTTTTACTGCTGTGGGTTTAAAGCCTATTTTATTTAATATAAGAATAGTGAACCCGGCTCTTTTTTGTTTTCTATTTGCATCATAGATCTTTATCCATCTCTTTACTTTCAGTCTATGGGTGTCATTACATGTGAGATGGGTCTCTTGAAGACAGCAGAAGGTTGGGTCTTGTTTTCTTATCCAATTTGCTCTACGTCTTTTAAGTGAAGCAGGTAGGCCATGTATGTTTAAGGTTAATGTTGATATGTGAGGTTTCATTCCTGTCATAATCTTGTTAGCTAGAAGCTTTGTCATCTTGACTGTGTAGTTGCTGATAGAGTCTGTGGGCTATATGTTTGTGTGTGCTTTTGTAGTGATAAGTATTGTTATTTCATTTCTATGTTTAGTAACCCCTTTAGTATCTAGTGTAGGGCTGGTGTGGTGATGATGGATTCCCTTAGCAATTGCTTGTCTGGGAAACACTTTATTTCTCCTTCATTTATGAAGCTTAGTTTGTCAGGATATGAAATTCAGAAATGTGTATTCTCTATTGTAGACAAATAACATTTAATGAAGATTACCCTGGCTTACATTTTTTAAAAATCCCTAACTGTATTGCACAGAATATAAATTCGCATCATGTTCTAAATATACAGTAAAGAAATATTCACTCAAATGTACTTTTCAGCAATAGTGCATCTGCCTGAAAATGATGTTTAAAATGGATTGCTACTTTGTGTTATAGGGTATAATGAGAAGGAAATTTCAAATTTACAAGATTTTGTGTTTATTTTTGTTCTCCATCTTGAAGTATAGAGAAGCGAATTCCTCCACATTCTTCCAGCACTAAGTACACTGATTAGCTCAGAGTTTCTAAGCATTCTTGGCCTCATTTCAGAATTCAGTAGTACTTAAAGCCACAAATGCCAAATCTGTGTCAGTTTCTTCAATGCAAACACGTGTGGAAAAACAAGAAAGATAATGCAGAGAGGCTCAAGACCAGGAAAAGAAAGAAGAAATTCTAGCCTGGATGTTTATGAATTAATCCAAATCCAAAATACTTCAGAGCAGGGCAAAGTTCCAAAATATTTTGATCATGTGTCTGACCCTCCCTGTCCTCTGCGCGTGCACAAACACACACACACACACACACACACCAACGTGCTTCTGATGTTAACTGCTAAACTATGGATTATTACTTTTCTTTCATTAAACCATGTTTCCACCACTAAATATTAATTTGTTTCATTTTATGTATATTTCCTATTAAGCTATAAAAATAAGTGATATATACTTTATTCTACTTCTCTTTGCTTGTCATTATCTTAAAGCACTGATTCTCACATTTGACCTTTTTTATCATTTTCTAGAAGTCATTGAAGAATTCTAAGGTGTATCCTTAGCCAAGTATAATCTTCTTCTATCTAAAACATAGACCTTGAACTCCATCTAATACAAGCTAAATGGTCATTTTTGCTATTAGTTTATGAATGTGAAAAGAGAAGATTAACATCTGAGTATATTATCTTAAGAACACCTAGAAAAATATATACCATTTGATAATGCTAACACATATTTCTATCTGCATTTTGAAAAGAAATACTAAATATCTAAGAAGGTAATAACATTTTTCTAAGTGCCCCATTATATCAAAATACATTTGAGCCTTCATCAAATCAACTAAGTAGCTGACATCAAATGAAAATGCCACAATCAAGTAGAAATTTAACTCAGAGAAGAAAGGTCAAGTCTTTTAGAAAAGCAAAATTATTAAATAATTTTTCCTAAACTTGTATCATGAACATAAAAAACTTTTAGAAAAAAGAAATCGTGGTATATTAGTGTGCAGGAGATAGCAACAGCAAAATGTCCTTAAGAAAATGTTAATGAAATGATTACATAAATTCTAAGACAAAGAAAGATATTTATTACGACAACCTGTCTTTGGTTGGTTCATATAATATGTGAATACTTTTGTGTAAGTAGGGACTATTAGCCAGTATTTATGGTTGTTCCATTCTTCTGGGAATAGAAGCAATATACAAACTGACATCAAATGCGGCCTATCTCCAATTATATATAATGTAGCATTGTTTTAATGTGTACATGTGTCATAAATATGGACAGAAATATCATATTGCACTTTTATTCCAAACGATGAAATAAAATTTAAGTCAAAATGCAGATTTTAAAGAGATAGTTCTTTAGTTTTAATAAAGTTGTTTGAGTTGTGATGCTTACCAGAATTTAATTTCTGTAGTTTATGCTCTGTTTTTAACAGAGCAGTGGTAGAAACTAAAAATTAGCCAATTTCTTTTATAGCATATGCCATCCAAACAAGATTTCAAAAAGATCGGGCATGTGAGTTCCAGTGGAAAAGTTGTGTCTTCACATATATATGTGAAGCCATATATAAAGACTCATATTATATATATTTATATATATAATATGAATCATCACATTTAATTGTTATAAAATATACATAATATAAAGTTTACCATTTAACTATTTTAAATTACGTTTATTAGCATTAATTACATTCACAGTTTTGCAATCATCACCACTATCTAGTTTAAGAATTCTTTTATTACCCCCAAAAGAATTCCCTTTGCCTAATAAGAAATCACTTCCCATTTTCTCCTATTGCATTCTCTGGCAACGCTAATCTGCTTTCTGTATTGAATGATTTGCTGTTTTTGATTCCATGTATATTGAATCATACAATATGTGGCCTCTTGTGTCTCTCACTTAGCATAATGTTTCCAAGGTACATCTGTGATGTATGATGTATTAGTACTTCATTTCTTTTTAGTCCTGAAAAATATTCCATTGTATGAATATATCAGATTTTATTTATCCACTTATCAGCTGATGAACATTTGGGTTATTTCCACCTTTTGGCTATTGTGAAGAGGGCTGCTTTGAAACATTGACCAAGATTAACAAATCTATTAGTTTTCAGTGCTAACCAGTGAGGGGGAGAACTATTAAGTTATAAGAGTATAGAAATAATGTTATAGTACTATAGAAAAGGAGAGAGATTCAACATCCAAATTTTGAATGTCAAGGAAGATTCCCAGAAAATAATGAGATAAATGCTTAGATGTGAGGGATAATTGACATTGGTAAATTTTATATAGAAATATGGGGTCATATTTTGGGCATACATCACAGTGCGCTCAGACTCTTGGGCCACAAGAGAATGACATTGGGAATAAATTTATGTAATCTTAATATGAACAAAGAATGTATGTGTGGAAATCATGAAAAGTAAAGGGACTGAAAATACGCAGCATGTTAAGCACATATGGACTTTAACCTAAGAAAAAGAAGCATATGCTGCCTTCATCTAAAATGGAAAGTTGGAAATTACACCACTCACAATGCAAGAAGAAGAAATACGCCAGGTTATAGTTTGAATAAATTCACTAGATAAATGAAGTTACAGGGCAACCAAGTAGCATAAAATATATGAAAAAATTTGTCCCTCCAAAAAGAGGGCACACATAAGCACTGGTCTCTGTGCTCTGTGGTAGAGCACAGGAGAAATAAAAGTCAAAATAGGAATTGATAGAAAACTTCTTCACACTGATAAAGTCACTGGACCTACAGCTAACATTATACTTAATGATTAAATTTAATGATTAAACTCACTTATTTCTCACAAAGTTTAGGAAAAAGACAAGATGTCTGCTCTCACCATTTCTATTCGACATGATACTGGGTTTCCTACCAGCACTGTAAGGTAAGTAAAATAAATAGAGAAAGAAATAAAAAGTTTTCAATTCAAAGAAGGTATGATTATTGTAGTGAAAATTGTAAGGAATCTATAAAAAGCTAATAGCACTATTCAATGAATCCAACAAAATCTTAGAATACAAAAATATATTTATATAACCTAGTGAGAAACAGTTGAAAATGAAACAAACTCATATCATATATAATAGCAGTACAATTATAGAATAATATAAATCCAACAACATATGTTCAACTACTATATGATTAAAATACAAGATACTGATGAAAGATGTCAAAGAAGATCCACATAAATGCAGCAATATAATGTGTTTGTATGTCAGAAGACTTAGTAATTTTAAGACGTGTATTTCTTCCCAAATATTTAGACAGATTGTTATCGAAATGAACAAGCTAATTCTAAATGTATGAAAAAGGCAAATGAGCCGGAATAGCCAATACAATTTAGGAAACAACACAGTTGGAAGACTCAACTACCTGATTTCCAAACTTATTATAAAGTGTACAGCAGTTCAGACAATGTAGTAATGGCAAAATTAAAGACATGTAGATTTATGTTTAAGAAAAGACAGTGAAGAAATAGATGAACACACACACATAGAGACAGAAAGAGAAGATATATGTCCTTTTATTTTATTCTAAGGCACAAAGAAAATTTGATAGAGAAAAGATCAACTCTTCAAAAACATTCGAATACACATATGCAAAAAATAAAAATAATTTTTACAAAACTTTGACCCATACTTCATACAAGTTTTTAAAACTCAAGAAGGATATTATACATTTATAGAAACCCTAAGATTTTAAAACTTCTGGAAGAAAACAAAAGACAAAATATTTGTGACTTCACATTGGGTAATTTTTTTAGATATCATCAATAATACAATTTATTAAAAAATAGATAAATAGGTAGCATTAAAACTAAATCTTTTGCTTTTCAAAACATACTGTTAAAAAAATAAAAAGACAAGCCAAATTCTTGGATAATGTATTTTCAAAGTACATAGCTGATAAATAACTTGTATCTATAGAATATATGACTTCTCAAAACTCAATCATAACAAAAAAAACTTACCAAAAGCATAGGCAAAATATTTGAATAGGTATTTTGTCAAAGAATATATCTATAGATGTCTAAAACACACATAAAAAGATATGCACCCCATTTTACATTAGAAAAATAAATGTAATTACAAAGCATAAGAAAGTACTATCACACTTAGCATAGATGAAAGCAAATATATTTGACAATACCAGCATCTAGCAAGAAAGTAGAACAGTTGAAACACTTACGCATTGCTGTTGAAAATGCAAAATTGTAAAGATAACTCCTAAAAGAATTTTAAAAATTCTCCCGAAGTTAAACTTACATCTACAGTATGACCAAGTTTTCCCAATTATAGAAATTTATTGATCAGAAAGGAAAGTCAGGTGGGCACTGTGGATAATGCCTGTAATCCCAGCACTTTGAGAGGCGGAAGCGGGCAGATTACTTGAGGTTAGGAGTTCGAGATCAGCCTGGACAACATGGTGAAACCCCGTCTCTACTAAAAGTACAAAAGTTAGTTGGGCTTGGTGGCGCCTCCTGGCTACTCAGGAGGCTGAAGTAGGAGAATTGCTTGAAGCCAGGAGGCAGAGATTGCAGTGAGCCAAGATCATGCCACTGCACTCCAGCCTGGGTGACAGAGCAAGAGTCTGTCAAAAAAAAAAAGAGAGAGAGAGAGAAAGAAAGAGAAGAAAGAAAGAAAGAAAGAAAGAAAGAGAAAAAGAAAGTAAGAAAGAGAAAGAAAGAAAAAGAAAAAGAGAAAGAAAAAGAAAGAAAGGAAGAAAGGAGGAAAGGAGGGAAGTAGGGAAGGAGGGAGGGAGGAAAGGAGGGAAGGAGGAAAGGGGGGAAGAAAGGAAAGAAAGAACGAAGGAAGGAAGGAAGGAAACTCAGGTTCACTCAAAAATTTAAACACAAACATATATTGTGGTTTTATTCCTAAATGTTCAAACCTTTTGCCATAGTAAATTTAGGCTGCCATAACAGAATTCCATAGACTGGGAGGCTTAAACAAAGGTCTATTTCTCACAGTTCTAGAGACTGGAAAGTCCAGGATCAATGCACCAAAAGATTCTGTGTCTAGTGAAGCCATGTTTCCTGTATCTAATATGTCAGAAGAAAGGAGAGATATCATTCTGGGATCCCTCTTACAAGGGCACTAATGCCATTCATGAGAGTGTCACCTTCATAATCTAATCATATCCCAACGGCTTCATCCCTTAATGCCATCACATTGGAGGTCAGGGTTTCAACACAAATTCTTAGAAGATACAAACATTCAGCCCATTACACCTGGAAACAATTCAAATGCCTTTTCATAAAAGAATAGACACAAACTTTGTGACACTTCCATATAATGGAATACTACTTAGCAATAAAAAAGGAACAAATTATTGATTTCTACAATCACATGGATGGATCTCAGGTGTATTATTCCGAGTGAAAGAGGTCACAATCATTTATATTTTGAATAATTCTACTTATATGACATTCCAGAAAAGTCAAAAGTATAGGGATAAGAAATAAACAAAATGGTGCCCATGACTGAGGGTTGTTGATTTGAGTACAAAGGCACATGACAGCATTCTGAGGGATAATGAAACTGTTTTACATATTAATTTTGGTTTTAGCAACACAAGTGCATGTGAATTTAAAACCCATACAATGATCTGCTAAAAAATAAGGTTTATTCACCAAAGTAAATGTTACCTCAAGAAACCTGTTCAAAAATAAAGAAAAAAATGCCATTGAAAATAGAGTGAACTCTGTATTTGTAAGAAGTTTTTTTTTGAAGAGTATTTCCTTAATAATGTAAATAATTTGTTTAGGAGCAGGTGTGAGCGAAACAAGAATTTCAGTTTCTTATCAGGGTAGAGCAGTGGCCAGTAGAATAGTGTATTAAGATCAGAGGGTGAAAACAGAATCCATGAGTATAGATGCACAATTTGAAGTGCCATTGTGACCTCCAAGTGAAGATATTGGGTATGTAATTAGGTATTTAACTTATTGGCTTACAGACTTGTAAACTATACATTTAGATTTAAGAATTGTCAATATGTATTGAGTAAAGCCATTGATTTCCCAATCATTAAATGTATTATCTTTTTATTTACCTGACCTGCATTTGTCACCATTACTATAAATAATTGTAACACAGATGTAGTGTCATAACCTATATAAAACTGGTATTAATAACCACACATGCTTCCCAGGAGGATGGATGTGTAAATCCTTTTAGCATACTAGCACAACTTGGATTTAGAATTAACTAGGAGAACCCTTGACTTGTGGTTATTAATGATGTTTGGGTGGACATGGAAAAGACAAGCCCTTCCACTTAGGAGAAGTGAGCATGAAGTCTGAGATAGAAAATTGATCAGAATTGCGAGGCTTCTCACTGTCACTATTTGGCATCATGATGTTGCCTCAGAGTGTAATGGCTAACAAGAAAACAGAACCACCGAAGGCATATTTTAGGTACTTGGCCTGATAAATCTGCTCTTTTTGGGCTGCAACAGGTCTATTTTTTTTCTCTGTGTGTTTTTTATTAATCTATCTGATTTACATTTTAATCAGAAAGAGTCAAAATAAGCTATATTTAAAACACTTTATATTGATCCCAGGGAGTGATGTCAGAAAGACAGCAAAATAGAAAGTCCCACCCTTGTTTCTCCACAGAAACACAGATTTAACAATGATAAATGAACCAAGATATCTGTATGAGATGTGCATATTCATTGAAGAAGTTGCAGTGCTGTACATAAGTACAAAACTGAGAACGGCCACATTGAAATGGATAAGAAGAGCAATCTAACTATACCTGCATTAGCTGCTCTCCTAAACCAGTGCAGCTCAGCACTGAGAAAGATCACCTAGACATGCAACTTTTCACTTGAGGGAATAGAGAGAGTAGAGCATGTGTCCAAGTTCTCTGGCCTCTCAGAGCGCTGCCCGAAAAACCAGTTTCATTCCATACAGAGTACTGATGGAAACTGTGTCGTTTTAACACTGGAGAGTAGGTTAGAACAAAGTAAAGGGACAAATGACTTGCTGAAGGCTGCATGGCTTGATGAGATTGGGAAAAAAACAGAACTTGAGGCTTCACCCCAGAAAGTGAGGGAAAAGAGTGTCTCTCCAGTTATAATCCGTGGTACAGCAGCCACACACCAGAGAGAGGAAAAGATTATAGGACTTTTTTTTAAAAGTAAATTGTACTAATTATTTTTTTTAAAAGAAAGAAAACTACATGCACAGTCTAAAGAAGGCATATCCATAGAAAAGATTTGCAGTGCTCCAAGAATCTCTAGCCAGACTGACTGGGGAAAGTTCTTCACTGTAGAAGTCAGTCTGTAATGACTGTGGTGGCTGGCTGTTTCTTCAAATAAATGGTTACCAATGCACAGATAAGAAATATAAAAAATAAGAGAAGTGTTAGCCTATCAAAAGAACAAAATAAATCAAATTAAAAAATGAATTACCTGAAAGGGTTTAAACATAATCATCTTAAAGAAGCTCAGTGAGCTACAAGAGAACACAGAGAAAAAACAAAATGGAATCACAAAAACAATTCATAAAGAAAATGAGAATATCAACAAAGAGATAAAACTTAAAAAAACAAAAATTATGAAGCTAAAGAATATAAAAACAGAATTAAAAATTTACTAGAGGGAGTCACTGCTTGTGATGGTTGGAATTTTCATCCACTCTAAAATTCATGTTAAAATGTAATCCCTAACGTGGAAATACATATTTTTTTATTTTTAAAACACGTTTGTTTGAAATAAATGAGCTTGGTTCATAGCTCCTCTCTGTTCTATTTTCCCTAATGGCTACCAGTACTGTTCTCTTTACATATTGTCCCTATTTTTAATGATAGCTATTTTACAGAGATGACAATTTTTCCCCTACCTCCAAAAAAATCCACACACCCATCCCATACAAACATAGATGACAACATTCTAATATAAAGTGACTGTGTAATGAATTTTCACCTCCTAAATAATAGAGACATCTCTGTCTGAAAAAATGGATATAAGAGGATGTCTCCAAAGATGAAGAAGGACACTACTGGTTTCTAGACAGAACAGCCTTGCTCAAGGGAACCACAAGACTTAGCCAATTGACCAGAATTCTTTTGATCATTTTGTTCTTAACTTCCACTCCATTTAGGACATTATTGCATCCTCTGCTTGATCAGCTGTACTCCCAAGGCTCCTTGGCTACAGCAAATTCATGAAGCTGTCAGCATGCCTTTGTGCACAAAGCAGCCCTCAGTGAATGTTTGTATAATAAATGAATAATGAAAGAATGATTGGAGAGTGTAAGGAAGCCTCCTGCCATTAATTACAGTATCTTGCCATAACACAAATTCTCCCACATGCATTTCTACTGGTCCAGCATATTATTACTTACATTTAGTTAGCCTGCTTTTAGGGTGAGAAAATATAAAAAGTATGAGAAATGATCTAAGATGCCTGCAGCTTAATAATTTATTTGTGTTTTCACATTATTTAAGAGATTACCAATGCAAGATGCAGGGCTTTCTTAAGAAATGATATATCCTCAGTGCACTGAATGTTTACAAGAAATTAAGAATAAAACTTTAAAAAAAATTACAAATGCAATATTACTGTTGGTGATTATTTTGTGCCAACCAGGAAATAACTGATCTAATTAAACCCACCTGATTGCCAGCCAGAAACCTAGGCCTACCATACTTAAGAGATTTGACATGTAGGACCTTTAAGAAGTAATTGGATCATGAGGGCAGAGCCCTCAAGAATGGATTAGTCTATTCATGGTTTAATGAATTAAGAATTAATAAGTTAATAGATTAATAGCTGTGATTAGTGTGGCTCTGGTGCCTTTTTTAATTTTTAATTTTTATGGGTATAGAGTAGGTATATATATCTGTAGGATACATGAGCTATTTTGATAAAGGCATGCAATGCAAAAAAATGACATCATGGAGAATGGGGTATCCATCTCCTTAAGCATTTATCGTTTTTGTGTTAGAAACAATCCAACTGTATTCTTTTAGTTTTTTTTAAATATACAATTAAATTATGATTGACCATAGTCACCCTGTTGTGCTATCAAATACTAGGGCTTATTCTTCTATTATTTTTTACCCATTAACCATCCTACTTCCTTTCTACCACCCCACTACCCTTCTCAGCCTCTGGTAACCATCCTTCTACTCTCTATCTATATGAGCTTAATCGTTTTGGTTTTTAGATCCCACAAATAAATGAGAACATGTGATGTTTGTCTTTCTGTGCCCTACTTACTTCACTTGACATAATGATCTCCAGTTTCATCCACGTGGTTGCAAATAACAGACTATCATTCTATTTTAAAGCTGACTAGTACTCCATCATATATAGGTATCATATTTTCTTTATCCATCCATCTGTTAATGGATACTTAAGTTGCTTCAAAATCTTAGCTATTGTGAACAGTGCTACAACAAACATGGGAGTGCAGATAGCTCTTTGAAACATTGATTTTCTTTCTTTTAGATATATACCCAGCAGTGGGATTGCTGGATCATAGAGTAGCTCTATTTTTAGTTTTCTGAGGAACCTCCAAACTGTTCTGCATTGTGGTTGTACTAATTTGCATTCCCACCAGCAGCATACAAGTGTTCCCTTTTCTCCACATCCTCCCCAGAATTTGTTATTGCCTGTCTTTTGGATAAAAACCATTTTAACTGGGGTGAGATAATAACCCACTGTAGCTTTGATTTGCATTTCTCTGATGATCAGTGATGTTGAGCAGTTTTTAATATGTCTACTTGGTATTTGTATGTCTTCTTTTGAGAAATATCTATTCAAATCTTTGGCTCACTTTTTGATCGGTTTCTTAGATTTTTTTCCTATAGAGTTGTTTGAGTTCCTAATATACTCTAGTTATTAATCCCTTGTCAGAGGGGTAATTTGCAAATATTTTCTCCCATTCTGGGAGTAGTCTCTTTACTTTGTTGACTTTCCTTTGCTGTGCAGAAGCCTTTTAACTTGATATGATCCCATTTGTCCATTTTTGCTTTGGTTGTCTGTGCTTATGGGATATTACTCAATAAAATTTTGCCTAGACTAATGTCCTGGAGATTTTCCTAATGTTTTCTTGTAGTAGTTTTGTAGTTTGAGGACTTAGACTTAAGCCTTTAACACATTTTGGTTTGATTTTTATATGTGGCAAGAGATAGGGGTTCAGTTTCACTCTTCTGCATATAGATAACCAGTTTTATCAGCAACATTTATTGAAAAGACTGGTTTTACACCAGTGTATGTTCTTGGCACTTTTGTCGAGAGTTCACTGTAGGTGTATGGATGTTTGTGAGTTCTCTATTCTGAACCATTGGTCTGTGTCTGTTTTTATGCCACTATGATGCTGTTTTGGTTACTATAACTCTGTAGTATAATTTGAAATAATGGAATGTAATTCCTCCAGTATTGCTCCTTTTACTTAGGATAGCTTTGGCAATGCTGAGACTTTTGTAGTTTCATATAAATTTTAGGATTTATTTTCTATTTCTGTGAAGAATGTCATTGGTATTTTGACAGAGATTGCATTGACTCTGTAGATTGCTTTGTGTAGTATGGACATTTTGACAATATTGATTCTTTCACTCCATGAACATGAAACCTTTTTCCATTTTTTGATGTTCTCTTCAATTTCTTTCATCAAGGTTTTATAGTTTTCATTATAGATGTCTTTCACTTCTTTGGTTAAGTTAATTTCCAGGTATTTAATTTTATATGTGGCTATTGTAGATGGGATTTTTTTAATTTCTGTTTCAGATTATTCACGGTTAATTTTGTATGTTGAGTTTGTATTCTGCAACTTTACTGAATTTGTTTATCAGCTCTAATAGTTTGTGTGTGTGTGTGTGAAGCCTTTAGGTTTTTCCAAATATAAGATCATATCATCTGCAAAGAAGGATATTTGACTTCTTCCATTCCAATTTGGATGCCCGTTATATCTTTCTTTTGTATCTTTATATCTTTATTTATATCTTTCTTTGGTCTGATTAGTCTAGCTAGGACATCCAGTACTATGTTGACAGTGGGCATCCTTGTCATGTTCCAGATCTTAGGAAAAATACTTTAGTTTTTCTCCATTCAATATGATACTAGCCATGGGTCTATTGTATATAGCTTTTATTATGCTGAGGTTTGTTCCTTCTACCTCTAATTGTTTTAGGGTTTTTGCAATGAAGTGATGTTGAATTTTATCAAATGATTTTTCAGCATCAGTTGAAATGACCATGTGGTTTTTATCTTTCCTTCTGTTGATGTGATGCATGACATTGATTAATTTGCATATGTTGAACTATCTTTGCCTCTTAGGCATAAATCCCACCTAGTCATGATGAATGATCTTTATAATATATTGTTGAATTTAGTTTGCTAGTAATTTGTTGAGTATTTTTGCATCAATATTCATCAGATATTGGCCTGTAGTTTTCTTCTTTTGATGTGTCTTTGACTGGTTTTGATATCAGGGTAATACTTACCTGGTAGAATGTGTTTAAATTATTCCCTCCTCCTCTATTTTTCAGAACATTTTGAGTAGAGTTGGTATGAGTTCTTCTTTAAATGTTTGATAGAATTCAGAAGTGAAGCCATCAGATCCCAGGCTATTCTTTACTGGGACACTTTTTATTACAGCTTCAATGTCATTACTTGTTATTGGTCTGATCAAGTTTTGGATGTCTTCATGGTTCAATCTTGTCAAGTTGTATGTGTCTAGGAATTTGTCCATTTCTTCTAGATTTTCCAATGTATTGGCATATAGTTGATCATAGTACCAACTAATGATCCTTTGAATTTCTGCAGTATCAATTGTAATGTCTCATTTTTCATTTCTGATTTTATTTATTTGGGTCTTGCCTCTTTTTTCTTAGTCTGGCTAAAGGTTTATCTTTTTTTTAACTCTTCAGAAGTCAACTTTTTTTTTATTGATCTTTCATATTGTTTTCTTCAATCTCATTTATTTCTGCCCTGATCTTTATTATTCCTCCTCTTCTACTAATTTGGGTTTGGTTTGCTGTATTTAAGATGCATTGGATTGTTTATTTGAAAATTTTCTTCTTTTTTGATGCAGACACTTACAGCTATAAACTTCACTCTTAGTACTCTTTTTTTGCTGTATCCCACAGGTTTTAGTGTACCGTGTTTCCATTATCCTTTCTTTCAAGAAATTTTTCAATTTTATTCTTAATTTATTCATTGACTCACAGGTCATTCAGAAGCATATTGTATATAATTTCCATATATTAGTATAGTTTCTAAAATTCCTCTTATTAATTTATTTTATTCCATTGTGGTCAGAGAATATGCTTGGTATTATTGCAATTGTTTTGAATGTTTTAAGACTTGTTTTATGACCTAACACATGTTCTATCCTTGAGAGTAATTCATGTGCTGAGGAAAATAATGTATATTCTGCAGTCATTGGATAAAATATTGTGTGAATATTAATTAGATCCATTTGGTCTACAGCGCAGATTACACTGGATGTCTCTTTGTTGATTTTTTTTTTTTTTGGTCTGGAAGATCTGTCCAATGATGCTTTTTTTAAGAAGAGAAAGAGAGACCTTAACTAGCATACTCAACTACTTCACCATGTGATGTGATATGCCACCCTGATGCTCTGCAAAGAGTTCCCATGAGCAAAGAAGGCTTTCACCAAATGCAGCCCCTCAGTCTTGCACTTCTCAGGTTCTGTAACTATAAGAAAGAAATTTCTTTTCTTTATAAATTGCCCAGTTTGGGATATTCTGTTATAAGCAGCAGAAGATGGACTAAAACATAATCTGACTTGAGAAAGAATCAGTGAACTAAGAAAATAGGTTATTAGAAATTATCTAGTCAGATGAGGAAAATAAATAAATAAAAGAGTAAAGAAAACCTAAAGGACTTTTGGTACACCATCAAGTGGAACAGTGTATGCATCATAGGAGTCCTTTAACGAGAATACATGTTTTAAACACACACACACAAAACAGAATGCTGATTTTTTAAAAAATATTTTTGAAAACTCCAAACCTAAGGAATCTGAAATGGGCATCCAGACTCATAAAGCCCAACAGCCCTGAAGTAGGTTAAACCCAAATAAGTCTACACTAAAAACACTAAACTGAAATTGTCAAAAGTCAAAGATAAAAAGAATTTTGAAAGCAGCAAGAGAAAAATATTTGTCATGTATAAGGAAGCCTCCATAAGACTATCAGATTTCTCAGCAGATATCTTGCAGGTCAGAAGGAAGTGGTATAATATATTCAAAATGCTAAAAGAAAAACAAAAAAACAAAAATACCACATAAGGGAAAACTGTCTCTCAAAATGAAAGAGAGATAAACACTTTCCCAGACAAAGACTACGGAAGTTTATCAACACTAGACTTGTCTCAAAAAATTTTGAAAGGACGTCCTTCAAGTTGAAACAAAAGAATGCAACACAAATGTATATGAAGTACAAAACTCACAAGTAAATATAAACAAATACAGAATACAGTAATACTAAAATGGTAGTATAAATCACTTAATTATGATACAGAGTTGAAAAACAAAAGTATTTGGAATAACTGTACTAACAAATATATGTTAATGCATACACTATGAAAGGATGTAAATTGTGACAGTAATAACAAAGTGTAAAGGGAAAATACAAGAGTAGCATTTTTGTATGAGATTGAAGTTAACCTGTTATTAGCTTAAAATAGACTACTATAGCTAAAATATATTTTATGTAAGTTTCATGGTGAAAATATCTACAAAAATACACAAAGAAAACAAAAATGATTGAAGGCATATCACTGCAAAAAAAATCAATGAATCACAAAGGAAGTCAACAAGAGAGAAAAAGCAGGACAAAAGAACTAGAAAACTGACAATTAACAAAGTGGGAAAAGGACGTTTCTCCATATAAATAATTGCTATAAATGTAATTTCTTAAACATTTGTTGAATCAAAAGACATAGATTGGGCCAGGTGCAGTGGTTCATGCCTGTGATCCCAGCACTTTGGGAGGCCGAGGAGGGCGGATCACGAAGTCAGGAGATCTAGACCATCCTGGCTAACATGGTGAAACCCCGTCTCTACTAAAAACACAAAAGATTAGCTGTGCATGGTGGCACACGCCTGTAGTCCCAGCTACTCAGGAGGCTGAGGCAGGAGAATAGTTTGAACCCAGGAGGCAGAGGTTGCAGTGAGCCGAGATCGCACCACTGCACTCCAGCCTGGGCGACAGAGCAAGACTCCATCTCAAAAAAAAAAAAAAAAAAAAGGCGTTGATTGGCTAGATGGATTTTAAGAAAAAGATACAACTATATGCTGTCTACTAAAACTTACTTTAGATCTGAGGACACACATAGCCTGATAATGACACGATACAAAAATATAGTCCATGAAAATGGTAACCAAGAAAGCAGGGTTGGCTATCCTTATATTAGACAAAGCAGCTATTAAGTCAAAAATTTTCAGAAGAGACAAGAAGAAATCTATTTAAAAAGAAGGCCCTCACCAGACACCTAAACTGCTCATACCTTGATCTTGGACCTCGAAGTTCAAGATCTTTGAGAAATAAATTTCTATTATTTATAAGTCATTCAGTCTAGGACATTTTGTCAGGGCAGCCTGAACAGAATGTGACACTTCCAAACTCATCTGTGAGGCCAGCACTACCCAGATACTAAAACCAGATAAGACCAGTACAAAAAACAAAACAAAACAAAAATAACTATAAGCCAATTTTCTTGATACATATGGAAGCAAAATCTTCAATAAAATACTAGCAAACCAAATACAATAGCATTTTAATAAGCTCATACACCAACACCAAGAAGGATTTATCCTTGACATGCAAGATGTTTTAACATGTTCAACCCAAACAAAACGATACACCGCATTAACAGAATGTAAAATAATAAATCATGTGATTGCCTCTATAGATGCAGAAAAATATTTGAAAAAAATTAACATATTGGCCATAATAAAACTTTCTATAAACTAGGTATAGAAGAAATTTACCTCAAAGTAATAAAAGCCAAGTATGACAAGCCCACAGCTAACATCATTCAAAATAGTGAAAAACTGAAAGTTTGTTCTCCAAGACCAGGAACAGACAAGGGTGCCCACTCCAAACACTTCTATTTCCCATAGTACCAGAAGTCCTAACCAAAGAAATTACCAAGAAAAAGAAATAAAAGTCATCTAAATTTGAAAGTAGAAACAAGTTCTGCTTGTTGATGACACAATTTATATATTTTAAAAAATATAAAGACTCCACCAGGAAAAAGAACTACTAAAAAAAGCAAAGTTGTAAGATACTAAATCAGCATAAAAAATCAGTCAAGAAAGTGGCATCACCAAAATGGCAGAGTAGAAGTCATCTGGCCCACCTTTCCCTTCAGAAAACCAAAAACAACTATTCGGTGCCATCCTTATCCCAAGGAATATCCCGGAACTCAAAACGGAGACAGTTATGATCCTTGGGGCCAAGGGGAAGTAAAAAAACTGCAAGCAGAAGTAAGAGAAACAGATCTCTGTATCCACAGTAAGAGAAACAGATCTCTGTATCCACAACAACCCTTTTCCAAACTGGCAGAAAACATGTTGAAAAGATACCCTGGACTTGTGGTTTCTACAATGGAAAAAATGAGATCAAGTCAGGCATTCACCTTCCTCACCACAGGTTTCTTCACAGGACCAACTCTTCCTGTCTCGATGCATGAGAAGCAGAAACCAAATCATACTGGCTGTTCAGCATCAGCACACTGTAGGAAGCATGCTCCATGGGTCTTCTGACACAAAGATCACAACACACATGGTGTCCTTTTCGTTTTCTTTACAGAAAACCTCTGGTTGAAATTTCTGTTGTATCCAAGGCACCCTATGGAATGGGAGAAAATTTTTGGAATCTATCCATCAGACAAAGGTCTAATATCTAGAATCTACAAGGAACTTAAACAAATTTACAAGCAAAAAACAACCCCATCAAAAAGTGGGCAAAGAATATGAACAGACACTTCTCAAAAGAAGACATTTATGCGGCCAACAAACATATGAAAAAAAACCATCATCATTGGTCATTAGAGAAATGCAAATCAAAACCACAATGAGATACCATCTCATGTTAATTAGAATGGCGATCATTAAAACGTCAGGAAACAACAGATGCTGGAGAGGATGTGGAAAAACAGGAACGCTTTTACACTGTTGGTAGGAGTGTTAATTAGTTCCACCGTTGTGGAAGACAGTGTGGCGATTCCTTAAGGATCTAGAACTAGAAATACCATTTGACCCAGCAATCCCATTACTGGGTATATACCCAAAGGATTATAAATCATTCGACTATAAAGACACATGCACATGTATGTTTATTGCAGCACTGTTCACAATAGCAAAGACTTGGAACCAACCCAAATGCCCATCAGTGATAGACTGGATAAAGAAAATGTGGCACATATACACCATGGAATACTATGAAACCATAAAAAAGGATGAGTTCATGTCCTTTGTAGGGACATGGATGAAGCTGGAAACGATCATTCTCAGCAAACTAACACAGGAACAGAAAACCAAACACCGCATGTTCTCACTCATAAGTGGGAGTTGAACAATGAGAACACATGGACACAGGGAAGGGAACATCACACACTGGGGCCTGTCGGGGGGTGGGGGCTAGGGGAGGGATAGCATCAGGAGAAATATCTAATGTAGATGATGGGTTGATGAGTGCAGCAAACCACCATGGCACGTGTATACTGATGTAACAAGCCTGCACATTCTGCACACGTATCCCAGAACTTAAAGTATAATAAAATAAATAAATAAAAAATAAAAAAATTTAAAAAAAAGAAATTTCTGTTGTATCCAAAACACCTTGATAAATCATGTATTGACTCTTGTTGTGCATTACTCTAAATTTAATGTTTGCTAGACAAGGAATATGAAATTACTAAGCAATATAGAATTATTGAATTTTGCCTTCTCTATTTGAGGAAATCAAGAAACATTGTCTCCCTATTGTTTCTTTCATCATTTTATAAGAGGGTATTTTATTATTACACTTGTCAATTTTGAAAAGTAGATCCAAAAGTTGTCTTCTTATATCCCAGTATTTATCAGATAGTCCTTTATTGTTTGCTTTGTAAGTGAGAATACACAACCATGACATTTACATATCTTTAGGAAGAATATGCCATTTAAGCAGTACAGTCTAGCATGTCACAAACTAACAATATCATCTGCTTTTTAAGAGAAAACATTTAGATTGCCTTATGCAATTTAAAGTTTTCAGTATATTATCATTATCAAGCATGAAGGGTATTGTTTAGAAATGTTTATTTTTCAGCCAAACAGAATCAAACTAAATGCAGATATTTTATGCTCCATAAAGTAATTTAGGAAATCACTTAGCAAACACATTTTCATCAATGTTACAATTCAAACCATTTCATGGCATTTGCATTTGCAATTCAATTCTCATAAAAGCAAACTACAAAACCACAAATCATTGGTCCACTAAGTAGTACCTGGATATGGGAATAGTAACACTTAATGCATTCTGCAGATTGCTGGACTGCAGTAAGCCAGGTACTCCTTTGTACTTCAGACTCTTTGTAAATTATGGAATACAATTGTTTCTGTTTGGCTGTTTGTATTTTATTAAGAGTGGAAGAAAGGGTGTGAGAAAAAGAGAAAGATAAAATTTCCCAAGTCCATATGAAATAAAGAAAAATATAATTAAAAATAATTTAAAAATGAAGCTACGTGTCTATCATTTTATGAAGACTATTCTACTAAGGTTTCCTCTAGTCTTTCTCAGAAGTGCCAACAGAATGATCTAATTTTTTCCTACTCAAAGGTACATGTTATTATTTCTAAACTCATTCTTTAACATTTTGCATCATTTCACTTCATAAATTATTATCTGCCCACATTAGGACACTGTACGACTGAGAGAAAAATCTGAGTGGGGGATATTTCCACCAGTGCCTTCTTGCAATGGACCAATCACAGGCTTATAAATACAAAAATAAATTAGACAATTGTAATCATATTTACTGAGTAATATTGTTTGCAGAACATCAGGTGTTCAAAAAGAAATGCCATTTTGAAATATCTTTTGTCACATTTGAGATTAAATTTGAAGAATGATAAATTAACTTTTCCCCTAATAATAAAGTATTCTAGTTTTTAGGCTATTATTTAAACCAGTCTTAGTACATAACAATCTACTGTCCAGAAAGGATTAATACCCATAAAGTGATTATCCAACTCTGGTGATAATTAGCACATCAGGGGAATAAGATTTCCATTTAAGGTATAATTTATTCTATTTCATTTGATTCTAGGGGTCATCAAAGTAGCTTTTTATGTACCTATGAGCTAGCCTACTGGCTTCAGTCACTAAATTTCTCTACCATGCACTCTGCACATCCCTTTTTTTCTTTAGCTATTTCTTGTTGATTTGGTTTCTCACAAGCCATTAAGCAGAACTGCATAGTATAAACCTGTCACAATTTTGGACTATACGTTATGCAGAGAGTTTCTAAAAATTTTCTCATAAAAATACTTATTTCAACTTGTGCTTTCAACAGGAGATATTACCCTTCATCTCCAGTGGCAAAATTATTTGAAGCTGATGAGTCATATAATAGTTCTCAACTCCCCAAAGCACCTTTATTATGGGAAACTACTCCTGTACTGTCATTTAGTTTGTGAAATATGAAATGCTACTGTGTGATTTTTATCTCGAAATACCTAAGAGAAGAAAATATAGATGACAATTTCTCACTAGATAGGAATCTTAAAAGGTTGAACTTACACTGTTCATGCTAGATTTCTCAAGAGTGCTCTCACATGGATTTAAGGGATGCAACCGTCTGTTAATATTTTGCTATTACATTCAAAAACTTACTTCTTAGAAATTAAATACAGTTTTAAAGATCCTCTGCTATCTCCTTAATGTATAAACTGAGCATCATGGGAAGCAACTAAAATAATAAGACCTAGAGGGAAAAAAGACCCTAATAATGGTGACAATATAAGCCTTATCTGCTTACTAATAGAAGGACAGTGTGGAAGCTTAATAAATTTCCCCATTTACTCAAGATCCACACTGGTGGTAGAAAGGTGTTAAATAAACACAATGAAATATGAGGGAAGCAAATTAAAATAAATAAACAGACCATTCTGTACATAATGTAATACAAGTTAAAATCTAGAAATAAAAGTTAAAAATATTTCAACTTATAGTCTAAGCTAATGTTATATTTTCTGGATATGTCTATATTGTTTAAAATTGACATTTGCTTTTATACGTTAATGGACATTAAAACTTTTCTTACTGTATTAATGCATTTCTTATGTTTGACCACCACTTGGCCAATGACTTGTATTGATGTAAAAGGTAGCAAAATATTAAAAGAAGCTCCAAATTGAACATTTAATAACTTAACGAAATAATAGTTCTGATAAGGGCAGTATATTAGTCAGTTCTCATGCTGCTATGAATAAATACCCGAGACTGGGTAATTTATAAAGAAAAGAGTTTTAATTGACTCACAGTTACGAATGGCTGGGGAAGCCTCAGGAAATTTACAATCAGGACGGAAGGCGAAAGGGAAGCATGGTGCATTTTACCTAGCCAGGGGAGAGAGACAGAGAAGAGTGAGGGGACTGTAAAAACACTTTTAAACCACCAGATCTTGTGAGAACTCACTCACTATCACGAGAACAACACGGAGGAAACCGCCCCCATGGTTCAATTACCTCCCAACAGGTGCCTCCTATGACACGTAGGGATTATGGGGATTACAATTCAAGATGAGATTTGGGTGGGGACACAGCCAAATCATATCAGGCAGTTAAGAGAGAGAGAATGAGAAATACAGAAGGCTCAGTTTGAAGAGATGGTATTGAGGAGTGATTTGCAAATTTGAGAAGTAACTAATTTCACGTGAGGTAGTGGTAGCTCAGCAAGAAAATAACATTAAACTAGTTACGTTATTTCATAAGTGTAATTTTTCTTTGCCACTTCTTGGTATAATTCAGAAAACATCTGGAATAATTTCCAATGTCTTTGGATGATTAACAAGATTACTAATCAAATGCAACATTGTGCTGATCTTGTCTGATAGATTAGCTTTATACCCACTACATATATTACTTACTATAAATCCCTTTTGGAATAGTGGGAAGACATACAAAAACAGATAGTATGACAGATTAGAATGTTTCTATCAGGATTCCATAAGGTTATTAAAATTTCATGACTCTGTGAATCTAGACACATAGAATTAAAAACAATACTATTTTATTCCAGAAAATGAATTGCCGTTATTTTAATAAGAGACAGAGAGACCAAAATTATAAATTTTTGGAACAAATAAATTTAATTTCTTTAATTTTTAATAGCTCAGAATACTTTAAAATCTGCTAATTTTGATTCTAAAAATATATAACACTTTTTCTAGGAAAACAATTCATAGATAGTTAAGGTTTTATTTTGATTTGTTTGCTTGATTTTGCTTTTTCTTTAGTGACACATTCAAAGTGGATTCTCTGTTAATTGCTTTTTTAAAGAAATAACTACTCAAATCTTTAAGTGTATGTTATATTTTGATGCATTTTTAAATAACGAAGTAGAAGATTTGATACCATTCTTATCAATTAATATATGGTATACCAAAGTAACAGACAATCCTGTAATTTCAGTGGCTTACACTAACAAATATTTATATTTTTGCTCATGCCACCTGTCCCTCACAGATGATGATGTGGGGAGGCATGTGGGGTGTTCTCGGTTGTAGTCACTTAGTAACCCGGGCTGCTGTAGTTTTCATCATCATCTTGGAACATTCATCCATGATTACCAAGGCAAAGAAGTAAGATGTGGTGAATTTTGCATCTTAGCACTCCGAATTCTATGTAAATGTGGTTGTAATCATTCATGCTTTATTATCCAAAGCAAATCAAATGGCAACTTGTAGATTGAAAGGGGCTGGTAGTTGAAAGCCTGTATTATACCTGGATGTGGGCAAAAGCAGGAATATTTGGTGAGCTATATGAATCATTTACATATCCTTTAAAGAGATTTCTTTTCTATATAACTGTGTAATAGCATATAAAGCTACAAGTAAGTGAAAACAATAAAATGAGAGTGGTTGGGGAGAGGGCAAGATGGCCGACTAGACCCAGCCAGGTGGAACTGTTGCCTCTGAGGAACTAAGACGACTGGTGCACTCCTACCAGATCTTCAGAGGGGAGGCACGGAGAGTGGAGGAAGGGAAGACGCAGAAGCCGGGCTGAAAGGAGAAGAAGCTGGGAACCCTGCAGAGAGATACTGTGCAATGAGACTAATTGTGGGCTCCCAGTGACTCTGGGGGACCGGGTGAATTTGAACTGACAAGGAGTAACCCACTCTCGCCATGGGCCTCCAGAATGCCAACAGGAGGAGACCCCCTTGACCACCACAAACACTTGAGTTGGCAGGGAGAGCTGTTTACAGAAGTGGTAGGGGCCTCAAGCCAGCTGATGTGAAGTTCAGAGGGTCTGGTGCCAGTGTATCTGTAGCAGAGCACAGCCAGGGAAGGCCATTCCCCTAGGCTCAACTTGCTCCGGTAGGAGACTTCAGCCATAAGAAAACTGTCGGTCCTGAACTCTGCAGAGCGGTCTTCCCTATCAGATGGGGCCAGTTCAACCTGAGCAACTGTTGGTCTGTGGCCTCTGTAGGGTGCCAGCCTGGCCACACCAGCTTGCAGGGCGCCTCAGGTGCCTTGGGGGCACGCATCATAGCTCCTGCACCAGTGGATGTGCCTAACCTGAAGAGAGCTCTAGCAGGGCAGCCCCCATGGTTATACACCAGCATACCTGCTGCCTCCCCACACTGCAGCTTACCCCAGGCCCACAGCAAACCCCTCATATTGTTTCGCCAGCACGTCGGCTTGAGGAGGCGGGTTTTGCCTTCCTTGCCCTACCAGCACGAGCGTGTGGATACGCCCTGCCCTGCCACAGCTGTGGCAGGAATGCAGTTTGCCCATATCTCCCCACTAGACCACCGTTGCTGTCAGAACCACAGAGCCAGCTAGCCACTCTTGCACCAACACTACCGTGGGAGTGAAACTAGGCACAGAGAACAGTGGACCTTCCCCTGCCCTGAGCAACCACTCCTGCCTGTGGTGCACAAAGAGCACACACAGACTTGTGCTGTCAGCTCCCTGCCCCCATGCTAACACTACTACCAGCAAATCTCACTCACAGTTTTAAGCAAGGGCCCCCAACCCCACAGCCGTGCTGCCTCCACCACTGGAGTGAATCCCCACATGGAAGCAGGCACCCCGGCACCCACTAGCATCCTGCAGCAGCCAACGAGTATGCACCCTGCTGCACTGCTGCTGCTGCGGCTGCTGCTGCTCATACTTGTGAAAAAGTAAGGATTCAACTGCCACCTCACTACAAAATGCTTTGGGTGGACCCACTGGAGTTCAATGACAAACGGTCCAGGAGCACCTCATCACCCCCCTCCCCTACAACCAGTGCAGTGGATTCCTAACCTCTAGGAGCTAGATAACAAAGTCAGGCCCCAATATAAGGTCCCCAGAGTTAGAGCATGTAATCCAGGAGTTGAGAGCTGAGGTGCTGGCCCCCTAAAATCTTCCAAAAATGTAGTTTATTGGATGAATTCACCTTATAGCACAGCTAAACCCTCAAGGTTATCAAATAGGAAAAAGAAAAAAAATCCAAAGTTCAGCAACTTCAAAGATTGAAGAATCATCAGCCCATAAAGATGAGAAGAAACACAAGAACTCAAACAACTCAAAAAGCCAGAGTGCCTTCTTTCCTCCAAACAATCATATCGCCTCTCCAGCAAGGGTTCTTGACCAGACTGAGAAGGCTGAAATAACAGAAATAGAATTCAGAATATGGATAGGAATAAAGATTATTGAGATGCAGCAGTATGTTGAAGCTCAATCTAAGGTAGCTAAGATCACAATAAAATGATCCAGGAACTGCCAGACAAAATAGCCACTATAGAAAAGAAGATAATTGATCTGATAGAACTGAAAAACACACTACAAGCATTTCATAATGCAATCACAAGTATCAACAGCAGGATAGACCAAGCTGAGGAAAGAATCTCAGAGCTTGAAGTCTGGCTGTCTGAAAACAAACAAACAGCAGCAACAACAACAAAAAAGCCAGTCAAGAATACAGAAAAAAATGAAAAATAATAAAATCTCTGAGAAATATTGGATTATGTAAACAGACCAAATCTATGAATCTCTGGTGTCCCTGAAAAAGACAGGGAGAGTGTAAGCAACTTGGAAAACACATTTGAGGGTATCACCATGAGAACTTCCCCAATCTAGCTAGTGAGGAAAATATTCAAACTCAGGAAATGCAGAGAACCCCAGTAAGATACTTAACAAGATCTTCCCCAAGACACATAGTCATCAGATTGTCCAAGGTCAAAATGAAAAAAAAAATGTTAAAGGCAGCTATAGAGAAAGTTCAGGTCACCTACAAAGGGAAGCCCATCAGTCTAAGTGGGCCTCTCAACAGAAACTCTGTAAGCCAGAAGAGGCTGAGAGACAATATTCAACATTCTTAAAGAAAAGAAATTCTAACACAGAATTTAATATCTGGTCAAACTAAGATTCAGAAGCAAGGAGAAATAAGATCCTTTTCAGACACATAAGGCAATTCATTACCACCAGATGTGCCTTACCAGAGCTCCTGAAAGAAACACTAAATATGGAAAGGAAAGATCATTACCAGCCACTATAAAAATTCACTTAAATACACAGGTCAGTGACACTATAAAGCAACCACACAAACAAGTGTGCATAATAATTAGCTAACATCATGATGACAGTATCAAATCCATACATATCAATACTAACTTTAAACATAAATGAGCTAAATGACCCAATAAAGTGATACAGACTGGCAAGCTGGATAAAGACCCAAAACCCAACACAGGAGCATCCAGATTCACAAAACAAGTTCTTAGAAACCTTCAAAGAGACTTAGACTCCCATGCAATAATAGTGGGAGACTTCAACACCCCACTGATAGTATTAGACAGATCACTGAGGCAGAAAATTAACAAAGATATTCAGGACCTGAACTCAGCACTGGATCAAATGGACCTGACAGAGTCCATTTACATCCTATCTACAGAACTGTCTACCCAAACACAACAGAATATACACTCTTCTCATTGTCACATGACACATAATCTAAAATCAATCACACAACAGAAAATAAAACAATCTTCAGCAAATACAAAAGACTAGAAATCATAACAACCACTCTTTTGAACCTCAGCACAATAAAACTAGAAATCAAGACTAAGAAAATCATCAAAACCATACAAATATGTAGAAATTAAATAACCTACTCCTGTCCGACTTTTGAAATTAAGGCAGAAATCTAGAAGTTCTTTGAAAATAATGAGAACATGTAACATACTAGAATCTCTGAGACACAGCTATGGCAGACTTAAGAGGGAAATTTACAGCACTGAATGCCCACATCAAACGGTTAGAAAGATCTGTTTAACAACCTAACATCACAACTAAGAGAACTAGAGAACCAAGAACAGACCAACCCCAAAGCTAGCAGAAGACAAAAAATAACACAAATCAGAGCTGAACAGAATAAAATTGAAGCATGAAAAAACATACAAAAGGCAAATGAATGCAAGAGTTAGTTTTTTGAAACAATAAATGACATAGACCACTAGCTAGACTAATAATGAAAGAAAGATAAGATATAAATAAACACAATCAGAATTGATAATAGTGACATTACCACCGACCCCATGGGGAGAAAAAAAACTCTCAGAGATGACAGCTATGAACACCTCTATGCACACAAGCTAGAACTTGGAATTGGATAAATTCCTGGAAAACTACAATCTCCCAAGTTTAAACCAGGAAGAAATTGAATCCCTGAACAGACCAATAATGACTTCCAAAATTGAAGCAGTAATAAAAAGTCTACCAACCAGAAAAAGACCAAGACTACATGGATTCACAGCCGAATTCTACCAGATGTACAAAGAACAGCTGGCAATATTTCTACCAAAACTACACCAAAAAGTTAAGTAGGAAGAACTCCTCTCTAATGTATTCTATGAGGCCAGCATTATCAAACCAAAACCTGGCAGAAACACAACCAAAAATGAAAAAATCATGCCAATACCCTGATGAACATGAAGGTAAAAACCCTCAACAAAATACTAGCCAATCAAATCCAGCAGCACATCAAAAAGCTAACCTGCCAAAATCAAGCAGGCTTTATCTCTGTGATGCAAGGTTGATTCAACATACACAAATCAATAAATGTGATTCATCACATAAACAGAACTGCAGACAAAAACCACATTAATTATCTCAATAAATAGAGAAAAAAGCTTTTGATAAAAATCAACACCCATTCAGCCGGGCATGGTGTCTCATGCCTGTAATCCCAGCACTTTGGGAGGCTGAGGCAGGTGGATCATGAGGTCAGGAGATCGAGACCAACCTGGCTAACACGGTGAAACCTCGTCTCTACTAAAAAAATACAAAAAAAAAAAAAAAAATAGCCGGGCGTGGTGGCGGGTGCCTGTAGTCCCAGCTACTCGGGAGGCTGAGGCAGGAGAATGGCATGAACTCGGGAGGCAGAGCTTGCAGTGAGCTAAGATCGTGCCGCTGCACTCCAGCCTGGGTGACAGAGTGAGACTCTGCCTCAAAAAAAAAAAGAACAACAACAACACCCATTCATAATAAAAACTCCTATAAACTAGGTATTCAAGGAACATACTTCAAAATACTAAGACCCGTCTATAAAAAACTGCAACTAACATCATACTGAATGGGTAAAAGCTGAAAGTATTCCCCTTAAAAAGTAGCACAAGTCAAGGATGCCCTCTCTCACTACTCCTATTCAACACAGTATTGGAAATCCTAGCCAGAGCAATCAGGCAAGAGAAAGGAAGAAAAGCCTTCCACATAAGAACAGACAACGTCAAATTATCCCTGTTTGCAGATGACATGAATCTATATCTAGAAAACCCTATAGCCTCATTCTTAAGCTGATAAACAACTTCAACGAAGTTTCAGGATACAGAATCAACATACAAAAATTAATAACATTCTTATACACTAACAACAGTCAAGCCAAGAGCCAAATCAGATATGCAATCCCATTCACAATTGCCACAAAAAAGAATAAAATACCTAGGAATACAGCTAACCAGGGAGGGAAAAGATTTCTACAAGGAGAACTACAAAACACTGTTCAAAGAAATCAGAGATAACACAAACATTGAAAAACATCCCATTATCATGAATGGGAAGAATCAATACAGTTAAAATGGCCATACTGCCCAAGGCAATTTATAGATTTAATGCTATTTTTATTAAACTATCTATGGCATTTTTTACAGAACTAGAAAAATATATTTTGGAATTTATATGGAACCAAAAAAGAGTCCAAATAGCTGAGGCAATCCTATGCAAAAAGAACAAAGCTGGAGGTATCACACTACCTGACTTCAAACTATATTACTGGCCTACAGTAAGCAAAACAGCATGGTACTTTTATAAAAACAACACATAGACCAATGGAATAAAATAGAGAACCCAGAAATAAGGCTGCACACCTACAACTAAATGATTTTCAACAAAACTGACAAAAACAAGCAATTGGGAAAGGATTTCCTATTCAACAATTCAACAAATGGTGTTGTGATAACTGGCTAGCCATATTCAGAAGATTGAAACTGGACTCCTTCCTTACATCATATACAAAAATTAATTCAAGATGGGTGAAAGACTTAAATGTAAATTCTAAAACTAAAAAAACCCTGGAAGACAACTTGGCAATACCTTTCTGGACATAGGAACAGGCAAAGATTTTATGACAAAGATTCCAAAGCAATTGCAACAAAAGCAAAAATTTACAAGTGATATCTAAGTAAACTAAAGAGCTTCAGCATAGTAAAAGAAACTATCAACAGAGTGAACAGACAACCTACAGAATGGGAGAAAAATTTTGCAAACTATGCATCTGACAAAGGTCTAATACCCAGCATCTATAAGGAACTTAAGCAAATTTACCAGAAAAAAAACAAATCACTTCATAAAAAGTGGGCAAAAGACATGAACATGTACTTTTCAAAAGACATACATGAGGCCAAGAATCATATGAAAAAAGCTCAACGTACTGATCATTAGAGAAATGCAAATCAAAACCACAATGAGATACCATCTCACACCAGTCAGAATGGCTATTATTAAAAAGTCAAAAAATAATAGGTGCTGGCGAGATTGTGGAGAAAAGGGAATGTTTATAGACTTTCGGTGGGAGTGTAAATTAGTTTAACCATTGTGGAAAACAGTGTAGCAATTCCTCAAAGATCTAAAAACAGAAATACAATTTGACTCTAATCTCATTACTGGGCATAAACCCAAAGGAATATAAATTTTTCTATTATGAAGACACATGCACACATATGCACACTGCAGCACTATTCACTATATCAAAGACATGGAATCAACCTAAATGCCCATCAATGGTAAACTAGATAAAGAAAATGTGGTACATATACACCATAGAATGCTATGCAGTGATAAAAAAGAAGATGATTATGTTCTTTGCAAGAACATGGATGAAGCTGGAGGACATTATTTTTAGGAAACTAACATGGGAACAGAAATTCAAATACCACGTGGTCTCACTTAAAAGTGAGAGTTAAATGATGACAACACATGGACATATAGAGTACACTGGGGACTATCAAAAGGTGGAGGGTAGGAGGAGGGTGAGAATCAGGAAAAATAATGAATGGATACTAGGCTCAATACCTGAATGACGAAACAATCTGTACAATAAACTCCTATGATACAACTTTACTTATATAACAAAGCTGAACATGTACCACCGAACTTAAAATAAAAGTTAAAAAGAAACTGTCTGCATTTCAGTAAGAAAGACATTTTAGTGAAGAGCATGGAAAGCAGGTGAAAATGATAAAATTTCAAATGCCATTTAAGAATTCCTTCTCTTTCTCTTCCACAGGACAATTAATAACACCTAAAGAACAGTGCTCTAAGGATTCCACATATGCTGTGTGGATTTGAACATTTGCAATGTTACTGATATATTTTCAGGTTACCGAAATTTGGCTTAATAATTGATGTTTACTTGAGAATATATATGACATCATAATTTAAACCAAATTTTACCTAGTGATGAATAACTAAATCAGCATTTCATTTTATTTTGTATTCTCACCTATCTTTATTTTTCTCTCTTTTTTGTTTTTTATTCAGGGATGTCACAAATTTCTCAGCAGTGACCTATTTTCATTCCTATTTCAAACCTATTCCTAATGAAACCCTGGTGACATTTTCAGAAGCATCTTATGGATTCTCTTCTTTTCTTTCAGACTTTTCATTTTACCATACTTGTTTACTCCAGGTTTTATTACACTATTATGTCCATGTGAGCTTATAAGCAATATTTCTCTTTCCCTCCTTATTATCTTGTGAAATATTCTATTAAAATTTGCCTCCCACAAAGATCTTGCATATTCCATTTACTCCATGTTGCTATTGATGGTGACTGCCATTATTCTATTTCTTTATTGTCATGTTCTTAGCTGTACCTTGGCTTCTGATGTTTGCATTAATTTAAAAAATCTGTAGTAGAAAGGGTGTATCTAGAATTCTCTTTCCTGTATTATTTTCTGCACTGACAAAGTAATTGTGTACTTGCTCTCGATGAAAGGGTCAATTTCCCAAAAGTGCCACCATGAGAATTATTTCCCAGACAATAAAACAATCATCTTGGCACAATATATATCAGTTCTTCCTATATGCTACGGGAGGAAGTTCCTTCCCATAGCACATGAAGCCAAGTGACAAGAAAAGTTGGGATAAGGAAAATATCTTTTACTGTTTTATTGTTTACGGTTGTTAGTGCACAAAAGAAAATGTTGCCGTCATGAAATACACCTGGACATCAGCTGGAACTGTCTTGAATGAGTCTTCATAGAAAGCCTAAGGCATCTATAACACCTAACTAAATATTCAATGTGTTTAGAAATTTATTCTTCTGCCAAAGTTAATTAAACAGAAGGACACCTGTGTAAAGAACATCAATCCTGATAACCATGGTTTTCTTGGGCTGCCTAAGCATAAACAAATGATATTCTAGTGAAGAATCTAAATAATTTGTTGCCCAACTGAAGGGAAAGCTAACAAAATGACAAGCAATTTCATCTACCTATGGAAAAACAGAAATCAGAGGGTCATCTGAATTATATAGTGAAAGAGCTGGAGAATACCTCGATAATCCATAGAACCAACACGTCCACTGCGCATTGGGAAAAGAAAAACAAGACTTAGAGTTAAAAATAATGGAGAAATTTCATTCCTAGCTGTGTTAGTTTCTAGGGCTGACATAACCAAGTACCACAGATTGAGTGGCTTAAACAACAGAAATTTATTGTCTCATGGTTCTGGAGAATACAAGGTTCAGATCAAGATGCCAGCACGGTTGATTCCTTCTGATGTATGTCAGAGGGAAATTTGTCCCATGCCTCTCTCTTACCTCCTTTTGGTTTGCTGGCAATTTTTGAACTATGCAGCCGTAAGAAAGGTAGGAATCTATTATCCTCAGCAAACTAACACAGGAACAGAAAATCAAATACTGCATGTTCTCACTTATAAATAGGAGCTACATTATGAGAACCCATAATCACAAGGAAACAACAGACACTGAGGTCCTCTGAAGGGTGGAGGGTGGGAGGAGGGAGAGGAGCAGAACAGATAACTATTGGGTACTTATTGGGCTTAATTCCTGGGTGATGAAATAATCTGAACAACCAATGTCCATGACATGAGTTTACCTATGTAACAAACCTTCCATGTACCCTCAAAACCTAAAATAAAAGTTCAAAAAAAGAAATATATAAATTACCAAAGGGATAAAATGATAACATGAGTTTATAATGACAGTTGAGAACAAAGTATTTTCATGACACTGACGATATTAATAAAATCCACTTTTGTTATTTCAAAAATAAAAATCTCTTTGTATCCAATAATACTTCTTGTTCTAAAATATGTTTTGTCTTACATTAAAATAATTGCTCTGGCTCTCTTAAGGCTACTGTTTGCATCGTATAACCTTTACCATAGCTAGCTATTTTTATCATCTTGATTTCAACAAATACTCTTATTCTTCACCTTTAACAGTTTGGCTATGTTGTGTCTATGTGTTTATATTTATTCTATGTTAGAATTGCTGATGTGCTTAATATGTAGATTTATGTTTCTCATCAAACTTGGACTTTTTTTTGCCATTTATTTACATTTTTTGCCTGTCTTTTCTCTCCTTCTGGGGTCCTCATTTAGTATACAGGTATACTTAATGTTGTCCCACAGTATATTTTCTCTGGCATAGAAGTTGCCTGTGTCACCTTCTTATGCATAAGGTCACTGCTCAACTATTTTCTCCTCTTTCTTAGAATGTCTCTGATTTTTTTATTGTAGAAACTTAGACATTTAAGGTCATATAGCTTTATAACTCTTAATTCTAATATTTTAGAAGGTTTGAATTTTCTTTTCACTATTGATATTTTTAACTATAATAACTTGTAAGATCTGTTGAATTTCGCTTCCTCTCAATGTGCAGCTGCTTTTTACATTCTTTTTTATTTTTAACTTGGATTCCTAGGGGATGCACCTGTGTTTGCATAGGTTAGTATTCAGCCACAGGTTTGGCAGAGGTTATGTTTGAATATCTTACTTTAGTCACGGTTCCATTCTCTATCAAAGGATCTCACAGTGGATTGGACAGTGCATTCAAGAATTAGGCATTTTCCAAGTCCATCCTGGATGTTACTTTTGAATAGGCATTTTCTGCCTCATTTGTGTGCATGTGAAACCTCCTAATAAGCCATGAATTGTGCACAAATAGTCCCACACATAATGGATCACCTGATATTGCAGACAAATATCAAGTAATTCATCGAGGGGAAAGAATAAAATTTGATTGACACTTTACAAAAGGGAGTTAGAAATGCCCAATAAGCATATGAAAGAATGGTTAATATTTAGTCATCTGGAAAAGGTAAGTTATAATCATAATAAAATAACACTATTCATAACTTGAATGGAAAAAGTGAAAAAAAAGTCTAAAATCACAAAGTGTTGATGAGGATAGTGAATAACTTCAACTCTCATACATTGCTAATATCCATTTTACATATAAAACACCATGGAAAAGTGATAGTTTCTAAAAATAATTAATGAGCACTTGACATTCAATCCAAACATTCCACTCTTAGGTATTTATTTAAGATAAATAAAATCACAAAGTCTAGTGTATAAATGTCCATGGTAGTTTTATTCATAGTGGCAGAAATAAATCCAGATATCTACCAAACATAGTGTTGCACATCTACATGGTAGAATGTTATTCAGTAATAGCAATAAATATGTATATACCAGAAAATACTTACTGATACCTGAAACATAGATTGATATAAAAGTCAGTGTTCTAAATGAAGGAAGCCAGAATCAAAAACTTATTTTATGATTCCACTTATATAAAATTCTAGAGATTGCAAATGAATCTATAAATAACAAAAAGGCAATCAGTGATTGCCTGTGGCTAGGGGCAGCAGAAAAGATGGACTGCAAATGGCCATGGGGAAAATTTTGTAGAGGATGGAAATACTCTGCATCTTGATTGCAGCAGTAGTTTCATTTGACAAGACAAAACTCACAAAACTGTAGATTTGATAGTTTTTGTATATCTGTATGCACATGTGTATACATATATAATATTCCATGTCATTGCAATTGATAACATCTATAATTTACACACATATTATTATCCTTAATTATACAGTCTCTTTCTCTTAGTATACCTGCTTATAAATTACAGCTGTCCCTCTGTATTGGTTGGGGGAATGGTTCCAGGACCCCTACATATTCCAAAACCTAAGCACATGCAAGTCTTGCGGTGGGCCCCACAGAGCCTGCACATATGAAAAGTTGGCCCTCCATATACATGGGTTTTGCATCCTGTGAATACTGTATTTTCCATCCAAGTTTGGTTGAAAAAAATTCACATATAAGCGGACTGGCACAGTTCAAGGATCAACGGTGAAGACAGATGAATACCCTCCAAGGGTGACAAAGAAAGCAATATAAAGACAATAGGGACACCTAAGTTTTAAGACTTTAGAAAGCAAAATGTTAGTCCTTCTATGCACAAATAATCAGCTTAACCCAGATTTGACAAGTTTAAATTAGTTTGGCTAAAATAAATTATACACGATATCCTAAGTATTTTAAATCTAATTTATGCTTCATAAATGATTATTAAAACCAATTATACATACTATTATAAGAATAAACAAGCAAGCAATAAACTTCCACCTAGTTACAGAGCACTGTGGAACCATAAATAATAAAAAAATTGAAATATTATGGTTGAGTTAATTATCTAAGACAAAAATCTAAGTCTTTGCTTTACTTTATATAATTTTGCAAAGCAATCTTTTTTTAAAGAATGATTCAGGAAAAAACCCAATTAATATGAGATTTTTGAAGATGCAAAATTTATTTACTTGCTTGACAACCATCATTACCTGAGTTTTTCACCCACTGTTTCAAGCCCTGGGATACAGACAAATAAGTCTGTTATGGTTCTTGGCCTCACTGAAGTTAAAATTCAGTAGGGGAAAGCAGACAATGAAAAATCAACTATATAAAAACATTTTAAAAATATTTTTCTAAGTACTATAAACAGAATATACATGTGATAAAGAACGGTGGTAATTGTGAAGTTGAGGGTGGCTACTTATAATTAAGTAGGTGTGTACTTTCCAAAGGGACTGCTTCTCCGAGGAGTATGAATGAGAGTTACTTGTGTGACTGTCTCCAGGAAGATCATTCAAACATAAGTCATAAATAGCAAGCACAAAGTACTGGAGACCAGAATGGGCTACATATACTTCATGTAAAGAAGGGAGTCAACTGAGCCTGAAGATAGTGTATCAGATTGGGGTGGGGTGAGAAGTTGGGTGAAAAGAGTTGACGCATTAATTTCATTGATTTACCAAAGAGTATTTTTTTCTAACTAACATTCCTCAAATTCTAGTTCTCCTGAACTATTTGTTTTAACTTTAAAGGTAATCATGCCTATTGAATAGACATTCTAAGTATACCTAAAAAAAAAGGAAGCTAAAATAAAATTGGAGTTCACACAAAATTTTTTCTACAAATAACACTTTTAAAAATCTGTACTTGTAAAACTCACAAATACTTTACGTTTAATATTTGCCAGTCTGATTATATAAATGTTGTTAAAAATTGGAGATGTCTACTTCATTAATTGAACATGAGATTGAAAGAATTGAGTTATGTCTTGGTAATCTGAAACACTGATGGACATACATATTGGCAATTCACATCATAGGTTATCTGGAGCTCAAGCAGTTTAGCAATCTAAAATGTAAGAGACTGTTTTTACTTCAGGCAGAAATTGCTCTTTAGATTTAACTTAAATCTCTCAATAATTTTCCAGAGTTTGAGCAAATGTATGTCTAATAAAAGTTGCATATGTAGGCAGGGCGCGGTGGCTCACGCCTGTAATCCCAGCACTTTGGGAGGCCGAGGACGGCAGATGGCCAGGTCAGGAGACTGAGACCATCCTGGCTAACACGGTAAAACCCCGTCTCTACTAAAAATACGAAAAATTAGCCGGGCGTGGTGGCGGGCGCCTGTAGTCCCAGCTACTCGGGAGGCTGAGGCAGGAGAATGGCGTGAACCCGGGAGACGGAGCTTGCAGTGAGCCAAGATGGTGCCACTGCACTCTAGCCTGGGCGACAGAGCCAGACTCCGTCTCAAAAAAAAAAAAAAAAATTGTTGCATATGTAAATATAAAATTTAACTTTATATTCACTGCAAAATTGACTTTGAACTGCTCATATGTTGACCTGCTCAGAAATTTCTGGTTGGCTGATTTGAAAGCTTTAACCTTTGGAATTTATTAAATAAAGATTTTATCCTATGGCCCCAAATATCAGATTTAATTAATGTTTTTAAAATATTTATTGCCTTAGCCACATTTATAATTTAACTCAGATACCCAACTTCTTTAAGATGTCAGCTTCTAAGTGTTTAGAGATCTAATACTGAAGCAGGAGTTCATGAAATGCTTGATTAGTGATATTTAACCAGCAGCTGTCTCCTATCTTCCATTCACTTTTCACGTTTCAGACCTTTGGAATTTCTTACAAAACCCAAAATACAAGTTTACTTAATAGGTCATACTCTAAAATAAATGGATTTTTATTGCTGTACCCATTTTATAGGAGAACAAATAAGCTTCTTAAGTAATTAAATAAATGAATATATAAACACATATAAGTATATATGAATAGATAACAAAAAGAAAAAATGCAAGAAAAGAGTTGGTGCCATCTTTGAATTAAGTAGTACATACTAGGCATGGAGTTAGGTGCTCAATATGCATTGTCTTTAAAACTAAGAGTTGTTACATATATATTGTTATCACATCAAATATAAAAAGCAGAGATACAAAAAAAAATGGTTAAACTAAATAGACAATATAAGACAGAGAAACCTGATTCAAAACCTAGTGCTTATGACCCCAGGGCTCTGCTTTTGTCCTTCGTGTCATTTGCCACTAGGTGGTTTAATGTCAAAAGCTGTGAATTAATTGATATCTCATTATTAGTATGAGTCTGCTTTGGTTTCATGTCTTAATGGATATTAAAAGTTATAATAGCATTATTCATAAGGACAGTAACCTGGCATTTGCCTTCAGCAGAACGGGAGAGGGGGTCCTATGTATCGACTGGGTCCCAAAGAGTTTCTTTTCAGGGCCCTTTACTTGACCACAAGTCATCAAGTGATTATCTTCATTTTACTCATGACCACCTCTACCGAGAAACAGTTTAAAAAACATATTAATAGGAATACATATTTTAACATGTATTTTTCTACCCTTTCCTCTTCTCTCATCTGTATCATCTAAAGATAGTTCTGCCTTTTTTACTTAGTGTTTTCTGACTTTATAGAAGTGTCCTGTCATCAGGAATTTTTGGTGTAAGATTTGGAGAAACTAGAGGAATACAAGCAATAAAACAAATTTAGTGTATTCTAGATAGAGATGTTGTGGGATCAAAAGAAGTGTACAAGTTCTGGGCTCATAAAAAGGTGAGAGAGGATGGAGTGGGCTGGGATGGGTTAAGATTAAAGCACTGAGACAGCCATGAGCACCCAGTGTTGAAGGGAGTTTTTTCTGGCTTGGATAGTGATAATCTTTGGGATTTGAGAAGTAGATGGAGAATTGATCAGTTGATAAAGGGGGATTTTAGGAAGTTTTACAGGTACTTTAGATTATTGCATGACACCCTTGGAAAGGCCACATACCACTAGCTATCCAGCAATGCTTATACGCTTATTTATACGCTTATTTATCTCTCTCTCTCTCTCTCACACACACACACACACACACACACACACAGAGACTAGAAAGCTGTTGCAGAGAGAGACTGGTACAGTGAAGCTATATTGTAATATCTCTTAAGGGGATCTGTGCTTTAAATAAGAAAGGAAAGTTTGAAACTGTTTATCATTACTATGGATGCCCTTAGATATAAATGACTAAGGCAATTTCTACCTCATAAAGAAAGGAGTGATAAGATCTATTTGTCTGTCCTAAATTTGGATTAGAGATGCTCAGACTTTTGAAGCTATTCAGAAAGAATAATCTACTCACCAGATTCATTATCTTGTAATGACTTACTCTCATTTTAAACACAATTTGAGGTGCTTTGTTAAAATACCCTTCTGTCTATGAGAGCTGCATATTTCATCCGCAATTTTGTATAAAGAACGTATTAAATAATTTACAGTTTAGCAAGAAGGGAGTCTCTTACTACCTTTTAATAAAACTATTCCTAATACAATACACTTTAATCTTTTAAACATAATAAATGAACTGATCAATTTCAAAATCAATGTATGATCTTGGATTATGTTCCCTTGAGGTAAATCCCACTACAAAGCTGAATCCTGTAGGTTTCGTTCACGACACTTATAAAAAGATAAAGAGATGAGACCAGTGAGTGACCAGGCTAATGAGAAGGGAAAGTAGAGTTAAGTGAAAGTAGGAATGATCTTATATGGAAAAATATTGAGCAGCCTAAATCAGTGAACTTATCTCAGACAACAGAAAAAGATAATAAAACTTCAACTGATCAGAAAATACTATAGTAGGTTATACATTTATTGGATTATTTTCTTTTTCAAACATATCAAGCAGATATAAGCATATTAGGAAATCACATTTGAAATCAAAGTCATTACCTCTGGGATCTTATTTCAGAGCTATATTCTTACAAAATACAGCTTAGAGGGCAGCACTACTTTCCCAGGAATCACAAAAGCAGTCAGGTGTGCAGATGAGACCAGAGACATATATTTGTTTTATCTCAGCCAGTTCAGTCCACTCATTCACCGTCATATAAATCATTTTCAAACCAACATTTTCTTGAATTCAGTGGCGACATGCAAAAACAGATTGTGTGAATAACTCAATAAAATGGATACAGTGATATAAGCCTAATTTTAAGACTTGCTCGAGAAATACCTAATAAAAATGTTTTTATGTAAATAGTTTTCTATTTCTACAGAAATAGAAAATGCAGTACAGAGAGCTACATGTTTAGTGCATTAAAATAGCGTGAATCTTCTGGTACTTATATGTAAAGTACTTTAAAGTACTTCAACACATATTTAACATTAACATATATGTAAAGTAACATAACATATACGTAAAGTAACTTTAACAAAGTGACCTAGGCCTATTCTAGAATCTGAAATTATTTCCAAATTGCTCTGTGAAAATACTTTACATATAAGTTCAAATATAAAACCATTGATACAATGTTATGGTTATAACTTTCAACATAAAACTGAACACATTTGTAGTAAATGCAAACAAAATGGAATAGGGGGAATCCTAAATGTCTGGTTCTAAATTTCTTGCTTTTCTATCTTCCTCTCTGGAGCCACACAATACTCAATAGAGACTACTGTTGGATCTTGGAAGGTGAGTCTCAGGCTTAAAATTCTTAAATATCATGGGGAAAACAAGTGAGAATTCCACTGGCAAAGGCTGAGGAGGTAGCAGCAGAAGACACAGTGGCGTTTCTTAGATACAGGTAGGAAAATCAGTGGATTTCAAGGTGACCTGAGCCAAAACTGCTGGTTTATTTCATTAGAGAAGAATTGTAAGTACCAGCATGCTATTTATACTCTCAAAAAGCTTTGCCTGCTGACATTCTGTGCTGGAATAAAATAAGAACCTCCATCATGTTGAGAAAGAAATGACTGCCCCCCGCTCTTCCTGATGGGTTTTAGACCAGAGATGTGCCCTTGCGGAGACAGTAAATCTGCCAACTCATTAGCTACTGGCTTACTGAAAGAAAGGGAAAACAAAATGAAATACAGAAATGAGACAAAACAACAATAAAAGAAACTACTTTCTGCTGCCTTTGATTTATAAAATAGTGGTAAAAAAGAGAAAGAGAATATTCAGAAAGCAAAAGAGGAAAATGACAAAATGCCTTCAAAGGGACGCGAATAAAACTTGCAGATAACTTTCAACTTAAACAATTAAAAACAGAAAGCAATGTAATTAAATAGCATACCAAGCAACATAAAATTTTATAACCAGTGCTATGGGCTGAATTGTGTCCCCCACAAAATCCATATTAAAGCTGTAACCCCCAGTATGACTATATTAAAAATAGAGCCTATAGGGAGGTAGCTACTGTTAAAGGAGATCATAAGGTTGGAGTCCTAACAGGATTAGTGTCCTTACAATAAAAATACGAGCGGCTTCTCTCTCTTTCTCCCCTCTCATGTGCAAAGAAGTCATGTGAGCACATGGCACAGTGGGACGGCAGACACTAGGAGTATGAGAAGAGGCCTCCGAATGAAACCTTCCTGTCTGGCACCTTGATCTCAGACTTCCCAGTCTCCAGAACCGTGAGAAATAAATTTCTGTTGTTTAAATCACCCAGTCAGTGGTATTTTGTTATTGCAGCCCAAGAAGACTAATATAACCAGCTAAATGGTATCTCCAAATGAAACAAGATAAAGGGATTTTTGAAAAAAAAAAACTTGAATTTTTCATTGACAACCATATTTAAAAAGGTATTATTTCGGTAAAAATGAAATGAGACCAGTTCAATGATAAGGTAAAGAGTGATTTTAAGAATTAACATGAGAAATCTAAATTAGTATTATCTATGTTAAATAATGTGACAATATTATATGGATTAAATCTATGTAGAATTAAAACGGTAGATATGTGCTGGAAATCGCTTGGCTATTCATGTCCCTCTACGTTGGATACACTGCTGATCTCAAAAGACATTTCCCATGTGGAAGTGCCATGTTTATTCTCCTCATACTTATTCAATACTTTTATAAATTCATTAAAATGCATATTTTAAAAAATACACTTTTACTTTTGAATAGCTTAAGATTTACAGAAATGTTGTGAACCTAGTACAGAAGGCTCCTATATACCCTACAACCAGTTTACCTTATCATTAACATTAATATGCTATATTTGTCACAAGTAATAAACCAGTACTGACATATTATTATTAAATAAAGTATATGCTTTACTCCAATTTTCTTATTTTTTAACCTAATGCCTTTTTTTTCTGTTTTAGGGTCCCAATCAGGATACCACATTATGTTTAGTAACGATGTCTTCTTAGGCCCCTATTGGCTGCAGCAGTTTCTCAGTCTTCCTTATTTGAATGACTTTACAGTTTTGAGGAGTAATGGTGAGGTTTTTTTGTAAAATGTTTTTTATATGCGTTTGTGTAATACTTTTCTCATGGTTACAGAGGTTTATAGGTTTTGGGGAGGATGACCACAGATTTCTGTTAAGGTTTCTGCATTTGCTCAAGATATTTTTTTCTTTGTGAGTGTGGTGTTCATTGTAATCTTTGGAACATAAAATAATATATTTGAAGAATGATAAATGTTCAGTTAGAACTTGTGACTCACTACAAAAAGTATGGTATTAGCTTAAGTCTTTATTCGGAGCAAGTGAACATGTTTGGGTGAATAACTGCCAATGAAGACCAAGTTGGATGTGTTTATTTCTAGTTATTTTTCCTTAGGGACAGAACAAGCTTATGTGAATAAACTTTTGCTAGGTTTTTAAAAACCTGTTATGCATTGGAATACTGAATTCCATTATTTGAAATATCAATGCTTTCCCAGGAAAACTGAGCACAGAGCCATTTTCCCACAACTTTGTCTACCATTATTCACAAAATAGAATATACAGACAAGGCAGGGCCATCGTGTAGGTCCAGACATAAGGTATTCTATTTAAAACAAATCAGAATTTTTACAAGAGCATGTGTTTCTTGATTCTCTTTGGACATTAATAATGGAGGCTCTCATTTTATATGAATCAATTAAATTTTCACTAATTTTTGAACTGTCAAATGAATAGCCATTTACTGAGCTCTTATTGTGTGCCTCACACTATAATAGTCAGTTCTGTGTATCACAGAAACTGAGAATACGGTTTCTGTATTCAATAAAAAGAATATTTGGAGAGATTCATTTGATACAGAGAAAAGTGCAAAATGAGATTAGAGAATGAATAACGGGAAGAGGCTTCTGAGACTAGAATTGTAAGAAAGTTTTGATGAAGAAAGCAGAACACTTGCTGGATCTGACTTATATGCCTTGGATCACAGAGCAGAAACGAAAGGATATTATTCAGGGCAAACATCACTCTGTGTCAAGGGTAGAATGACATAAATCATCTTGGAGACCATTAGTCTAGGACCTGGGAGGACCTGAATGGTCTGTGTCAAAGAGCAGAGATTAGCTCCAAGATTTTATTTTGCTTCCTGGGCTAACAACTACTCATAGGAGACATGTGTAGGAACTCATGAATCATTTTTGACACATAATAGGTCAGTGTAATATAAAACATTACAGAAAACAATGGTCTGAATGATCACTGGCATTTACTTGGGGTGTTTTAGGTTTATATGTTCAAGTGAAACATAATAGTCTAATGAGTAAAGTTTGGCAATCCTGGAAACATGAAATTTTATCTCATCTTTAATTATAACAGATAGCCCTAAATCGTGTGTGTGTGTGTGTGTGTGTGTGTGTGTGTGTGTGTATGTGTGTGGTTATTGAAAATGAAGTATCATGACAAGTGCCTGATTATGCATTTCAATATGGGAAATATTCAAAAAAGGAACAGAGTTTAATAAAACCCTACATTAAAATTATTGATAAATGATTTGTATAACATAATGTTTCCTTAGTCTTATGGAAAAAAATTCATTGGTTTGGGTGATTATGTGAAATAAGAGAGTATTTGTACTTCGTCTCCTCCAGAGTGCTATAGACATTTGTTAATCATGAGTATTTGAGCACATGGTACAGTAATCACAGAATTACACTAATAGCTATATAAATACAATTTAGGAAACTGAATAATAACACAAATATCCAAATGAAATTTCCACACTGATTTCTTTCTTGTTCATGTGGCACAGTCTATGAGTAAAGAATAAAACAAAAAGTTGTGCTGAGAGAAGAAAGAAGATCAACCTGCTAATAGAAAAAGATATTTTGGTGCTTCATGAAAGAGAAAATTAAAACTCCAGGTTTCTCATGGGTGATAAGGAGTGAAGATTGCTGCAACACCCACTGCTCATGTTGTTTGGGGGCTGATTAAAAAAGCAGAATAAAGCCAGTGTGGAGGCTTTTCTCTGTGTGGCTCACAGAACCCGGTGTGACGAAACAGGACTGTGAGCTGGCAATGGAGCACGGCCACTTGGAGCTTATTTCTTTAAGTTTTCTATAAATGTGAGTTTTTGGCTGAGCAAACCTTTGTGTGAAGTAATCCACTGATCATGCAAGGAAGCAAGGTATAATGGGCTTGTTTTGCTTATTCTTAGCCAAAATGTGCTTATTTTTACAAGAGGAGGCATAAAAATATCCCACACAGTCTTCTAGAGGCCTAGCCATCAGTAGATCTCAGTTCAATTTTTTGGTGGGGGAGTACTCTTATCTCTCCAGATTTTGTCATGGTGCTTTGACTTGTGACATCAGATCTCTGATGAGTTTGACCAAGAAAGCCTTTACTTTTCTCTCAGCTTTACTAAACTTTCCATAGGCTTCTTCTTGCCACTAGGCCCCTATTCTCCTTCTCCTTAGAGCATTTACTTTAGAAAACTTGCATATTATTTCTCTGCCCCTTTGAGGGCATAAATATTTCTAAAACTCTCTGGCCACTGGTAATCACCCTTCTACTTTCCATTTGTATGACTTTAACATTTTTATATTCTATATATAAAAGATAATGCCAAGGGTTTGGGAGTGGGAGAAATGGGGAGATGTTAGTCAAAGAGTACAAATTGGTCATAAGGTTGAGAAGTTCTGAGGGTCTAATGCACAGCATGCTACTATAATTAATAATAATGTATTGTACACCTGAAACTTGCTAAGAGAGCAGGTAAGTATTCTCACCATAAGCACAAAAATAGTTAACCACGTGAGGTGATTGCTATGTTAATTGGCTTAATTGTGATAATCATTTCACAATTTATCTGTATATGGAAGCATCACATTGTACACCTTAAATATATACAAGTTTTATTTGTCAATTATACCTTGACGAAGCCGAAAACAATCAAATAAATAAACCAAAACCACACAAAACCAAGAAACAATGCTCTAGAGCTATTCTAAGCAATACGACAGCTACTAGCCACATGTGGCTATTTAAATTTAAGTAATTGGTTAAAATTAAATAAATCACATATTCAGTTCTTCAGCCTCACTAGCCACATTTCAAGTACTCAATAGCCACATGTGGCTCAACCATATAAGACAATGCAAATTATAGAATATTCCCATCATCACAGAAACTTCTCATGGGCAGTACTGCTTTAAGCAATGGTAGAGCAGTCAGATAGCAAGAAGCTGGGTGCCTAAAGGACAAAACAGGTAAAGCCATCTGCTCATCTGCCATCCCTGCTTACCTCAGAATGCTGTCTGAAAGACAAATAAATGTCTATTTTAAATCCAAAAATAAAACAAACTTTAAAAGCCTCTGGTCAGTTTTGCAACCCATGAATGTCTTTCTCAAGCACCTGGGAGCTATCCTTTGAAATGTACTCATGAAAAAAGATAAAGCCCTTATCTCTCAATATCGTAGGAGTTAGGAGCCTAACAGGTGGACACTTTGCTGCTCCAATGTGTAAAACTACCTCTTGTCATGAAGATAGGAGAAAATTTACCTTTCCTTCTGGTAAAGCCAATTAACATACACATATGGCCTGTGATTCACCTCATCCCAGCTCTTAAAAATTCTTCAGTTATTTGTTTTAGCAGAATTTAGTTGAGTTTCTTTCCTCTGTTCTAATAACCTTAAAGTTTTTCCTGCCTGTTTCAGTGTGTCTGGTGTGATTTTTGCTTTGACAGGTTAAAGGACAGTGGTTGATTTTCAGCTTGTCCCATTTTTCTTGTTGTAAGGATGTGAGTTATTATTTCTTAGCTTCATTTATGTCAGAGCTAAAACTAGAATTAATATATACTTTTAACAAAACTATCATCCAACTAGACCTAATTGACACTTACATAGCCTGAAACAGAATACAATATTTCTTAAAGTACACATGGAACGTTCACCAAAACAGATTTTGTTTCAGCCCACAAATCGTACCTTCATAATTTTAAAACAATAGAAATAATACACTTCAGCTGGGCTCAGTGACTCATGCCTGTAATCCCAGCACTTTGGGAGGCTGTGGCAGGTGGATCACAAGGTCAAGAGATCAAGATCATCCTGACCAACATGGTGAAAGCTGTCTCTACTAAAAATACAAAAAAATAGCTGGGTGTGGTGGTGCAGGCCTGTAGTCCCAGCTACTCGGGAGGCTGAGGCAGGAGAATCACTTGAACCTGGCAGGTGGAGGTTGGAATGAGCCAAGACTGTGCCACTGTGCTCCAGCCTGGTGACAAAGCAAGACTCCATCGCAAAAAAAAAAAAAAAAAAGAAAGAATATACTTCATATTCTTAGATCACAAAATAACATGTAATTTAAAAAAACTATGTGGAAGGCCATGTGCTGTGGCTCACGCCTGTAATCCCAGCACTTTGGGAGACTGAGGCAGGTGGATCACGAGGTCAGGAGATCAAGACCATCCTGGCTAACATGGCGAAACCCCATCTCTACTAAAAATACGAAAAATTAGCTGGGCGTGGTGGTGGGCACCTGTAGTCCCAGCTACTTGGGAGGCTGAGGCAGGAGAATGGCATGAACCCAGGAGGCGGAGCTTGCAGTGAGCTGAGATCGGGCCACTGCACTCCAGCCTGGGCAACAGAGCAAGACTCTGTGTCAAAAACACACAAACAAACAAACAAACAAAAAAACTACGTGGAAAATTCTCATATATATAGAAATTAACAAACAACCCTCTTATAGGTCAAACAGGGGTTAATGGGAACATTTTGGGAAAATTGAAAATATTTTAAACTGAATAAGAATGAAAATTCAAAATTTGTGAGAAATAACCACAACAGCTAGGACAAAAACTAATGCTTACAGTCGAAAAGAAGAACAGTCTCAAATAATAATCTAAATTTCCAATTTAAGACATTAGAAAAGGCAGAATAAACTAAACTTGAAACAAGCAGCAAAACAAAACTCTAATATTGCTATCCAAAGGACATTCTGAAAAACCGTGAAATAGCAACACTTCTTTTTCCTAACTTTAATCACTTATTCACAGAAGAGGAACATAATGCAAGCAAAGGCCCATTTACATAATTAATTAGCCAGTGGTGTGAACATAATTATATTTACTTTCCAATCTATTTAGAAATATCTCTTTATGGGGAATAGCAATGCTAAAATATTGCAGGCCAGTCAAAATGTGAATCTAGGTTTCATTCCCTGCTGAATAAATCAAACTTTAGCCAATTTTATATTTGCCCCTGGGACATATGATAATAATGAGCTATTTGACTTCTAGAATCAGTGTTTTTAATTATCTCTGTTAATAGAGATTTATTCAGTAAATAAATGCTACATTTTATGCCCCTTCTACATAAACATAGCCAATAGCAGTTATTAGTTTCATAACAACATAATAATCCAAGTGTCTCCTATTAATGTGTTCTGGACTCACACTGTAAAGTATGAAGAATAACTGGCTAAGAAAATATAGCCACGCTAGCTATTCAAAAACCAAGATATGAAAGGCAATAACATAGTGTTTCAAGATTTCCATTCCTTAGAAGAAAGTTGCAAGGCTATTTGTTGATGTTCAAATCATTTATGGTAGATGAAAACTTTACACTTTTTAAAATCCTGTCAATATGTGGACCAAATTACACATAATTAAATGAGGCTAGAAAATAAATGTGCCATTTTTTTTTTGGTAAAATGTAGACAGATTCCAGGCAAAACTGAACACAATTGAAGCAACTGCATAAATTTGGTCAGTATAACGTCTTGCAAAACCATATTTTTTCACAGTTTTAAAGAAGAAATTGGAAAATGTTTATTTGGTGGAAAAAATAAATAAAGGAAATAAAAATCTAGGTTGTAAGTCATTATCTTGGTAAGTTAAGTAAATAGGTAATTATAAATATCACTGTCCATTTCTAAGATACCCTCCCTATATCAGGAGAAAAGAAACATTTTTACTGCCAGAGATGGGCAGTCAAAGCTGTGAGAACCCTGTACAAATAGATAATTACCTTCCTTTTGTCTTCCCATATATTTTAATTTTCTGCAATTGTTATTCTTTCTTTAACCTAGTATATAACCACTCAGGCCTATCTACTTCTTTGGGTCTTCATTTTTCTAGTGAGGGCTCCCATATACATGTAAAAACTACTAAATAAAATTTGTATGTTTTTCTCCTGCTAATCTGTTTTATATCAGTCCCAGCTGGATATCCTAACAGGTTAGATGAGGAATTTTACCTTCCCTATAAGTAAAATGAAGAAACTGGTTTAGAGAAGAAAAATGATCACAGTCATTTAGGGCCAGCTTCAATATTTAACTCAAATAATTTTCTTACTCTGTACTAACTTATTGTTTCTTGAACAAGTCTATGTATAAAGGATTGAAAAATTAAATAGCCCTTATCAAAGGCATACAGGTTTTTTTTTACTGTAAAATAAAAAAGATAAGCTAGATGATTTCTCAAGGATTTTTCTACTCTCAGACTGTGATGTTTTGAATAACCTAAACATTTGAAGCCTATCTGTAGTTAGACAGTTTAAATGATGAATGCTATCTTATAACTTCGTAACTGCCTCCTTAAGGTAGACAGTTTTAGGCTACTGGAAGATATTCTAACCAAGATGTAAGCTAATTTCAAGCCAATGTAATATATGGATAAGAAAACATTTTTTTTCAAATGTGTGCTAGAAATAGCATTTTATCTTCAAAGGAAACAATTTTCTCTTTAATGTTGGTTAAATAAATAGACTTATTTTTTGTTGATAGGCAGATAAGTGCCTATTTTCATACTAAAATTAGTTACTGAATATTAGTTTATGACCTATGTATTGACATGATTTTATTTTTTCCTTATGTAGTCTTATGTGTCTTCCTATTTCCCATGATTTAAATGTCTCCTTAAAGCTTCCTCAAACATTAGAGGAAAGAGATTAAAATATTGCTGCCTAAATTAAACTAGTTTTAGACATTTTTATTATTATATTACACCATAAAAGGCATGTTTTCATTAACTTTGGAGTGTATGTTTGTGATGTTAAGTCTTAAATCATAAAATTATCTTATGTAATCGAAGTAACTTTTTGAGACTTGGTGCCTGAAACAAGGGTGGGCAGCTCAAAGTTATAGCTGGTCATTTTCTTAATTCTCCAGAGAATTAGAAAGTGCTTCAGGAAACCTTTAGTTAATGCAAATCAAAAGAGACATAACAGATATGTTGAGATTTAAGCCCTTCAGAATTATTTAAGTATTCAAAAAAAATAGAACTGCTGTGAATAAACAGAAAAAAATATCAGGTTCAAATAGGAACCCTAAGTTAAAAGCCACACGATATATTTAACAGCTGACATGGATTTATGATCAAGCTACTTCTCAAATGGAAAACTCTACACTCCTGGGTGAGTAGCTGCAGTGATTTACTTATTTATCTGTGGTTCCTGTGCTGAGGAAGGCAGATAAGCACACAAAATACATGTATTAAAACACATGCCATGGTAACTGTGATTTCATCCTGGAAAGTGAGAAAAAGAAGGAGAGAAACACAAAACTATTTATATTTTATATACTCTTAGGTTGTTTGCATTTTTACCTGGGAGGTTGTGTTACATTTGTGATTCCTTTATAAATTCTACACACTTTTTTAAAACCTACTATGTACCATGCACTGTTCTAGGCTTTGGGAAAAGGCAGTGAACAACAACAACAAAAAAATCAATATTTCCAGTTTAACAGAGCTGATATTTTCATAGATTAATCAGAAAACAAAATAAGTTTGTAGATGTAAAAGGCAGATATGTAAAAACTCAGTTCCAACAATACTTCATTAATGATAATAACAAAATAATTTTCTAGCTAGAATTGTTTTTTCAATTTTGCCTAATCTTCAATAATTTTTATAAAAATATATGTATTCATTTATCAGATAATCATAATCATGAAATAGTTTTGTTTGTTAATTCATTCTATAAGAATGAAATGATTATTCAGTAACAAAAGGTTAATCTTTTAAATTTATTTTGTCACATAATGAAAATGATTTTATGGCAAATGCCACCAAATTTTCTTCCTTTTTATAGCCTGAGATTAAAAAACAACCACACTAATTATTATATATAAGTACTTTGTTAATAGTTTTTTTAATATTTATAACTTGGAAATTTACAGAAAAAGACATGGAGAAGCACAGAATTACAGTAAGTCCTCATGTAACCTTGTGGATAGGTTCTTGGAAACCACAATTTTAAGCAAAGCAAAGTCTAAGAAGACATATTTGACCCTAAACTAGTTAATATAAACAAGACTTCAGTTCCTATGAAATATTTCTGGTAATAAAAAAAATCATCAAACTTCTAAAAAAAGACTCCAAACTCTTTTAGTATTAAACAGTGACATAAATGTGAGCTATACACACATTTTAAAAAGATTCATAAAAACAAGTAAGATAATTATTTACCCACTTACTTCAGTTCAGAGTCACAGGTGGCCAGAGACTGTCCTGGCAGCTCAGGGTTCCAGGCAGTAACCAATCCTGGACAGGACACCAACCCATCACAGAGCACACTCACGCCCACACTCATACTCACTCACACTGGGACCATCACACAGGCCAACTCATCTCACATGCACCGCTGTGAGACGTGGGGGGAAAACAGAGTACCTAGAGAAAACCCACACAGACATAGGAAGCACCTCCAGACTCCACACAGACAGTGGTCCTCGCTGGAAATCGATCTTTATTCTCATCAACATTATAATGAAATGACATTGAACAAAACAACGTTATTCATGGACCTGTTGTATTAAATAATCTAAACACCAAGGTCCACTTTTTCTCAGTGTACAAACATCACCAGGATCTATAATCTCTTCAGATTTCCTGAACTCCTTTAGGGGCTGTTTTCCTCTGATTTGGATCAGAAGATGTAGAAGAAATATAGCAAACTGTGTGTCATGCTGCTCAAATATGGAACGTAACTGCATTATATATTGTATTATTTTTACCACGACTGCCATAACAAAGCACCACAGACTGGCTTAAGCAACAGAAATTTATTTTCTCACAGTTCTAGAGGCTGGAAGTCCAAGATCAAAGTACTGGCACAGCTGGTTTCCTTTGAGGCCTCTCTTCCCAGCTTGCAGATATCTGCCCTCTTTCTGCATCTTCACTGGGTCATCCCTCTGTGCACCTGAACTTCTAGTATCTCTCTGTGTGTCCTAATCTCCAATTACAAAGACAACAGTCAGATTGAATTAGAGCGACCTAATGGCTTCATTTAACTTAATCAATTATTTAGAGCCCCTGTCTCCGAATACAGTCACATTCTGAGGTACCAAGGCTCAGGGTTTCAGCATATGAGTTTTGGGTAGCACAATTAAGTCCAAAACAGATTTTTTTTTCTCTCCTCTTCTTCCTCCTCCTCTTCCTCTGCCTTTTTCTTCTTTTCCTCCTTCTTTCTTAGGTAAATTTTCTGGTCTAGGAGGGCTGGTAAATTCATCATCTCTATATTGATACATATAACCCCAACTTTAGTTTCCTAACAGAATCCATCCCCATCCCTTATCAACCTACCGGTATAACCCCAACCTCCAAGGCTCTGGTAGAGTCATGTTTCTTCCTAAAAGCCCTCCCATGTCACTTCAGATCCTGCAATGTTTCACTCCCCTGACCTACATCCCCCACTGCCCCTGGCACTTCCCACCAATAAAATAAGGCCTGGCTTCCTCAGAGGTATAGTACCTCAACATCATGCATGAATTTCTGGCTAAGTAGATCTTTAGGTATAGAGATATATTATTTTAAAAGGCATTTCAGAAGATTCTGATGGAGCCCTCTAGAACTCTTATCAGACACTCAAGTAATGTTATGTCTTGTGATATCTGCAGGTGACATTTTCACAATTTTTAAATTTTTTTGGTACATATATTTTCTTTTTCATTATTATTATTATACTTTAAATTCTAGGGTACATGTGCACAACATGCAGGTTTATTACATAGGTATACATGTGCCATGGTGGTTTGCTGCACCCATCAACTGGTCATTTACATTAGATATTTCTCCTAACACTACCCCTCCCCCAGCCCCTCACCCCCCAACAGGCTCCTGTGTGCAATGTTCCCCTCCCTGTGTCCATGTGTTCTCATTTTTCAACTCCCACTTATGAGTGAGAACATGCGGTGTTTGGTTTTCTGTCCTTGTGATATTTTGCTGAGAATGATGGTTTCCAGCTTCATCCATGTCCCTGCAAAGGACATAAACTCATCCTTTTTTATGGCTGCATAGTATTCCATGGTGTATATGTGCCACATTTTCTTTATCCGGTCTATTATTGATGGACATTTGGGTTGGTTCCAAGTCTTTGCTATTGTGAATAGTGCCGCAATAAACATGCATCTGCATGTGTCTTTATAGTAGCATGATTTACAATCCTTTAGGTATACACCCAGTAATGGGATTTCTGGGTCAAATGGTATTTCCAGTATAGATCCTTGAGGAATTGCCACAGTCTTCCACAATGCTTGAACTAATTTACACTCCCACCATCATTGTAAAAGCACTCCTATTTTTCCACATCCTCTCCAGCATCTGTTGTTTCCTGACTTTTTAATGATCACCATTCTAACTGGCATGAGATGGTATCTCATTGTGGTTTTGATTTGCGTTTCTCTGATGACCAGTGATGATGAGCATTCTTTCATATGTCTCTTGGCTGAATAAATGTCTTCTTTTGAGAAGTGTCAGTTTATATCCCTAGCCCACTTTTTGAAGAGGTTGCTTGTTTTTTTTCTTGTCAATTTGTTTAAGTTATTTGTAGATTCTGGATATTAGCCCTGGGTCAGATGGATAGATTGCAAAATTTTCTCCTATTCTGTAGATTACCTGTTCACTCTGATGATAGTTTCTTTGGCTGTGTAGAAGCTCTTTAGTTTAATAAATCCCATTTGTCAATTTTGGCTTTTGTTGCCATTGCTTTTGGTGTTTTAGTCATGAAGTCTTTGTCCATGCCTACGTCCTGAATGGTTTTGCCTAGGTTTTCTTCTAGGGTTTCTATAGTTTTAGGTCTTACATTTAAGTCTTTAATCCATCTTGAGTTAATTTTTGTATAAGATGTAAGGAAGGAATCCAGTTTCAGCTTTGTACATAAGGCTAGCCAGTTTTCCCAGCACTGGGAATCCTTTCCCCATTGCTTGTTTTTGTCAGGTTTGTCAAAGATCAGTTGGTTGTAGAGGTGTGGTGTTATTTCTGAGGGCTCTGTTCTGTTCCATTGCTCGATATATCTGCTTTGGTACCAGTATCATGCTGTTTTGGTTACTGTAGCCTTGTAGTATACTTTGAAGTCAGGTAGCGTGATGCCTCCAGCTTTGTTCTTTTGGCTTAGGATTGTCTTGGCAATGCGGGCTCTTTTTTGGTTCCATAGGAAATTTAAAGTAGTTTTTTCCAATTCTATGAAGAAAGTCAGTGGTAGCTTGATGGAGATAGCATTGAATCTATAAATTACCTTGGGCAGTATGGCCATTTTCACGATATTCATTCTTCCTACCCATGAAAATGGGATGTTCTTCCATTTGTTTGTATCCTCTTTTATTTCGTTAAGCAGTGGTTTGTAGTTCTCCTTGAAGCGGTCCTTTGCATCCCATGTAAGTTGGATTCCTAGGTATTTTATTCTCTTTGTAGTAATTGTGAATGGGAGTTCACTCATGATTTGGCTCTCTGTTTGTCTTTTCTTGGTGTATAGGAATGCTTGTGATTTTTGCACACTGATTTTGTATCCTGAGACTTTGCTGAAGTTGCTTATCAGCTTAAGGAGACTTTGGGCTGAGATGATGGGGTTTTCTAAATATATACAATCATGTCATTTGCAAACAGAGACAATTTGACTTCCTCTTTTCTGAATTGAATACACTTTATTTCTTTCTTTTGCCTGACTGCGCTTGCCAGAACTTCCAACACTATGTTGACTAGGAGTGGTGAGAAAGGGCATCCTTGTACCAGTTTTCAAAGGGAACGCTTCCAGTTTTTGCACATTCAGTATGATATTGGCTGTGGGTTTGTCGTAAATAGCTCTTATTCTTTTGAGATGCATTCCATCAACACAGTTTATTGGGAGTTTTTAGCATGAAAGGCTGTTGAATTTTGTCAAAGGCCGTTTCTGCGTGTATTGACATAATCATGTGGTTTTTGTCATTGGTTCTGTTTACGTGATAGATTATGTTTATTGATTTGCATTTGTTGAACCAGCCTTGCATCCCAGGGATGGAGCAGACTTGATCGTGGTGGATAAGCTTTTTGATATGCTGCTGGATTCAATTTGCCAGTATTTTATTGAGGATTTTCACATCAATGTTCATCAGGGATATTGGCCTAAAATTCTCTTTTTTTGTTGTGTCTCTGCCAGGCTTTGGTATCAGGATGATGCTGGCCTCATAAAATGAGTTAGGGAGGATTCCCTCTTTTTCTATTGATTGGAATACTTTCAGAAGGAATGGCACCAGCTTCTCTTTGTATCTCTGGTAGAATTTGGCTGTGAATCCGTCTAGTCCTGGACTTTTTTTGGTTGATAGGCTATTAATTTTTGCCTCAATTTCAGAACCTGTTATTGGTCTATTCAGAGATTCAACTTCTTCCTGGTTTAGTCTTGGAAGGGTGTATGTGTCCAGGAATTTATCCATTTCTTCTAGATTTTCTAGTTTATTTGTGTAGAGGTGTTTATAAGTATTCTCTGATGGTAGTTTGTATTTCTGTGGGATCGGTGGCGATATCCCCTTTATCATTTTTTATTGCGTCTGTTTGATTCTTCTCTCTTTTCTTCTGTATTAGTCTTGCTAGCGGTCTATCAATTTTGTTGATCTTCTCAGAAAGCCAGCTCCTGGATTCATTGATTTTTTGAAGGGTTTTTTGTGTCTCTATCTCCTTCAGTTCTGCTCTGATCTTATTTATTTCTTGCCTTCTGCTAGCTTTTGAATTTGTTTGCTCTTGCTTCTCTAGTTCTTTTAATTGTGATGTTAGGGTGTCAATTTTAGATCTTCCCTGCTTTCTCTTGTGGGCATTTAGTGCTATAAATTTCCCTCTACACACTGCTTTAAATGTGTCCCAGAGATTCTGGTATGTTGTGTCTTTGCTCTCATTGGTTTCAAAGAACATCTTTATTTCTGCCTTCGTTTTGGTATGTACCCAGTAGTCATTCAGGAGCAGGTTGTTCATTTCCATGTAGTTGTGTGGTTTTGAGTGAGTTTCTTCATCCTGAGTTCTAACTTGATTGCGCTGTGATCTGAGAGACAGCTTGTTGTGATTTCTGTTCATTTTCATTTGCTGAGGAGTGTTCTACTTCTGATTATGTGGACAATTTTAGAATAAATGCGATGTGATGCTGAGAAGAATGTACATTCTGTTGATTTGGGGTGGAGAGTTCTGTAGATGTCTATTAGGTCCACTTGGTCCAGAGGTGAATATCCTTGATAATTCTCTGTCTCGTTGATCTGTCTAATATTGACAGTGGGGTGTTGAAGTCTCCCATTATTATTGTGTGAGAGTCTAAGTCTCTTTGTAGGTTTCTAAGAACTTGCTTTATGAATCTGGGTTCTTCTGTATTGGGTGCATATATATTTAGGATAGTTAGCTCTTCTTGTTGAATTAACCCCTACACCATTATGTCATTGGCTTCCTTGTCTCTTTTGATCTTTGTTGGTTTAACATCTGTTTTATCAGAGACCAGGATTGCAACCCCTGCTTTTTTTTGCTTTCCCTTTGCTTAGCAGATCTTCCTCCATCCATTTATTTTCAACTTATGTGTGTCTTTGTATGTGAGATGGGTCTCCTGAATACAGCACACCAATGGGTCTTGACTCTATACAATTTGCCAGTCTGTGTCTTTTAACTGGGGCATTTAGCCCATTTAGCCCATTTACATATATTTCCATATTTGTATCTTTTTCTTTAATTAGAATTCAAGATTGTGAGAAAAGTGTCTAACTACATCTTTTTTTTTTTTTTTTTTTGAGACAGAGTCTCCCTCTGTTGCCCAGGCTGGAGTGCAATGGTGCCATCTCAGCTCACTGGAGCTTCGGCATCCTGGGTTCAAGTGATTCTTCTGCCTCACCCTCCTGAGTAGCTGGGGTTACTGGTGCCTGCCACGACACCTGGCTAATTTTTGTATTTTTAGTAGAGACGGGGTTTTACCATGTTGGCTGAGCTGGTCTCAAACTCCTGACCTCATGTGGTCCACCCATCCCAGTTTCCCAAAGTGCTGGGATCACAGGCGTGAGCCACTGCACCTGGCCCTAACTACAGCTTATATTTCTTATATTGCCTAGTATGTTGCTGAATATTTTTAAATTATACATTCACATTTTTAATTGATTAATAAATAAATTCCCTTTTAAAGTAACTGGTTGAATCTCTAACTAGAAAAGATATTTTTTCAAAGTAATTTTTCTATCTAAATTTAGGATTAAAAAATCATTCTCTAAATTATGAAAATCACATGTTCTATTTTTAGTTTTCTGAGAAATAAACATAATAAGATGGTGAGGTTAGTTAGCTATCCACTATGTATCAAGATCCTAACTGCTCTTTACACTTGTCCCCTAAATGTATTTGTGAATTCTGTCACCTTTTGCACTATTACTCTCCATGGAATTAATCATTTTAGCAACATTTCCTTACATCATAAAATAATTGGCTTATTGGTTTGGAAGAATATTCATCAAATATCAGTAATCTTATTCCTTTGCAGGCTACAGTTACACACCATAAAACATGAAACACAAGCAGTGTAATATGTTTTATAAAGAAAAATTCTATCAAGAAACTATAAACTACATTATGTAGAAAAGTACTGAGACCAAGTTGAAAGGATGCATTTTTTCTTAAAAGAGAACAGAGAACTACAATTTTTTTCAAAGTCCACTAATGCTGTAGCAACTGTACATAACATGCTAAGCCAGAGAATATTCCTGAATTAGACCCCAGTTTCCTGGGAAATAAATGAAATGATTTCTATAAAAAGGGAGGGTTCCATAAATGAAGGTCAACTGCCTCTTACTTAAGGAGTAGGGCAAACTAGAACCCCTCTTTTTTAAGGATAGTATATTGGTCTAGATCTATCACAGAAAACAGAAAGTCCTTCTGGAAGTTAAAACAGAAGAAACAGAATGCAACAAATGGATTCCACAGGCAATGGACGTTATCAAAACAAAATAGAGAAAAGAGGTAACTACAAGATTAGCAATATGCCAAGAGCACTGTTTCCTTTTTCACCTTTGATATCTAATTGAGAAATTAAAAATTATAAATATTTAAGGTGTACAATGTGATGATTTAATGCATGTATATATTGTGAAATGATTACCACAATCAAGCCAATTAACATATCTGTCACCTCACATGATTACCTTTTTATTATTATGGGGAGAACACTTAAGATCTACTCTCTTAGGAAATTTCAAGTATACAATACAGTATGATTAATTATATTAATAGTCACCATGCTCTAACAGACCCTCAGAGCTAATTCATCTTCTAACTGAAAGTTTGTAATCTTTGACCAACTTCTTCCCTCTTCTCCCCAAGCCCTAGACAATAATCATTCTACTCTCTGCTTCTATTAATTAAATGTTTTTAGATTCCACATATAAGTGGGATTGTAGAGTGTTCGTCTTTCTATGTCTGGCTTATTCTATTTAGCATAATATTCAACCATGTTGTTGCAAATGGCAGAATTTCCTTCCTTTCTAAGGATGAATAATATTTCATTGTATACATACACCACATTTCTTTATTAATCAAAGGTCGCATAGGTTGTTTCTAAACCCTGGCTATTGTAAATAATGCTACAAAGAACGTGCAGGTGAAAATATTTCTTTAAGATAGTGACTTCATTTTATTTGAGCATATACCCAGAAATGGGATTTCTGGGCCACTCTTGGTCTGAAGGAAAGAAAGGGAGAAGGATTTAGTGTTACCAGAGTCTGGAGGTTGGATCCTGTGATGGGAACTGAAAATAGGGTGGACCTATCCAGAGGAAGTAGGACCCACAGATCGATACAGGAGCTTCCAAAGAAGTTCCCCAAGGAAGAGAGGGAAGAGAAAAACATCCTGGCTCATCATTTGCTTTCTTACCCCTACAAGCTAAGATTCCAGTGATTCCCATTAGCCCAACCTGCCAGAAGAAGGTGACAGCAGAGCCTGGGAAATGTGTCCTTCAGGTTTCAGCATCAGAGCAGAGCAGGAGAAAGGAAGAAAAATAGATTTGAGAGCTAGCAGGCTCAGATATGGTGGTGTGGCTGTCAGTTTCTGCCAAGTTTTGAAAACGAATACAAAGTGGTACAAAGACATTGGTGGAAGGTGCTGGATGACAGTTTACTTCTGACAGTCCTCACAACTTGTTCACTTGGCTTTTACTACAAAAGTCCTTGACAAATTTATATAGTTGTAATAATGTCAAAGAGAAGGAATTTACTGTACTACGTTCTGTACTGTTTTTAATAAACACAAGAAGAAGGTAGTATGAACATAATTTATAGGTGAAGGTAAAGTTTGGCCAGCTAAAACAATTGCATGTCCAGGATTCACTTTTTTTGTCTTTGGGGGTTTTTTAAATTTTATTATTATTATTTTTTTAAGTTTCCTCAACCACGTTATACATTCTTCAAGAGGAAGAATCCTCAGAATTCTTAGAGTCTTATATGCAGTAGGAATTCTGTAATGGAACACAGGTCCAAATACTTTCCACTTGCAGAGTCTAATTAACAAAAGCAGGGGTTGGTAGAAAGAAAGTGACTTTACTAACCAAAACTAGTAAAAGAGAAGTGGCTGGATTCTCATCCCAAGCAATCACTTCTGTTTTTACGGGCAAGACAGGGGATTAAAAAAGAAAAACTTGGCCAAGCAAGGTGGCTCACGCCTGTAATCACAGCACTTTGGGAGGCCGAGGTGGGTGGATCACTTGAGGTCAGGAGTTCGAGACCAGCCTGGCCAACATGGTGAAACCTCATCTCTACTAAAAATACAAAATAATAGCCAGGCATGGTGATGGGCGTCTGTAATCCCAGCTACTTGGGAGGCTGAGGCAGGAGAATCGCTTGAACCCAGGATATGGAGGTTGCAGTGAGCCAAGACTGCGCCACTGCACTCCAGCCTGTGCAACAAGAGCGGTACTCCATCTCAAAAAAGAAAAGAAAAAAAAAAGAATAAAAAGCTTGATAAGGAAGGTATAGCTTACAAGAATTGTGCTGAGTATGACGTCTGTGTGTCTGGTTCTGGTAGCTATTCTGGGTCTCAGTCCACATGGATCCCAGGCTAGCATCATCTCAACAATGGCTGGGTTGTTAATTAGCTGCCTTGAAGTTATCTCTGGAATTTTGCAGCTGGATCTCCATATTTGGTCTGTCAAGATTAGCCCCTGAAACTTCTAAGATGGCACATAATTAGATACTAGAATGCAGTTAGATGAATGTGAAGGGAGTATATTACAGGGAGAAAGGGAGGGACATGGAGTCAATTTTAAAGCTAAGGAGAAAGGCTTCTGCAGTTTACCTCAAAGTTATATCTTGAAACCCAAAATAAAGAGGAAAAAATAAGCTTAAAATGCATTTTGAAGTTAAGCTGCCTGGTTACAATTCGTCTCCATTTTTTTTCCTAATAACTTTATAGAAAATATGAGTATTCTAAAATTGTTTTTACCTACTAGTTTTAATATTTATTTGTTAGTCATCAAATAAAATCAGTCAGAAACCTGATATATAAAACATAAAGGAATAAGCCCTCCCTGCTTATTCTCCTTAATGTTTCCACTAAGTCCTAGGCCTTCACAGAACACAGTGTGAAAATCACTGATCTAATTAAATATATTACGCAATTCAAGGGGAGACTGAGGCCTAGAGATATTAAGAGTTGAGGATACAAGATCACTCAGACTAATCCTGGTGGAAGTGGGAACATAGTCTAAGTGTTCTGACTCAATCTAGTGCATGTTTTGCTATTGTTTTTTTCAAAAATAATTTTCCACAGATTATATAATTCAATTAACTAACTAGCATTTAACAGCACTTAATAAATTTCTGATTAAGAAACAATTATAAAGTATTAAAATTAAAAATTAAGTAGAAATTAAAATCATATTAGCATACATATTATTTTTTTTTCCTTTATTCTAGTTACTTAGTTAACTCCCAGATTTAAAGGTGGGACCTTATAAATGAACATAAATCCAGCTGTGATAGGTTAAATAATGCCTTCCCTACGATGTCCATGTTGTAATCCTGGAAACCGGCAAATATGTTATTTTACATGGCATTACTGGAGAAGAACTACAGCTGACACTTTTCTAATTACACTCTTAAAGGCCTAGGTCTGATGATATTTCCTCCTGGACTAAAATGATAAATGTTACTCTAGAAGAGCTGCTGGGTACAGAATTCCCTAAATCTTCTATCATAAATTTTTCTATAGCCTTGATATTTGAAGGACAGCTTGGGTGCATATAAAATCCTTAGTACACACTTTCTTTTACTGAGCTTTATAAAAATGCTGCTCTCTTGCTGCCGTGTTTTGCATTTGGGTTTTGAAAAGTTTGTTGATAGTCAATTCTTTTATCACTTCAAGTTATTTGATCTTCTTGCCTAAAGGCATTGAGGATTTTATCTTCTATAAAATTCAATAATTTTAGTAGAATGTGTTTCATAGATGATTATTATGAGTTGATTTTCTAAGTTAACTGGCAGTCCCTTTCAATATATAGATCCAAGCATTGTTCAACTTTTTTAAAGGTTTTCTTGAATTATGGTTTTAAATATTGACTCTTTTCTATTGTTTTGATTCTTCAGGTTCTCTGCTAATATTAATATCACTCTTCTTTTTCCCAACTAGTATTTCTACTACATTTTCTATAACCCACTTTGCATATTTCTTTATTATTTTCATTCCTTTGGTTGTTTTCCTGTCTTTCCCTAATGTTCCTATTACATTTTATTTCACTCTATTCTCCCTTGAGCACCTTGGCATTTATTCCTCATTTCTTATTATTTTTTCTTTCTTTTCTTTCCTGAGTTTAGTTAACATTCTTTGCCTTATATAGTTTTTGACTTTCCAATTCAAGGTGATTTTTTTATATCCACAAATACTCCTTTGAGTATATATAATTCTGTTTGAATTATAATTTCCTTTTTCCCAAGATTGTCTTTTAGAGGTGGATTTCCTCATTTGATATGTGTGCACTTTCATTTCTTGAGATTGTACAATAGGTCTGTGTGAACTGTACATTACTTTTGTTAATTTTTACAATTTTAGTGCATTTTATGGTAGTTGTAAATTCATAATATCTTCTCTCAGTTTTGCAAAGTTCATGTATTCTGATAGTATTTCATTTAATTGTTTTGGTTCTGAAATAAGTCCTCCAAACCTGCAATTGACTTTTGTCCTATGAGATTTTTATTTTTCCTCTTCACTAACCAATTGCTGGTAGTTACTCCTTTTGCTTTTTGTTGTTGCTGTTTCGTTATTTGTTCATTTTTGCCCCTGCAAAAGCTGTTTTGAAAGCACTCCTTTAAAGTATATCTGCTCATTTCTATGTCAAAGTATTCCCATATGCATACTTTGAACTCACTTCCCTGTAGTTCATGTTCTAATCTGCCTAAATATATTTTAGTATTTCTAGGTGAAGGGTGAACTTAGTATTTCTGGCCAGGCTTCTCTTTTTCTTTCTTTTTATTTCTATTTCTTTATGCTTCTCCTTATTACATGTTCTATCATTTGCCTCATATGGATTTCATTTACTTTCTCTTCCATTTTCCAGATTCTGTTTTACAAAGTCTCAAAACCACTCTGAAAGACACATTCACCCTAAAGTATAGGGAAAAGTTGAGCAGGCAAGTCTTGAATTCTCTAGCAGCAGGGATTTCAAAGGAGACTGTAAGCGTTTGTACAAAAATATGTTTTACCTGGCATTTATGCATATACACATGGTACAAGTTCAGATCATGCCCTAATCAGATCATAAATATTTTCTTATCAATAAATATTTGTCAATAAAAGGTAAATTATTTTTCTTGGAATATATACAGCATGGTGAAAGCAGTTCATAAACAGTAGCTTATAATGCTTCTAGAAAGAATTAATCAGATCTTTTTGCACTGATATAGAACATATGTTATATTAAGTGTGTAAATCAAATATATACTTATAAATATGCAAATCATGTAAATTAAATGATTACAAACATCTTTATATATTTTCACTTTCCCAGATTTAATCTTTTTTGAGAAATATAGATGATACGATTAATATGTTTTATGTACATATTATTCTTGCAACTGCTAATTTTAAATAGAAAAATATTTTGAACATATTTCCATGTGATAAAATTTATTTGTGTATAAATTTGCATACTATTCATTATGAGGTGTGCTGGTTTTCTAGCTCTCAATTTTATCACTGTTCTGTGTTCTCCTCTGTGCCATAGGAAGTATAGAGGCTAACAAACTATGTTATCTAGACTCATTTGCAAATTGACTTCAAGTTAAAGAGTCTTCCAGTGAGAGCCGCTGGCAGAGTACTGCACATGGGGGAGAAAAGATGAGCCATTTATTTTTGGTGTCTGTAAACAGCTCTATAAATGCCAGGTAAGTACAGACTCCGAGGTGCCTGCTCAGACAGCGTGGTTCCAACAACAGTAGTGAGAGGTGTACTCCAGCATTCTCAGCAGCACACTTCCTGGGTTTCTCTTTACAGGAGCAGCATGTGACTATGGCTTACTGTGAGTTGCTGCCATAATGGCAAGAAGTGGCAATGTGTCTGAGAGCAGAGCTCCTGCTGCCTAATAAAGAGGCATCTGGTAGTGTTTCCAACAGCAGTATCACCAGCTGCTGAGACCACACTGACCTCTGGGGAATACCATGTTCCATTTTGCTTCTCTGGTCATCTGGAAAAGTCGCAGTTTTCTAACGTCACTGATCCCTCTATACATTCACCTTCTCTTCAGAATTTCAGCTGCTCTATCGCTTCCCTTTTTCTAAAAATATACATTCTCTATAAGTTTTGCTTTTTTAAAAAAAATGCTGCTGCTTACTATACTATTTACTATTTTTGCAATTTACTCTCCTCGATTGTTATTTAGGCTTACAGAATGCAAAAGTTCATATTCTTTATATACAGATAAATTATTTTTAAAAATGTGTTCAGTATTTGATAAGGTTAAGTTATTTAGATTTACAGATGTTCTAGATTATAGGCTTTTTGAAGGCAGAGACCGTGTCTTGTTCCATTTCACAAATACTTATTTAGCACCTCAATGTGCCAGGGGTTGGGCATGGAATAAGACATAACATTCACCATAAGCAGCTCACAGGCTAGTTGGAGAAACAGACATATAAACATATAAATATAAATAATGTGCAAATAATATATATATATATATATATACACACACCAGTGCACATAGTCATTTTCCATTCATGTGTAAATATTTATATCAGAGCTGTACACATTCACTGAGGCATTTTCTAAATAAGGGATGGGATGAGGAGAATATTTAAGTAATGTTTTTATGCTAACTCCTCAAGAACTATGTCTCAAAGTGCTTGTTTGAACCCCTTCGAATCCTTGTATAATACCAACCACAAAGAAGGCAAAAAAAAAGTCACATTTTTAGATTGGATCTTTTGTATATTTTCTGTTTCTAAATATGCTATCTCTATGTATTTCATGTTTAATCATCAAAAGTGAAAGTGTGTATACTATATATTAGCAAAATAATGGTACTTATATTTTAATATTATTTTCTCTGAATCCTTCTTCTAGTTCTATGATTACAATCAGGTAATTTGTATTTTTATAAGATCAAGTTAATACTTTTTTATTCCAAATATATATACATTCTCTCTGTGAAAATACATAAAATCATTTTTATTTTTCAGCATGGACAACAACAAATATAAATAACATATCATATGTATAAAAAATATGTCATATATTTGATATGTTATATATGAGAAACATGTTTCATATATATGACAGTATTCATTCAAGAGATTCCCTATAAGTAGATAATGGCTTTACTTCCATTTTTTCTTCTATAAAGAGTGTTGAAATTAATATACTTACATGAATACTCATTTGATCATTTTCTTAGAATAAATTTAACAAAATACACAATTGGTAAAGAATATAGATGTTTTTATGTATGCACTCATATATTCTGCTCAAAATGCTGAAACAGTTTTCACCCTCCAATATAGAACACTGTATTTGACAACACTGATGATACAATGTTGTTGTTTTTAATCTGCAATATTTCAAAAAGATTAAAAATCATGGCTAACTGATCTTCTATTGGGAAAAAATGTGATATTTTACAATTTACGACTTAAAATCTAAGATTTAAAAGATTTTATAAAACCAGATTTTTCTGTTTAATAAAATATAAACTTCAAGGAGAAAAGTTCCATTTCCTAGGTGCTTCCCTTGGCTGAATCGTTGAGTTTATTTTAGGCAATTAGGCTTATAAGGTTCCAGAATAGCTGGGGAATAACAACCATCACTCTTGTATAAAATATTTTTAACATTTACTCTGAAGGTCTCCACATCATCTTGCTTCAGGGTGCACTTAGCATGTTAGTAATGTTTTTCATGGAATCCTTAAACCTAAACAAACCCTAACAGTTTATTTTAAACAGTAGTTAATTCTAACATCTTGATAAGTATTTATGTCTTAACAACTGAGCATGTTTTGATCACTGTACAACTTTTCAAATCTTTGAGTCCTATTGGACATCACCATGCATTACCTATCCCAGATAAATTTTCATACGATACTTGTGTTTGTTTTTTTATCAGGCAAACTGTTAAAATCCAGCTCTGCAAATATATGTCATTATGAAAATTAGTTTAATGTTGAAACTATAAACTACCTCAAGATAGTAGCTTATGCTGTGTCCAACAAAGGTAGTTATGTTTCCCTTGGAAATGTAAAATACTGCAGAGCACTTTGCTTACTTTGCTGAGTTTTTTTCCAGGTGCCTTGACCCATAGTTTGAAAACTTCAAGTTTAGAGATTTTTGTTTTCTTTGTTTTTAGTATTTTTCTGCAGACTGAAGGAGCTGAAGGTTATTGCCGCACTTGCTTTCATCAAGCAATTTGCTCAGCTTGGAGTGAGGTTATTGTCACTACAATAAAAGCTTTCTGAAGGCCAGCAACTTCTACCCGTATTTTTTAAGAACCATTCTTAATATAGATATCTCTGTTAAATCGAGCAGGCTTTATTCCTGTTATATTTTAATAGCCTTATTGTAGTCTTCCCTTAAATGCTAATGGTTCCATGATTTCTGCTCTGTATTGTACTGAGAGGCTCTGTCCATATCTTTATGTCTTTTAGCTTGCTTTAAAACATAAAACTTTCTTACATTATACTCTTCATTCAATTATCCAAATGAGATATTTTGTAATAATGGAACAGATGTACTTGCATACTTTCTTAAGGGTATCAATTGGAGATAACAAGGCCTTCATATAAGATTTATAACTAATCCTCTTTATTTGGTTGGGTATCTTTTGAAGAAATTTGGGATGCAATGTTTTAGTCAATATCATACTCTCTAAGTTTCAAACATCAAAAACATCCATGATCCCAAATTAAACAAAGATGTGGAATATCATCTTTATTTCTTGGTTTCTATTTTCCGTACATTACAGAGGTTCATGTTTACAATGGGTTTGTATTATGGAATTCTAACTAGAGAAACTTTGGCGTCTTTATTATAAATAATAGTTTTGGTGTTGTCACTTGTATAAGTTTGTTTGGGCTGTTGTAACAGTACAAAAATTGGGTGGCTTAAAACAACAGAAATTCTGGAGACTGGAATTCTAAGATCAAGGTGTCAGCAGGTCAATGATGTCTCTGAAACATGCAGGGGAATCCTTCCTTGCCTAGTCTAGCTTCTAACGTTTTGCTGGCAATCTTTCGTGTTTCTTGGCCTGTAGCTGCATCAATGCAATCTCTGCTTTGGATGTATCATAATGTTCTTCCTATAAGTCTCTGCCTTCACGTGGCCATCTTCTTGTAAGCATATCACTCATATAGAACTAGGGATCTACCCTACTTTAATGGCCTCATTTTAACAATGGTATGTATGAAATCCCTTGATTGATAAATAATGTAGGACATACAATAGAATAACATTCACTCAGTGTGAGTGACAATGTAGATACACATTTATTGACATGAAAAGTATCAAATACATATCAGTGGGAAAAAGGCACTTAAAAACAATAATGTATCTATTGTTGTTAGCACACACACTAATCATATTAAAAATTGTCGGCTAGGTGTGGTGGCTCATGCCTGTAATCCCAGAAATTTGAGAGGCTGAGGCGGGTGGATCATGAGGTCAGGAGTTCAAGACCAGCCTGGCAAACATAGTGAAATCCCATCTCTACTAAAAATAAAAAAAAAAAAATAGCTGGGCATGGTGGTGGTCTCCTGTAATCCCAGCTACTCCGGAGGCTGAGGAAGAAGAATTGCTTGAACCCGGGAGGCAGAGGTTGCAGTGAGCAGAGATAGCACCACTGCACTCCAGTCTGGGCGACAGTGCGAAACTCTGTCTCAAAAAAAAAAAAATTGTCAAATACATTTGCCTATTAGAATTACCTAACTTATTTAGGTGGTAATATTGTGGGTACTATAAATTTTCTCTCTTTGTCCCATCTTTGAGTTATAGTAGTATGTACAGGAAAAATTTAAGAAGCTCACATTCTCAACATCGGTTATGTTAGCTACATGTTGGGCTGGTCTTAACGTGCGGTACTGTGGAAGACAGCCAAAGATATGTAGCATAATTTTTTACGTGCAGTTAAGTCTAGTCTGAAATTAATAAACTTAGGTGTTTTCTCACATAAACTAAAGTGACAAAAATCTAGATCATTAAGATGTCATAATGATTAAATAGTAATACATAAATATATAGAGATAGATATATAAAAATACATATATGTTTAGAGATGGTGTTTCACTATATTGCCTAGAGTGACCTTGAACTCCTGGGCTCAAGCGATCTTCCCACCTCAGCCTCTTGAGTAGCTGGAATTACAAGAACCTAGAAAAGTATTTTCTAATATGGTTTGTAAACAAATGTTAGATCAAACTTCTTTTTTTTTTAACACCCTGGTTGAGAAAGAAGTAACACATTAATTAAATCCGCCCCCAACACTCATCTCAGAAACATGTATAAATCAACATATTAATTAGTTTGAAGAGAAAAATGCTCTCAAAGCCAAAAAGAAGATCATACAGTGTATATAAGAGTTAGCAATATAAAAGAGAAAACCTTGAGTTAGAGGGAATCAGACTTAAGGCTCTAACATCTCTATCTCTGTGGCTCTTTCTTTGCCTCATAATTCCTTTTCATCTTTTATGCTGGCATGATATTGATGTATTCAAAGGGAACCACAGTAAAAATTTAAAGGCAAATCAAAGCAAATAGAAAGAGAAAGCCATGGGAATAGAAATACAGTGTTTATTCATCTCTTTATATATAAAGTAGTTAGATACAGATATAGAAATGGAAAATAAAGATAATAACACAGATAAGCTTGATTATAGATTGATTTGTAAGAAATCATCTTACAAAGAGTGGTATACTTCCAAGATGTATACTTACAAAGAATGCCTTCCATATATGTGGCATTCTGTTTCTTTTTTTACATTAGCTCTTCTTCTACATCTCCTTTTCTTTTTAAAAATTTAAATCAACCAGCTTTTTAAATTATGTTAATCAGGCTTAATGAAGTGTATTCTCTTACCCAAAACTGTTGCATTTTATTAGAATTTAGAACTAACTTTTCTAATTACTGCACATTTTAACAGTCAGGGTCATGATTCCTAGAAATTAAGTGACATTTTTTTCTCTCCAATAACCAACAGTAAGCATTCATTTCTGAATTTTCATTATGTGTTTCTTCTTCCATTTTTTCTCTTTCTTTTCCTTGCTTTCTTGTTGTATTGCTTTTGTTTGTTTTTAGTATGGGAGACTAATTCCATTGCAGAGCTGCCATGAGCATTAATGAAACAGGATGTGAACACTTGCTTTTGTGTAACCAATGCCAGACAACATACAGACAAGTAAGAATTCAATTGAAACTACAGGAGGGGCTACATTTCATCTCATTGCCTTTCTTTTTTCTAAATTTTCCTCAAAAGGAGAAGTCCACAGGAACTAACAAGGATTTGCTGTCTGTATCTCTGTGGAGAAATAAGTTTGCATGATAGAAAGAGTAGCCTATCCTGGAAAATGCACAATTCTTCCAAGTGACTCCTGTCTGGATAAACTGCAGTGTTTGCACTAAAGCCATTATTCCCTTGGGCTGCTCTTAGTCAATGACTGCACATGCTGGGGATAGTTCAGGACCATTCCTGTAAGATATGGAACTCCCCTGATGCATAACTCATCTTGAGAACTCCCCGTCAGTCTGATTGGTACTACTCAGGACTGCAATACAGCACTTTCTGACCAATCTTTTTTAGTTCCCTCTCTCTTCTCATAGGTGTCAGGTCTGCCTTAACTCTGAAGTCTCTTCATGCCTATTTCTGCATCCTCTTTATTTCTCTGGCATTCCTTCTCCCCAACCCCAGTAAATATTTCACGTATCTAACTCTGTCTTGGCGTCTGCTTCTTGGAGGAACTAAATTAACACATTCCTAAATTAAATTATAAAGTCTTATAGTATAGAAATAGTATATTTTCTTTGTATATGCCTCTCAGTATATGCCCAATGCCTCAGTATATGCCCAAATTTTTACTTAAATTCTGCACGATGTTATAAAAGTAAACAACTCTCATTCGCATAAGAAATTTTGCCATGCAATGTGGACCGAGGATAAGATGTTTATAATGTGTTTTAGTTAGATTAAAGGATCATTGAATTTTCCATGTATCAATTTCATAAAAGAAAACTTTTTTAATCTCAAATTTCAGCTCACAAACTATTAGGGTAGTCATTAGCATCACTATGAAATGGCCACTTTTCAACATTGAACATTACATTTACACTGATGTGAGATAAATATAGAATTTTATAAGTTATCAAAATATTAATGCTTTCCAATTTGTTTTTCAAAAAGTGAAAACAAAAAAACACCCTATATCTCCATAGATGTGCTTTACTGCAAAAGCTTATTAAGATTTTGTTTATTATATTTTACAGTAAATAGGACCAGAAGGAAATTCCAAATCTATACCTGTTCCCACGCCATTTCTAGGTTACGAGTAAATTTGAATCAGTAGTGAAGTTGGCTTTTTTTCTTCCTCAATAATCCTGTGACCGAGAAGGCACCTGAGAATACCAGAGCTTTTCAGTTTAGTTTTAGGTTTTAGAATGTGTGTGAGAGAAAATTAGGGAGAGTGAGGATTAATGAAGCGGCATTTACAAAGGCTTTCTAGCATTCCTGCTATACTTTTGCCTCTCCCAGTGTCCCAGAGGTGACTTGACTTAGCTTTCTTAAAACAAGCCTTCTCCTGGCTCCCGTTTCCATCTAGACCCTTTATCAGTGCCCAGCTCTGGGAATTCTTTCTTAGGTCCAGAACAACCTCAGTAATGCCACATCATTGTTTCCTTGAACTACACAGAAAGCAGTAATTGTGCAATATTCATGGAAACTGCCAAATGAGATCTGTGTGCCAGAAACAAGAGAAAAGATTCCAGAACTGTTTTATGGTATTTCCAGGTTTCTGTAGCTATTTACAAAGATTTGTCTTTGTTTTTTCCCAGGCAAAAGACCTACTTTATAATAGCATGAATAAAACAGTAAATGTGTTACACAATGGTCTGACCTTCCATTGTTAGAATATGGCAAATAAATAACTTCCACCTTCATGACTAAAGACAAAAGCTCTGGAGGGTCTCACCCTTAATATGAAGTTATCTATTGTGAGTAATCTCCAGCTGACTCTGTGTAGCTGCTATGGTTCAAAAATAGTTTCTAATATCTAGAACACTAATTTGAGTTAAATAATATGTACAACACAAATTGTGAAAAAGGTGAAAATATAATTTAGGTCAGAATGGAGAAAATATTAAATGTCTGAAAGTAAAACATCTTTCTTTAAAACTGAGTTATTTATTTCTATTTTGAAATAATAGCAAGCTAGAAGTTTGCTATTAGAGCTGAAACCTTTTTGCTAGTCATGTTTCCCTTGTTTTGGAAAAGGTTCACTTGAACATTGAAATTTTGTACAAAACAGGGTGGATGACTTTTGTTATTTTAATCAATGGAGGCATTGATAAATGCCACTTACAGAAATGTTCTAGTTTTTGTGTGTAAAAGCAATAGGAAAAAAAAAAACAATATTCCCAGTATTAGAGTATGGTTGCCCCTTGAAGAACAGCATGGGGTTGAACTGTGTGAGTCAATATAGACGCAGATTTTTTTAATAAATATGTTGGAAAGCTTTTTTGGATATTTGCAACATACTGAAAAAACCTGCAAGTAAACCATGTAGCCTAAAAATATTGAAAATTTTTTTAAAGTTAGGTGTTATGAATGCATGAAATTTGTATAGATATTGCCAGGCATAGCGGCTTACGCCTGTAATCCCAGCATTTTGGGAGGCTGAGGGGGACAAATCACTTGAGGTCAGAAGTTCGAGACCAGCCTGGCCAACATAGTGAAACCGTGTCTCTACTAAAAATAGAAAAATTAGCTGGGCATGGTGGCACATGCCTTTAATCCCAGCTACTTGGGAGGCTGAGGCAAGAGAATTGCTTGAACCTGGGAGACAGAGGTTGCAGTGAGCCAAGATTGCACTTCAGCATGGGTGACAGAGTGAGACTCCATCTCAAAAAATAAATAAAAATGAAGTATGTGTAGATACTACTCTCTATTAATATTTACTACCATAAATACACACAAATCTATTATAAAAAGTTAAATTTTATCAAAACTCATACACATAAATACTTAAGAGCATACACAGTACCATTTGCAGTCAAAACAAATGTAAAAATATGTAAATATACAGTATTAAATTATAACTACATAAAATTAAATGTAGTACATACTACATACTACTGTCAATAATTTTATAACCACTTCCTGTTGCTAGTGAGGTGAGCTCAAGTGTTGTGAGCATCCCCTAAAATGCTGTATGATGCTAACTGTCTTCCTGTGAACAGTTCATCTCTCCAGTGAATTACGTATCACAGTAAAAATGATCTCTTATGGTTCTAGCATATGTTTTTCATCACATTTAGTGCAATACCACAAACCTTGAATAACACCATGGACCCAAGCGAAGTACCACTAGTGATGCTGGAAATGCTCATAAGAAGCAGAGAAAAGTCAAGACATTACAAGAAAAAGTTTCATGGATTGATATGTACCATATACTGGGGTCTTCAACTACAATTGCCTGCCATGTCAAAGATAAATGAATCAGCATAAGGACCACTGTATAAAAAAAGAAGAAGAAATTCATGAATCCATAGCTGCAGCTATGGTAGCATGCATTGAAATCTTGCACTTTTTGTGAAATACCTTTTTATCTTATACTGAAAATGCAGTGTGTATATGGGTGTAGGATTGCTGTAATAAAGATATACCTATAGATTCTCATATGATGTGAGGAGAAGTGATTATATGACAACTTAAAGCAAAAGGAAGGTGAACAATCTAAAACTGAAGAATTTAATGCCAACAAAGGATGGCTTGACAATTTTAGAAAGAGGTTTAGCTTTAAAAATGTCAAGACAGGCCGGGTGCCGTGGCTCACACCTGTAATCCCAGCACTTTCGGAGGTCGAGGTGGGCAGACCATGAGGCCAGTAAATCGAGACCATCCTGGCTAACATGGTGAAACCTCGTCTCTACTAAAAATACAAAAAATTAGCCGGGTGTGGTGGCACACACCTGTAGTCCCAGCTACTTGGTAGGCTGAGGCAAGAGAATCACTTGAACCTGGGAGGTGAAGGTTGCAGTGAGCCAAGATCACGCCACTGCACTTCAGCCTGCTGAAAGAGCGAGACGCTAAAAAAAAAAAAAAAAAAAAAAAAAAAAAAAAAAAAAAAGTCAAGATAATAGGAAAACAAGCTTCTATTGGCCAAGAGACAGCAGACAAGTTCCCAGATACCATTAAGAAAATCATTGAGGATAATGGATATCTGCCCAAATATGTTTTTAATGCCCTTGAAAGTATTCTATTCTGGAAAAAAAATGCCACGAAGGATATTTATTAATAAGAAAGAGAAGTGAGCACCAGGATTTAAGGCAGGAAGGAATAGATTCTCTATTGCTTTGTGCAGATGCAGTCAGGTTTATGATCAGAACTGTCCTTATCTATAAAGCTACTAACCCCCAAGCTTTGAAGGGAAAAGATAAACATGAGCTGTCAATCTTTTGCTTGTACTATAAGAAAACCTGAATGAAACCCCTTTTTTTCTGTATTGGTTCCATTGATGCTTTGTCGCCAAAGTCAGAAGTAGCTTGCCAGCAAGGAACTTCCCTACAAAATTCTGTTAATATTAGACAATGCCCCTGGCCATCCAGAACTCCATGAGTTCAACACCAAAAGCACTGAAGTGGTCTACAAATTCCCAAACACTTTGTCAGGTAGTGACAAGGAACGTTAAGTCTCATTACACATGGTACTCTAAGAAAAGGATCATCAATATTGTGGAAGAGAACCCTGGTAAAGAGAACATCATGAAAGGCTGGAAGGATTATACCATTGAAGATTCCATAGTTGTTATAGAAAAAGCAATGAAAGCCTCAAAAATAATAAATTCCTGCTGGAGAAACTGTGTCCTGATGTACACGTTTCATAGGATTTATGAGAGAATCAAGAAAATCATGACAGAGTTTGTGCTATGACAAAAAGGTGGAGGGTGATGGATTTCAAGATATAGATCTAATAGACACCACATCAGAGGAATTAACAAAAGACGATCTGATGGAGATGAATGCTTCCAAATCAGTGCCCAAAGATGAGGAAGAAGATGTAGAAGAAGCAATGCCAAGAAACAAATTGACACAAGATAATCTGGCAGAAAGGTTCCAATTATTCAAAAACACTTTTGACTTCTTTTACCACATGGACCTTTCTATGATTTGGGCACTGAAACTGAAGAAAATGGTGGAAGAATGATTGGTATTATATACAATATTTTTAGTGAAATGAAAAAGCAAAAATGTAAAACATAAATTAGGATGTATTTTCATAGTTACATTGAGTGTGTCTACCTCTCCTGACTCCCCTTCCACTTCTTCTGCTTCTGCCAGTCCTGAGACAGTAAGACCAACTCCTCCCTCCCCTTTCTCTTCCACAGTCTGCTCAATGTGAGGGTGGTGAGGATGAAGATCTTTACGATACACTCCCACTTAATAAATGATAAATGTATTTTCTTTTCCTTATGATTTTCTTAATAGCCTTAGCTTTTTTCTAGCTTCATTGTAATACAATACAGTATATAATGCATATAACATTCAAAATGTGTGTTAAGTGACAATTATGTTATTGGCAAGACTCCTGGCCAACAGTATGCTATTGAGAGTTAAGTTGTTGGGGAATCAAAAGTTGTGCTCACATTTTCCACTGTGCAAGGCTTGGCACACATTTTTCAAGGCAACCCTAACCTCCACATTGTTCAAGGGTAATTCTATTTGAATGACTTCAAGAGTTTGCTGAGCTTTTGAATAAGAGTTCTTTAAAAATCCCCCTTGATAATAAGGAACATACTTTGTAATAAATGTATCATATCTTGGGGGTAAGTCACTTATTTTGTTCCCTAAGGGCATTTTGTTTCATGTTCTCTCCTTTATGTGTGTGCGTGTATCTTTATATATATATTTATAAATATACATATGTTTATATGTATATAAATATAGATTTTTAATTTTATTTTATGGCCACTGTATATAGCTGTACAGAGCTCAGGGAGGCAGCACTTGCATGTGCATATGTGTTATGATAGTTTTCAAGGAAATGGAAGTAAACTTGAGGCAAAGAAGAGACAAGCATTTTTTCAATTTAATTAGAGGCACCATTTAGGTTAGGAAATTTTATTTGTTATTTGATTATTTAAAAATTATTATAACATTTTTATTAGATTTCTTTCATACTATATATATTCTTCTTGAAATATATTAGTGTTGAACTTTTGATTGTTACTAATAAACTAAAAGTTTTAAGAGTAGAGTATGTGTCTTACTTGCCTCTTCTTTCCCTGAAACATTAGGCATAGCAACCTGCTTGCTGTAAGAATATAAAAATAAAAATAAACTTAATGGAGTCAAATGGAATTGAAATTGGAATTGATAAAGTAGAGAAAGCAGGATCTAAGAGTACCTAAAAGTCAAAAGCACCAGCAAATATCTTTCAGAATCACAGCAAATTTTCTCAACTCTGAAATATTATTTTGGATGATGTATCTAAGTTATCAATGACCTGATATGAATTAGCATGAGGAAGACAAAGACATAAGACATCAGGGTATCATTCTTCTGACCATAGTTGTTTCTTGCATTCCTCAGAAATATCTTAGTTTTTCTATCTTCTTTGTATTTATAATATATACTGGAGTTGGGCCAGGCGTGGTGTCTCACTCCTGTAATCCCTGCACTTTGGGAGGCCAAAGTGGGTGGATCACTTCAGGTCAGGAGTTCGAGACCAACCTGGCCAACATGGTGAAACCCCGCCCCTACCAAAATACAAAAATTAGCCCGGTGTGGTGACGGTCCCTAATCCCAGCTACTCAGCAGGCTGAGACAAGAAAATTGCTTGAACCCAGGAGGTGGAGGTTGCAGTGAGCCAAGATCGTGCCACTGCACTCCAGCTTGAGGGACAGAGCTAGATATTCCATCTCAAAAAAAAAAAAAATCTTATCCTCATGAATTCAGGTTACTCATGGTGAATGTGTTCCAAGTTTTCAATTCAATAATTTACCATTTGAGGGTGGTTATTGTATGTTCTTGGCTATGCTAACAGGACTTTTTTTTTAAGTTTTATTTTAGGTTTGGGGGTACATGTGAAGGTTTGCTACATAGGTACTCATGTCACTGGGGTTTGTTGTACAGATTATTTCATCACTCAGGAATTTAGCCCAGTACCCAGTAGATATCTTTTCTGCTCTTCTTTCTCCTCCCAACCTCCACCCTCAAGAGAACCCTAGTGTCTGTTATTTCCTTCTTTGTGTTCAAAAGTTCCCATTACTCAGCTCCCCCTTATAAGTGAGAATATGCTGTATTTGCTTTTCTGTTCCTGCATTAATTGGCTGAGGATAATAGCCACCAGCTCCATTCATGTTCCCACGAAGGACATAATCTCGTTCCTTTTTATGCCTGCATAGTGTTCCATGGTGTGTATATGTACCGCAGTTTCTTTATCCAATCTGTCAATGGGCATTTAGGTTGATTCTGCGTATTTGCTATTGTGAATAGTGCTGTAGTGAACATTCACGTGCATGTATATTTATGAGAGAATGCTTTATATTCCTCTAAGTATATACCCAGTGTTGGAATTGCTGAGTTCAATGGTAGTTCTGCTTTCAACTCTTTGAGGAATCACCATACTGCTTTCCACAATGGTTGAGTTAATTTACACTCCTACCAGCAGTGGATAAGTGTTCCCTTTGCTTTGCAACCTTGCCAGCATAATTTGTTTTTTGACTTTTTAATAATAGCCATTCTGAGTGGTTGTGAGATGGTATCTCATTGAGGTTTTGATTTGCATTTCTCTAATGATCAGTGATATAGAGCTTTTCTTTATATGCTTGTTGGCCACACGTATGTCTTCTTCTGAAAAATATCTGTTCATGTCCTTTGCCCACTTTTTAATGGGGTTGTTTGTTTATTTCTTGTAAATTTGCTTAAGTTCCTAATAGATGCTGGATATTAGACCTTTGTTAGATGCATACTTAGCAAACATTTTCTCCCATTCTGTAGGTTGTCTGTTTACTCTGTTGATAGTTTTTTTTTTTTCTGTGCAGAAGCTCATTAGTTTAATTAGATTTCATTTGTCAATTTTGGCTTTTGTTGCAATTGCTATTGGTGTCTTTGTCATTAAATCTTTGCCTCTTCCTATATCCAGGATGGTATTGCCTAGGTTGTCTTCTAGGGTTTTTAGTTTGGGGTTTTACATTTAAGTCTTTAATTCATCTTGAGTTGATTTTTTTTTTTTTTAGAAAGAGTCTCTCTCTGCTGCCAGGCTGGAGTGCAGTGCCGCTATCTTGGCTCACTGCAACCTCTGCCTCCTGGGTTCAAGGGATTCTCGTGCTTCAGCCTTCCAAGTAGCTGGAATTACAAGTGCATGCCACCATGCCCAGCTAATTTTTGTATTTTTAGTAGAGATGGGGTTTCACCGTGTTGGCCAGGCTGGTCTTGAACTCCTGACTTCAAGTGATTCTCCCACCTCGGCCTCCAAAAGTGCTGGGATTACAGGCGTGAACCACTGTGCCCAGTAAAATACATCTTGAGTTGATTTTTGTATATAGTATAAGGAAGGAATCCAGCATCAGTCTTCTGCATATGGCTAGCCAGTTATCTCTGCACCATTTATTGAATGGGAGCCTTTTTCCCATTGCTTGTTTTTGTCAGCTTTGTTGAAGATTAGATGGTCTTAGGTGTGTGGCCTTATTTCTGGGCTCTTTACTCTATTCCATTAGTCTATGTGCCTATTTTTGTACCAGTACCATTCTGTTTTGGTTACTGTAGCCTGACAGCATAATTTGAAGTCGCCTAGAGTTATGCCTCCATCTTTGTTCTTTTGGCTTTGGATTGCTATGGCTATTTGAGCTCTATTTTGGCTCCAGAATAATTTTAAAATAGCTTTCTCTAGTTCTGTGAAGAATATCATTGGTGGTTTGGCAGAAATAGCATTGAATCTGTAAATTGCTTTGGGAAGTATGGCCATTTTAATAATAATGATTCTTCCTGTCCATGAGCATAGGATGTTTTTCCATTTGTTCGTGTCTTCTCTGTTTCTTTTTAGCAGTGTTTTGTAATTCTCATTTTAGAGATCTTTCACCTCCCTAATTAGCTGTATTCTTAGATATTTTATTCTTTTTGAGGGAATTGTGAATGGGATTGCTTTTCCGATTTGGCTCTTTTCTTGGATGTTGTTGGTGTATAGGATAGGAATGCTAGTGATTTTGTACATGGATTTTGTATCCTGAAACCTTGCTAAAATTGTTTATCAGCTGAAGGAGATTTGGGGCCAGAACTATGAGGTTTTCTAGATACAGAATGATGTCATCTGCAAACAGAGAAGTTAATCTGAAATCAAATAATCCTCATAAATAATGTTTTAACTTTTTCTTTACCAAAATATTTTGAAAGATTCCTTTATTTTCACTATAAAGTAGTATTTATATCATTTGAATGGAGATCTGTGAATAGGTAAAATTGACTTTCACTTTTTAAGTTTACCAAAAAAAAAAAAAGAAAAAAAAGAGTAGTTAAACACTGGTTCTTTTCCAAAGCTACCTCATTCTTCCCTTTCCTACATGGAACCCTGAAGAGGAGAGCCAACTGACACTCCACAGTCAGTAGCTGTTTTTTTTTTATTATTATACTTTAAGTTTTAGGGTACATGTGCACAACGTGCAGGTTAGTTACATATGTATACATGTGCCATGCTGGTGTGCTGCACCCATTAACTCGTCATTTAGCATTAGGTATATCTCCTAATGCTATCCCTACCCCCTCCCCCGACCCCACAACATTCCCCAGAGTGTGATGTTCCCCTTCCTGTGTCCACGTGTTCTCATTGTTCAATTCCCACCTATGAGTGAGAATATGTGGTGTTTGGTTTTTGTTCTTGCGATAGTTTACTGAGAATGATGATTTCCAATTTCGTCCATGTCCCTACAAAGGACATGAACTCATCATTTTTTATGGCTGCATAGTATTCCATGGTGTATATGTGCCACATTTTCTTAATCCAGTCTATCATTGTTGGACATTTGGGTTGGTTCCAAGTCTTTGCTATCGTGAATAGTGCCGCAATAAACAAACGTGTGCATGTGTCTTTATAGCAGCATGATTTATAATCCTTTGGGTATATACCCAGTAATGGGATGGCTAGGTCAAATGGTATTTCTAGTTCTAGATCCCTGAGGAATCGCTACACTGACTTCCACAATGGTTAAACTAGTTTACAGTCCCACCAACAGTGTAAAAGTGTTCCTATTTCTCCACATCCTCTCCAGCATCTGTTGTTTCCTGACTTTTTAGTGATTGCCATTCTAACTGGTGTTAGATGGTATCTCATTGTGGTTTTGATTTGCATTTCTCTGATGGCCAGTGATGATGAGCATTTTTTCATGTGTGTGTTGGCTGCATAAATGTCTTCTTTTGAGAAGTGTCTGTTCATATCCTTTGCCCACTTTTTGATGGAGTTGTTTGTTTTTTTCTTGTAAATTTGTTTGAGTTCATTGTAGATTCTGGATATTAGCCCTTTGTCAGATGAGTAGGTTGCGAAAGTTTTCTCCCATTTTGTAGGTTGCCTGTTCACTCTGATGGTAGTTTCTTTTGCTGTGCAGAAGCTCTTTAGTTTAATTAGATCCCATTTGTCAATTTTGTCTTTTGTTGCCATTGCTTTTGGTGTTTTAGACATGAAGTCCTTGCCCATGCCTATGTCCTGAATGGTAATGCCTAGGTTTTCTTCTAGGGTTTTTATGGTTTTAGGTCTAACATTTAAGACTTTAATCCATCTCGAATTAATTTTTGTATAAGATGTAAGGAAGGGATCCAGTTTCAGCTTTCCACATATGGCTAGCCAGTTTTCCCAGCACGGAAAGGAGTCCCTATTTAATAAATGGTGCTGGAAAAACTGGCTAGCCATATGTAGAAAGCAGTAGCTATTTTTCACTCCTAGCAAGGATGACATTATTCACTTTGCAAATTGTGTGATCCAACCCTAGTCTGCCCCACTCTATGGACTAGAACCACTTCCATCACTTAGGTGACTCAGGCCATTGGTTCCCCACACAAGGCATTTCTGTAATAATGAAATAATGAACTTCATTTTTTGGCAGATTTTTAAAAAGTAAAGTCTATAAATTTATATATATTTTTATATATTTATATTTTCTTATACAAATATACACATATATATGTTTGTTTTCAAATTACCTTTGTGTGCCTGGCAGAGATATTTTCGGACCGGAATTAAATAGGGAATTTTCCACAAGTAACACTTTTCTATATGCAGCAAAGGTTTGTTTTCAGTTCCAGCAACCATATACATTTTATTCTACATTCACATTCTATTGAGGCCAATGTGCTTTCTGATGTAGGACACTGTAGTGGACTGAACTCTTTCAAGCCTGACAAACAGTAGTTTGGTATAGTTGGAAGATCTCATTTAGCTTTGGCAGGTTAGGGAGTCCAGGGCTAAGAGAATTCTCCTAAATTCTTGGCTGAAATATTTCTGTTACTTAATTGCACATTTGTTCTTTCCCTAAATTTAGAGATTAAGTTTACTCCCTGGGAACTGCATCTTAAGTTAGTAACAAGTAGAACTTCATCATCTAATATTTTCTTCTATTTTATTAGGTCAAGGACTTTCTATCCTGATAAAAATATACAGTTTCATTATGCTCCTTTTTAGATATTTTGCTTTCATAATTTGGTTGCGTGTGAGGATATCTGTGTCTTTTATTAATACTGCTTACCCATGAGTTTCTCAAGTTGCAATTTTACAGAGTGCACGAGGTCGGCTGACAATTGAGTTGTGGGCATGCTACAAGCATCTTTAGTTGCCTTTTTCATCATGTCAACTGGAACAAACAATTTCTCTGTCTTGAAAAAAGACAACTTGTCATGGACCTGAATGATGGCTGATGATAGCCACAGTCACAGAGATGAACAAATGATGCAGCCTCTGTAATAACTCCAACTACTCAGAATAATTTGAAAATTGCTTCAGTTATAATACTTTGCTTTTCAAATGTCATTCTTTGATGTAAATATTCATAACCACAGATCCTCAAAGAACCAAAAAGGCTTAATAACCCAAGTGAAAAAAGGGTAATGATTTCACAACCATGTAAAATTCAGTACAATGGATACAGTTTAATGTACAATAGAATACAGATTGTCGAAGTTTTTTGTGAAATAAGTCCTCCACACTCCACCCTCACATTTCTTTCTTTTTTGTGTTTTCCCTTCTAACTAGCTGTGAGTGATTGTGTGTGTGTGTGCGCCTGGAGAGTGTATCTGGTTTCTGTGTAAGTTGTCCCCAGCTTGTCTGTACACAAGGAAGGGATATTAACCTTAGATAATTCCTCAATATTCCATGGTTTCCTTTTCTCAGTCCTTAGCAAAGACAAAACAAAATGAAATAAAAATAGCTGGAGATCCACAGTCTGCTTTGAGTATGGTCTGCATGTTACCAGCCTCCAGAAGTGCTCCTGCTGATGCCTGCATGTCTTTCACGTCTTGAGTCGTGAGTCACCTTATAAAAGCCTAACATCAAACCACACCGAAAGAAGCCAGCGAAACTCCCCGCATAATAGACATGGAGAAAAAAAAGTCATTCTTTCTGTTTGCGTAAAATGTTTATTTGATTTCTTCCCTTATAGTATGAGGTGATTGGGCAAATTAATCTGTAAATCGCTTCAGGAGCAAACATTCTAATTTTCTTCTAAGAACTTCTGTTGTTACATAAGAATATCTCATTAAGCTTTACATTTCCAAGAGAACAGGAAGGCAGTAGATGATAACGAAATAGGAAAGAAAAAGATTTCAAAAGTTATGCTTTTACTAATGAAAATAAGATGTTAAACACACTTTTAAATTAAGCATTTTCTTAAATTTAGGATTCGAGCATCTGTTTGATTTCCTTTCTGGAGGCTGTTAATGACAATTTCTCCTCTATGAAGAGGCAATGTGAGTGCATTGACATTATTAAACCTGTTAAAGCCTATTGCCTAATTTAGAATTTATCTGGTAAGCTGATTAAAAGAATAATTTTCCTTTTGACTGGAGTAAATTATATAGAAACTTTTTATCTCTTAGAGTTTTAATATCTTGAGTTTATCATTTTTATTCAAGAATCTAAAATGGGATGCTTTTTGTAGCCTCAGGCAGAGATATTATATAGCAAGATGAACAGTAAAATCAAAATATTGTCATACATTAAAACCCAACGTGTTTGAAACTGCTTCATCACCCACGATTCTCCTGAACTAAACATCACAGTGGATTTTAAATTTGTATTCCTTTAAATTCTAATTTGTGATATTCAAATGAAACAATTTATTGTATTTTAAACATGCTTTCCTTATTGTTTATTAGGTATTTTTGCAGTATGTTACTAAATATGTTGATAGATTCTTAAGATTTTGCAATGAGTAAATATTAATGCAGTATGTGTGGTTTTCTTTATCTCCTAAGATTAGACTCCCTTTTAAACTCGTAGATTCCTAAAAAAATCAATTCAAAAATTGTTATAATGGTAGACAATGATTTACATGAAAAATATTTGCCCTTTGGCACTATCATTTTACTTCACAAAACGTTAGTGTTGCAGGACGGTGAATCTATATCTACCTATCTATATTATAAACTTGGTCAAATTTTAATAGATATAGCTATATATAATTTTAACGGTACTGTAAACAGGTATTGATGGAAGAACTTGTAGTTTCGTGTTCAGTCTGGCTTTCTTTATAACTGGAATAAGGCCATATAAATTTTTATAAATTATGTTATTTTAAATAAGAGGATTTTCCTTGTAGATATAAATCTATTTCACTACATTCCATTTTTAAGTGTGCCATAATAATTTTGCACCATGACATAAGGAACAATTTTGATACTAATAGACATTTAGTCTATCTCCAAGTTTTTAAAAAATAGTACAAAAATGCAATGTATTTCTCTTTGTACAAATATTTTTCAAGATATTTTGAGAAAGCATTTCTGAATTTAAAATTATGCAAATTTTAAACATAATACATACTGTGATATTGCTTTCCAAGAGCACTGAACCAATTAATAGTCCTTTGAAATATTCATGAGGGTTTTCTCACGACTTGGCCAATTCTGGACTTTATCCAATATGTCAGATGTATCTATTTTTCTTCCTTTATATTTTGCCGTCTGTTGGAGAAAAGTATATAATTATCTTTGCTTTTATTTTCCAGATGGCATGTGAGGTTAAATATTTTCAGATGTTTAAAAGTAATTTTGATATTCTGCTGTGTGATTTTCTTGTCCACAAACTTTTCAAGTTGTTTGGTTAAGCTTTATCTGGTTTTCTTCTTTCCATTATTTTCCTACACATTCTTTGTTTCTGATATATGCTTTAAATATTTTCCAGCCTGTTATTAGTATTTAAAATTTGTTTCTGACATATTTTGTAACATAAAAATGTTTAATGTTATGTAAACAAAGGCATCTGTTTCTTTATAATTTCTTCATCTTTTGACTTAAGTGGATCTTCCTTATCCTAAAATTATAAACATATTATATTTTCTTCCAGTATTTTTAAAGTTTTGTGTTTTATATTTCAGTGTCTGAAATTTATGTGTTATGTGACTAAATACAGGTTTCCAACCCATTTTTCAAGGTTAATATCCAAGTTTTATCATATCATTTTCTGACTTAGTGCATATTTTATATTTAATGCCAATTTATATATGGTAAAGTATACTCTTTTCAGTATATAGTTCTGTGAGTTTTTACAAACACCTGAAGTTCCGTAGTGACCACTATAATCAAAATACAGAACAATTCAGTCACACCAGAAATTCCTAACTGGCCTTTTGTAGTCCAACACTTGTCAAACACTCAGTCTTTGAAAATTCCTAATCTTTTTGCTATTCTTAAATTTTTCCTTTTCCAACATAGCATACAAATAAAATCAAATGGTGGTATGCAGCCTTTGAATCTGGCTTCTTTAACCTACCATAATATATCTGAGGATTGTCCATGTCATCATGTTGTCATGTGTGTTAATAATATATTTATTTTTCTTACTGAGTACCATTTCATTTTATTTTTATTTATTTTTATTTATTTTTTATTTTTGAGTCAGAGTCTCACTCTGTTGCCCAGGCTGGAGTGCAGTGGCGCCATCTTGGCTCACTGCAACCTCTGCCTCCTGGGTTCAGGCCATTCTCCTGCCTCAGCCTCCCAAGTAGCTGGGACTACAGGCGCCCGCCACCAGGCTCGGCTAATTTTTTATATTTTTAGTAGAGATGGTGTTTCACCGTGTTAGCCAGGATGCTCTCAATCTCCTGACCTCGTGATCCACCAGCCTCGGCCTCCCAAAATGCTGGGATTACAGGGGTGAGCCACTGCGCCCGGCCGAGAACCATTTCATTTTATTGATGAACCAGAGTTTATGTATCCATTCTCCAGTTGACAGACAATTGGGTAATTTCCAGTTTGGGGCAATTATGAATAAAGTGTCTAAATATTAGAATAGAAGTTTTTGTCTGTTGATTTTTATTTCACTTGGGTAAATAGCAGTGGGATTGTTGGGCTACAATAAGTACATTTTTAATTTTATAAGAAAGATCTTATCAAACTCTGCAACCTTCAATGTCTAATATGACTGTTTTGACAATATTCAATTTATCAATTTTTAACCATTTGTTTGTCTAACTCAAGATTACTATGAATTTTCTCCTATGTTTTCTTCCAGAAGCTTAATATATTTTTATCTATGATCCATTTGGACTAAAGTGAGTGAAGTGAATTTTTGTATTTTGTGTGAGGGAAGAGTGTAGTTTCTTTTTTAAAATAATACAAAATAAATATTTGTCTATCCACTTGTTCTAACGCCATTTATTGAAAAGATTTTTCTTTCCCCAGTGGCAACTTTGTCAAGGAGAAAGAGGAAAAGAAGGAGGAGAATGAGGACAATAACAACAACGTCAAGATGCCGGTGGGTATATTTATGGGGATTCCAATAGAGATGAACCTGTTCTGTATCTTGATTGTGACAGTGGTCACACAAAGGTACATGTGGTGATAAAATTGCATAGAACTAGATATGCCCATACACTAGCCTACACACATGAGTTCATTTAAAACTGATGAAATCTGAATAGATTAAGTAGATTGTATCAGTGTCAGTATTCTGGTTGTGATATTTGATTATAGTTGTACAATATGTTGTCACTGGAGAATACTAGGGGAATAGTATAAGGGACCTTTCTGAATCATTTCTTACAACTTCATGTAACTCTCACATTCACCTTTGGGAATTATCACAAAATAGAAAGTCAAAATTAGTTTTGAAATATTCTAAAAGTGAATGCTTGTCACAAAAATAACTGGAAATCCTTCAAATAAGAACCAAGGGCGATATGAACATAGTGGCCATGAGACATAGTAGAATAAAACAAATTTCTCAAATAATGACCTATTTAATAAACAAGCAACTATTGGAGGATAAATTATGTTACTATCTATTCAATAATCTCATTTGCTACAGTAAGCTTTTTCATCTCAGCAGAATGACCTAAAAGGAACAGTACAGGGTGAAGAGGTCAGTAAGAATTAGTTAAGACTTTCATAAAGCAGGCTAATGACCAGCTAAATTCTATAAAAGTAGAAATTTACTTCACATCTCCATGCAGCACTGGTTTGATTATTTAACTCTCCAGTCAATTAGTTCAAATAATGTATTCAGTAAAAGCTATTAAACTAGTTGTGCATGTAAATAAAATGGATAAAAATCCAGTTGCAACAGAAAAGTAATTAAGATATTAATTAGTTAGAATTCTGCCTCTCTTACAATTATTAAGACATGTCACCTTGAGCAAAAGTTTCTTTTCTCAGGATGTCTATAAAATGTTTCTTTTTTCAGGATGTCTATAAAGTGCCTAGGAAAACAATTGTACAATGAGTTTCCACGATAATTTTTTTAAAAAATTCGCATATCAACACATCCATGAGGCTTTTACAGGAAGGCAGATGACCATTCAATATAAAATACGTGTTCTACCATTCAAAAATGTTTGAAGATGAAGTGAGCTCTCTTTTGAAGATAGTACGCTCTTTTCTTGGATGTGTTCAATCATAGCAGTTATATAAATTTTAACTGGAAAAAGTATAAATTGCTTTAGACATGCAGATTGTATAAAAATGTACTTCCTAATTGATATATTTTGAAAATGGAAGACTTTACGTCTTAATGACTAAATAATTATCTAATAAATCTAGCCCCAAACTACATTTGAAAATGCAAACAAAAGAAGCCCAGATGTTAGTGTTGCAGCTCAGAATAGAAGCCAGGTATTCTGAAACCAGACCTTGTTACTAGTCCTTTTCTCCCTGAATATTAGCCAACATTAAGTCTCCATTGCATATATAACTGTTCAGTTCCAAAACAAAAAAAGAAGAAAGCAAGAAGTTGTAAATGTAATGAATGGTTGTTAACATTTTTCATATTTCCTTCCGCTTTTTTTAAATTCACTATTAATTGCCTCCCCTCACAGGCACTGTTACTTGAATTCTTACACACAACTTCTTTTAATTTTCATTCACAGCAACCTTCTGAGGTTTGTACTAATTATTCCATATAGCTGAGAAGAAGTGAGGCACAGGAATGGCAAATGACTTGCCCAGAATGGCATAGTATATGAAAAGAGGACGTAAGATTTTTTTTCATTTTACCATGTGTCAGCAACCTAAAAGGAAGAAGCTGAGGCAAAATTAACATAAAGAGTTTATTTGGGTCAAGGTTGAGCACTGCGGCCCAGGACACACTTCCAAGATGCCTCAGGGAGTGCACCAGAGAACAAAAGAGAGGTTCAGATTTTTAAAGATAAAGGGATGAATCAGAAGTGATGGGGGCAATTTCAAATATATGCACCCAATACAGGAGCACTCAGATTCATAAAGCAAGTCCTGAGTGACCTACAAAGAGATTTAGACTCTCACACAATAATAATCGGAGACTTTAACACCCCACTGCCAACATTAGACAGATCAACGAGACAGAAAGTTAACAAGGATACCCAGGAATTGAATTCAGCTCTGCACCAAGCAGACCTAATAGACATCTACAGAACTCTCCACCCCAAATCAACAGAATATACATTTTTTTCAGCACCACACCACACCTATTCCAAAATTGACCACATAGTTGGAAGTAAAGCTCTCCTCAGCAAATGTAAAAGAACAGAAATTATAACAAACTGTCTCTCAGACCACAGTGCAATCAAACTAGAACTGAGGATTAAGAAACTCACTCAAAACCGCTCAAATACATGGAAACTGAACAACCTGCTCCTGAATGACTACTGGGTACATAACGAAATGAAGGCAGAAATAAAGATGTTCTTTGAAACCAACGAGAACAAAGGCACAACATACCAGAAGCTCTGGGACACACTCAAAGCAGTGTGTAGAGGGAAATTTATAGCACTAAATGCCTACAAGAGAAAGCAGGAAAGATGCAAAATTGACACCCTAACATCACAATTAAAAGAACTAGAGAAGCAACAGCAAACACATTCAAAAGCTAGCAGAAGGCAAGAAATAAATAAAATCAGAGCAGAACTGAAGGAAATAGAGACACAAAAAACCCTTCAAAAATTAATGAATCCAGGAGCTGGTTTTTTGAAAGGATCAACAAAATTGATAGACCGCTAGCAAGACTAATAAAGAAAAAAAGAGAGAAGAATCAAAGAGACGCAATAAAAAATGATAAAGGGGATATCACCACCGATCCCACAGAAATACAAACCACAATCAGAGAATACTACAAACACCTCTACGCAAACAAACTAGAAAATCTAGAAGAAATGGATAAATTCCTAGACACATACACTCTCCCAAGACTAAACCAGGAAGAAGTTGAATCTCTGAATAGACCAATAACAGGATCTGAAATTGTGGCAATAATCAATGGCTTCCCAACCAAAAAGAGTCCAGGACCAGATGGATTCACAGCCGAATTCTACCAGAGGTACAAGGAGGAACTGGTACCATTCCTTCTGAAACTATTCCAATCAATAGAAAAAGAGGGAATCCTCCCTAACTCATTTTATGAGGCCAGCGTCATCCTGATACCAAAGCCTGGCAGAGACACAAAAAAAAAGAGAATTTTAGACCAATATCCCTGATGAACATCGATGCAAAAATCCTCAATAAAATACTGGCAAACCGAATCCAGCAGCACATCAAAAAGCTTATCCACCATGATCAAGTGGGCTTCATCCCTGGGATGCAAGGCTGGTTCAATATAGGCAAATCAATAAATGTAATCCAGCATATAAACAGAGCCAAAGACAAAAACCACATGATTATCTCAATAGACGCAGAAAAGGCCTTTGACAAAATTCAACAACGTTTCACGCTAAAAACTCTCAATAAATTAGGTATTGATGGGACATATCTCAAAATAATAAGAGCTATCTATGACAAACCCACAGTCAATATCATACTGAATGGGCAAAAACTGGAAGCATTCCCTTTGAAAACCGGCACAAGACAGGGATGCCCTTTCTCACCACTCCTATTCAACATAGTGTTGGAAGTTCTGGCCAGGGCAATTAGACAGGACAAGGAAATAAAGGTAGTCAATTAGGAAAAGAGGAAGTCAAATTGTCCCTGTTTGCAGACAACATGATTGTATATCTAGAAAACCCCATCGTCTCAGCCCAAAATCTCCTTAAGCTGATAAGCAACTTCAGCAAAGTCTCAGGATACAAAATCAATGCACGAAAATCACAAGCATTCTTATACACCAACAACAGACAAACAGAGAGCCAAATCATGAGTGAACTCCCATTCACAATTGCTTCAAAGAGAATAAAATACCTAGGAATCCACCTTACAAGGGACGTGAAGGACCTCTTCAAGGAGAACTACAAACCACTGCTCAATGAAATAAAAGAGGATATGAACAAATGGAAGAACATTCCATGCTCATGAATAGGAAGAATGAATATCGTGAAAATGGCCATACTGCCCAAGGTAATTTATAGATTCAATGCCATCCCCATCAAGCTACCAATGACTTTCTTCACAGAATTGGAAAAAACTACTTTAAAGTTCATATGGAACCAAAAAAGAGCCCGCATCGCCAAATCAATCCTAAGCCAAAAGAACAAAGCTGGAGGCATCACGCTACCTGACTTCAAACTATACTACAAGGCTACAGTAACCAAAACAGCATGGTACTGGTACCAAAGAGAGATATAGATCAATGGAACAGAACAGAGCCCTCAGAAATAATGCCGCATATCTACAACTATCTGATCTTTGACAAACCTGACAAAAACAAGCAATGGGGAAAGGATTCCCTATTTAATAAATGGTGCTGGGAAAACTGGCTAGCCATATATAGAAAGCTGAAACCGGATCCCTTCCTTACACCTTATACAAAAATCAATTCAAGATGGATTAAAGACTTAAATGTTAGACCTAAAACCATAAAAACCCTAGAAGAAAACCTAGGCATTACCATTCAGGACATAGGCATGGGCAAGGACTTCATGTCTAAAACACCAAAAGCAACGGCAACAAAAGACAAAATTGACAAATGGGATCTAATTAAACTAAAGAGCTTCTGCACACCAAAAGAAACTACCATCAGAGTGAACAGGCAACCTACAAAATGGGAGAAAACTTTCGCAACCTACTCATCTGACAAAGGGCTAATATCCAGAATCTACAATGAATTCAAACAAATTTACAAGAAAAAAACAAACAACCCCATCAAAAAGTGGGCAAAGGATAGGAACAGACACTTCTCAAAAGAAGACATTTATGCAGCCAACACACACATGAAAAAATGCTCATTATCACTGGCCATCAGAGAAATGCAAATCAAAACCACAATGAGATACCATCTCACACCAGTTAGAATGGCAATCATTCAAAAGTCAGGAAACAACAGATGCTGGAGAGGATGTGGACAAATAGGAACACTTTTACACTGTTGGTGGGACTGTAAACTAGTTCAACCATTGTGGAAGTCAGTGTGGCGATTCCTCAGGGATCTAGAACTAGAAATACCATTTGACCTAGCCATCCCATTACTGGGTATATACCCAAAGGACCATAAATCATGCTGCTATAAAGACACATGCACACGTATGTTTATTGCGGCACTATTCACAATAGCAAAGACTTGGAACCAACCCAAATGTCCAACAATGATAGACTGGATTAAGAAAATGTGGCACATATACACCATGGAATACTATGCAGCCATAAAAAATGATGAGTTCATGTCCTTTGTAGGGACATGGACGAAATTGGAAATCATCATTCTCAGTAAACTATGGCAAGGACAAAAAACCAAACACCACATGTTCTCACTCATAGGTGGGAATTGAACGATGAGAACACGTGGACACAGGAAGGGGAACATCACACTCTGGGGACTGTTGTGGGGTGGGGGGAGCGGGGAGGGATAGCATTAGGAGATATACCTAATGCTAAATGACGAGTTAATGGGTGCAGCACACCAGCATGGCACATGTATACATATGTAACCAACCTGCACATTGTGCACATGTACCCTAAAACTTAAAGTATAATAATAATAAAAAGAATTTCATATACAGTATATTGAAAAAAAAAAGTTGTTTGTCAGGAATTCTCATTGGTTTATAGAAATAACATTGGTTAATGATAGGTTATATATTATTGAACTATAGACTGTATGGCATTTTATTGCTACTTGGCATCAGTTAGTCCAGAGTCCACATAGTAAGTGGTTTCAAGAGGTAATTATTTTAGCTCAAAGGGATGTGACGAGACTGCCATTTCATTCCAATGCCTCTCTGGTCCTGGTAATTTAAAGTGGCTCACATGTCTCAAATAAAAAGTTTATTTTCTTCATCCTTTATTTTTCACACCTTTAAAAAAAAAAGCAGGGCTACAAAGTAATTTTGTTGCATAGTTTTTGGTACATTTAAAGATATATGCATCCTACAATGTACAACTTAATATTTACATCTGTAACGTAGGTATGCTCTTGCACATGACAGATGTAAACAATTGTCTTTAAAGGTGAAAAATTAATATAAATAAAATATTGCATATCATATAGTAGAAAACTATAATGCACATAAAATAAGTAATGTACATTATTCTCTTTCTCTTCCTCTTCTTCTCTTCCTTCTTCTCCTCTCTCTTCTGCCCCACACTCTACTCTCCGGAGATAAGCTGTGTGCATGCACTGTTGGAAATTTTCTCACAAAGCTTACAGACAGAGGTAAATTTCAGAGAAAAGAAATCTAAAGGCTGATACAATAAAAGGACAGGCACCTATGACAACATCAACAAAAGGAGCTTAATTCTAAATGTTAACATGTGGAGATGTGAGAAATTGATTTAAACATGTTTACAAATTGCCAATATAAATACAAACCTGCAAAAAGAAAACATTACTTCAGGTGATGTACTCAAAAACGATTGATACAATTAAATTATAAAGAGAAAGGTGAAAGGCAAAAAAAGTAAGATGAGAAGATTGTTTAAAGGGCTATAAGTTTAATGATTCACTCTCCCACCTCAGCACACTTTGATGCTCTAGGATATCTTTTTAAACTCTTGCATCAATTTGTCTAAGGTTCTGATGATATGTTGAGTGCTTCTAAGAGATTTTGTAGGAGTCAGAAATGGTTATTAATCCTTAGGTTTCCAAGGAATATGTTGATCACTTCCCAAAGCCAAATAAAAATATCTCACAGTTCTACATTAATGACTAGATGCAACAGGCAACACATTTGGCTTGCTATTTTCCCATTTAGCAGAATGGAATGAACAGTTTTCAAACCACTTTCCTGAGTACACATAAAACAGTTTCATCCCCACAAGCCACGTGTCTAAAACGCAATCTCACAAGTGCTGTTCATCACACTGTACTCCTTCCTCACACATTTTTATTTATCTCCATTTGCAGTTTCAATAGTGTCGTCTATGAAACTTTTGAGCAATGCTGCAAAGAGATTACTTGCACAAATTTTATTTAATAAATTTGTGAAAGTGTCATTTCTGGGTTCCCTTTCCTCCATGGAATTTGACAGGCCATGGAATTTAGAATCTTTATTTATTTTGCTGGGGTCCTTAATTTGCTCAGTATTATTAATAAAATCTCACCTATTATAAGTTATGTACACCTTGCAGAAAACATTTACCTAGATTATGTCATTGAATTTTTACAGCACAGCTGGGAAGTAATCAAGGGAGGCATCTCTGACTCTAGACAGTTTAGGAAAATGATGCTCAGAATTACTGGCTTACAGAACATGTGACTGTGATAGTAGAGTCATAAATTGGAACCAACATTCTTTTTTCTCCATGTACAATACTCTTCCTAGGAACAGCACCTTGCTTTGCATAAAAAGCAGTGTCATAAGCTTGTGGTGGGGAGAATGGCCCTCCAAAGGTATCCACTTCTCCTCTTTAGAATCTTTGAACATGTATTCTTCCATGGTAAAAGAGACTTTGAAGATGTCATTGACTTCAGAGTCTTAAAATAGGAAGATTATCCTGATTTATATGAATAAACCCATTGTAATCACCTTATAAGGGTTTCCTTATAAGGAAAGCAGGAGTTGGGAGAGTCAGAGTCAGAGAAGATATGACAATAAAAGCAGAGATCTGAGTGACATGGGGCCACAAGCCGAGGAATGCAGATAACTTCTAGACATTGGAAAATGCAGGAAACGGATTCTCCCACAGAGTTTCCAGAAGAAACACATCCCAGCTGATACTTTAATTTTAGCTTAGTGTGACCCATTTTGGACTTCTCACTTCTGGAACTATAAGAGAATAAATTTGTGTTATTTTAAGCCACTAAGTTTGTAATAATTTCTTATAACAGCAATAGGAAACTAAACAATATCTTCAGATAATACTTATTGTAAATTAATACCTCAGTATCATATTATGACTAGGAACTTGCCCCTTAATTGAAAACCAGGAAGAAATCAAAACTAATAATTTAATCTTCTTCATTTATAGTTTTATTGTGTTTTTCTTTCTCCTGCTACTTTTCACTTCTTAATTCAAGTTTTTTGTTTCATTAATCATACATAAGGAATGTGTTTTCCACATTGTTAGTCAATACACTTCTAGACTTCTGATTCCTTCTGAGTAATTTTACAAAAAGAGAGGCTGACAAATGGGATCTAATTAAACTAAAGAGCTTCTGCACAGCAAAAGAAACTACCATCAGAGTGAACAGGCAACCTACAAAATGGGAGAAAATTTTTGCAACCTACTCCTCTGACAAAGGGCTAATATCCAGAATCTACAAAGAACTCAAACAAATTTACAAGAAAAAAACAAACAACCCCATCAAAAAGTGGGCAAAGGATATGAACAGACACTTCTCAAAAGAAGACATTTATGTAGCCAAAAAACACATGAAAAAATGCTCACCATCACTGGCCATCAGAGAAATGCAAATCAAAACCACAATGAGATACCATCTCACACCACTTAGAATGGCAATCATTAAAAAGTCAGGAAACAACAGGTACTGGAGAGGATGTGGAGAAATAGCAACACTTTTACACTGTTGGTGGGACTGTAAACTAGTTCAACCATTGTGGAAGTCAGTGTGGCGATTCCTCAGGGATCTGGAACTAGAAATACCATTTGACCCAGCCATCCCATTACTGGGTATATACCCAAAGGACTATAAATCATGCTGCTATAAAGACACATGCACACGTATGTTTATTGCGGCACTATTCACAATAGCAAAGACTTGGAACCAACCCAAATGTCCAACAACGATAGACTGGATTAAGAAAATGTGGCACATATACACCATGGAATACTATGCAGCCATAAAAAATGATGAGTTCATGTCCTTTGTAGGGACATGGATGAAACTGGAAATCATCATTCTCAGTAAACTATGGCAAGGACAAAAAACCAAACACCGCATGTTCTCACTGATAGGTGGGAACTGAACAATGAGAACACATGGACACAGCAAGGGGAACATCACACTCTGGGGACTGTTGTGGGGTGGGGGGAGGGGGGAGGGATAGCATTAGGAGATATACCTAATGCTAAATGACAAGTTAATGGGTGCAGCACACCAGCATGGCACATGTATACATATGTAACTAACCTGCACATTGTGCACATGTACCTTAAAACTTAAAGTACAAAAATAATAATAATAAGAACTCTACATAATAAACTTATTCCTCAATTAAAAAAAGAGAGGCTGATCATTTCATTATTGCATGGCATTTTAGTGAATTATGTGTCCCCACAGAACCTCACTATCAGCAGAGTCCAATATGGCATAGGAAGCTAAGAGACTTATTGCTGTTTTCTCTCTCTTGTGAAAATTATTTGACTCTAAATAAATATTGGCCTATTTTAACAGCTAAGACTAGTTTCTCTATGGGCCTTATTATATTTTGTCTATGTATAAATTAATCTTGTCAAGTAGAAGGAATCGTGGTCATACATGTCAAGGATACTAATACAATGTTATTCCTATAAATTTTTGCCATACCCCTTTTGTTCCTGACATGACTTGTAGGTACCAAGATCGTTCATGCAATTTCCTGGCTTCAAAGACAGGCACCTTGTCTGAGGTCAACATCTGACTAATTGTAAAAAGCCACTCAATCTACAGTTTTAAGGTACTCTAGAATAGTTCCTGGAGGGCAGAGCCTTTATTGGCCTTATCCTATCCCCATAACAGGTGTTAGTGACTCCATCCAGCTCTAGAAGTGATGAGTGAGTGAAAGGGAATTTTGAGGTTTTTAAATGTATTTTCCAAATTGTTTTGCAGAAACATTGTGTTATATTTTTATCAATGGTGTGTGAGAGGGTTTCTGCCCATTTTAAAAGTCTTATTTGATGGGAAAAAATGTATTGTTTAATTTATGCTTCTTGGTTAATAAAGTTGGATATTACTTATCAAAAAGTAGTATTCCAATATTTACTGCAAAAATAAATGGTACATTTAAAAATAACTAAAAGAGTCTAATTGGATTGTTTGTAACACAAAAGATAAAGGCTGGAGGGGGTGGATGCCCAATTTACCATGATGTGGTTATTACTCATTGCAGGCTTGTACCAAAATATCTCATGGACCCCATAAATATATACACCTACTATGTACCCACAAAAATTAAACATAAAAAATTAAATAAATAAAAAAAATAAAAAGAAATGGAAAAAAAAATAAATGGTGATTCACTAGACCATAGAGCTAATCTCTGTATGCCTGGGTCCATATTCTATTTGTCATGAATTGAGAAAGAACATTTGCAAATTTTTCCAAAGAATTTGAAGAAGGACCAGCACAGGGACATTCAACATCACTGATAATTATACATATTAATACCTTCCAAAGAGTTAAAAAGCTCAAGTTCTGTTCTTAGTCACTATGAAACAGTGCTTGATTTCTTCTCAAACACATTTTGTTGAAAATAAAAGTCAGTGTTTATTAGCCCATAAACTGTGTATATCCTTCAAGCATTTAGTGAAAAACCCAGTGTTAAATTATCATATCTGTTTCATGCTGTTTACCTTCACTTGTCTTCTGTGCTTTTATGAGATCATTACTACTCTAAATCAAAGCATTTAAATAGTCATACAAATATCTACTAGTCTACTCATCTGGAACTCATTATGATTTATGTTGAGAGAATAAAGAAGCCTCTGGTTTCACTGACATTGTGATTTATAATGCCTTGAGGAATGAAAAAAATACAATAATTTAAAGCCAGTACTGTCTGTCATTTTTAAAATGCAGACTTCAACATTTTTGTAGGTAATAGCTCCTCTTTTTTCTAGCAACAATATTTGGAAACTTTAAACGAATGAGTAAAAGAAAATTGGTTGTCTACTCACTGCCAATCTTCCCATTTTCACATTCCCAGATTGACAGGATTACATTTTATAACTTTCAATAAACCTCCTAAGCATATGACTCATAATAATAATCTTAGTTATATGATCAAGAGCATTAACGCTTCAGTATCAGGTCTATGTAATATAAATAATTCACATTGTAAGAATATACTTTGGAAGTTTATTTAAAAATGTATGCTAAATCAAATTATACTTGTTGCTTAGTACTATCAAAGAGAGAACAATGATAAAATCAAAATTGAAACAAGTATTGCAAGTTCAATCTTGCTTACATCTTGACATCCCAATTTGTGATTTTTTTTCACTATGTTCAAAAAAATGGAAAATTATAATTCTGAGGGAGGTTTTTTCTAAATTGGACATAACACTAATCCATGAAGTAGTGTACTTCAAAGCACAAAAACATATTTTGAGTATATAATCCCTAATGTACATTTTTTAGTTACTAATTTACAAGATGTTTAAATGCACATAGGTGATTAAGTGAATTGTTTATTAGGATAATTTGAGTTAAACAGGTGCCTCGATTAACTAGCTATATCAGACAACATGTTCTCTGGCCTCATTCACTCAAACTGTCTACATTTAAATTTAAATTTTCAAATAAGAACATAGCTCAAATAATTTGATTAGCTGGTAGTATAAATTTCCCACTCCAAATTTTATTTATGAAATACCTTTTAAAACTCATTAAACATATGTAACTTTTATCTTGACATTGTTTCTTTATATATTTTTAGGTACAGATTAAGTGTAGTCATATATATAAATACATATATATAGGTTATTTCTAACATAACCTATATATATTTATATAGAAAATTTAAAATAGCTATAGAACTTTATAATACACATTGTATTTACACAATCTTTGCCACCTCTCTCTTAGTTGTACAATATAGAATATAAGCAGGTCAGAAGCTAGGCATATGCCTACAGTCCCAGCTACTTGGGAGGCTGAGGTGAAGCTCATATGAGCTTGAGAGTTTGAGAGCCACCTGGACGACAGAGTGAGATCCAGTCTCGAAAAAAAAATTTAAAAGCAAATAAGCATATAATTAATGAAATATTTTGTTAGCCTTCAGACAAATGGAAATATACAATTTTAATAGGACATATACTTTTCTGGAAGGGACAGATCTCAGCAATCAAATGATAGTATTAGCAACACAAAAAGAACTATCTATGAAAGAGCATTGACAAGATGAACTTTTAAAACATTACAACCTTCTTCTCTGAAAAAAACTTTTAAGGGATCAAAGATAAATATAAGCCTAGAAAACAAATATGTGGAAAACACATATCTGATAAAGAGCTTGTACCCAATACATACAAATAACTCTTGAAACTCAAAAATAAGATTAAAAATAACTCAAGTATTGGGCAAAAGACCGGAACAGATATCCAATGAAAGAAGATACACATATTGCAATTAAGCATATAAGATGCTTAATATCATTTGGGATTGAAAAACTGCAAATTAAAACATCACTGAGAGCACTGCATTGACTTGAAGAATCTTGAAGAATGACTAATACTTTAAAAAATTGATAATACTAAATGCTTGCAATTATATGGTACAATAGAAATTATAATTAACTGATAGTGAAAATACAAAGTGGGCCAGCCATTTTCGAAAATGATTTGGCAGTTTCTTACAAACCTAAAACTTGTTTTACCATATAATCCAGCAATTACACTCCTTGGCAGTACTATGAAAATTCAAGCCCAGGCAAAAGCCCGCACACAAATATTCATATCAGTTTTATTCACAATCATCACAACTGAAGCAATCAAGATTTTCTTCAGTAGGTGAATGTATTAAAAATCCGTTACATCCATAAAATGGAATACTATTTAATAATAAAAAGAAAAGGGCTTTCAAGCCATGAAAGGACTTACAGGAACCGTAAATGCACATTTCTGAATGAGAGAAGCCAGTTTGAAAGAATTATAGACACTGTGTAATTCCAATTATTTGACATTCTGGAAAAGAAAACTATAGAGACAATTAAATATTCAGAGTTTGATGAAACACAGGGCATTTTTGACAGTGGCAAATTATTCTGTATGATGCTGCAATGGTGGATATATGATACTACACATTTGTCAACCCCATAAAACTTCACTGGACAAAGACTGAAACTTAATGTATGCAAACTTAAAGAAAAAGTCATTTAGGAGAAAAGATCTGAAATAGAATGCAAACTGTAAGAAAAGAATCTATCTGTATTACAAACATGGAATGGCATTGCTGAAAATAGTTAGGAGACAGGACAGTAAACCTGCTGACCTTAGGAAGTTTAGAAATGAATGGCTTCTGTAAGTTTAGAGGCAAATGGAATTGAACATAATGCACTGCATTGCTGATAAGGCTGTTTCTTGCAAGGTGCGGATTAAAATGGTGATACTGCTATACATACATAGCAAAATTCAGTAATTAAGTAAATACATTGTAAATGGTGGGAGTCAGGTTTCTCACCATTGGTGTGGGAATTTACAAATAACCCAAACGAGTAGTATAGAATGATAAATTTGGTAATGGATTAGAGCTAGAGACGTTAATATGAAGTAATATTTACCTTAACATAGATAATAGTTGTGTGCTGAATAAAAGGAACCAGGGTTTCCTGGAAGAATGACTCAGTGTCATTGTGGAAAGGTACAAACTGAGCCTGGAGTGTCTTGTATAGCCAAAAAGTAAATACGCACTAAAACACATTGATAGGGGTATGTCAAAAGGACACAGGAGCCAACTGAAAAATCTCTCAATGGCCAAAGCTGAAAGAATCAGAACAAGAAAACAAATAAGTAGTACTATACAATAATCTTCAGTATAAAATAAATATTTATATATCCATATTGATACAAATAAATTAATTAATTAATAAGTAAACGTGAGATGGAAGACCAATCTCTCATGGAGAAAAAATCCAAAGAACTTATATAAATACCCTGCCCTCAGGAGGGGAACTTAACTCTTTATTTCCTAAGAGTGGACTTCCTTCCAAAGATGGAAGTATGAAAAGAGGCCATGGGGAAGAAAAGTAAACTTACAATGAAAAAACCTGGCAAATCTTTCCTCAGACACATCATTAAGGTCAACATCAACAACACCAAGAATGATAAATCACATTGCTAGTACCCTACATACGATGTAATGAATATGGCAATTTACCTCTGTGGTATATCCTCTAAAATCCATAACCACAGTCTAAATATGAGAAAAACATTTGACAAATTTCAATGAAGGAGCATGCTACAAAATACCTGGCCAACGTTCCTCAAAACCATCAAGGTCATATAAAACAAAGAAAACTGGAGAAGCTTTCAGTCAGGAGGAGCCTAGAGAGACATAATGACTAAATGTAATGTGCTATTTTCGGTGCGTTCCTGGAACTCATAAAGGACATTAGATAAAAAATAGAAAAATATGAATTAACTGTCAATGTTAATTAATAATGATGTATTATATTTGTTCATTCATTGTAACAAGTGTACCAGGTAAGACGGAACACATACATGTATTAATGTATTTATCACATTCTCTTTGTAGGAAAAAGTCCTCCATAAAATGTTCCTTCCTTCTACATAAAGTTTTATTTCACTTTGGATCTCTCTATTTTCTGTCTCCCAAATTATTTTTATCTTACATATTTACCTTTTTAGTCCCTCTTGCTTTGAGTATGGTTTTTCTTCTCTATCGAATCCCTGGGACTTCAAAACTGATACTCTTTATATATTCCTGTGACTGCCACACTCAGAATTCAATTTTCATCTGGCTTCTGCTATAAGATTCTGTTTTGCTCCATGGACATAACAAAAGGACAGAGTCACTATGTCTCCTGAACATAGTATCATCCAGGAAGATCAAAGCAAGGGACAGAAAGTATTTCACTTCTCTAGAAGGAAAATTTGAACACCTTTAGCTTTTAGCCAAGTTTATTTCTGGCCAGAGTAATGTAAGTCATAGCGCTTTACTGTCTTCAAATATCTGGAAAATTGTTGCCCTGACTTAATCACCAAAGAAAACAACAATAAAATAAATAAGGAAGTGTTCCTTGCAGGTTTAATATAGAAAATACTTTTTATTTGATAATAGTTAATACATTCCCCCCCCCCGCCCAACAAAATGGCCTTTCTTGTAAGGAATCATATCCCTGTGCCTAGACATATTATCAATGATACGATATGATCATTTTTCAAAAGAAATATTTTAGAAAAAGATTCTGAGCAGATTTGAACAAATTAGCCAGGTCAATGATCATCAAACTGTGCTCGGGGGAACCTCAGAGTCCTATTGTGGGGGATGAAGCCAAGCTTGCTTCTTTCTCTTGAATCAGAGCTGCTGCACTTTCTATCTGCTTTATTATTGGGATTCCATATACAATTGTATCTGAAAATAAAAGAGTTGTGCTGGCAAAGTAAAGTTATAACTCACTGGGCTGGATGACTTCTAAATGCTTTTCCATCCCAAGAATTTTATGGTACAACTTTAAGTGTCTATGATTCAATGTGCAATATAAAAATATAAAGTTAAGAAAAAAATGTAAAAGGTAGAATTGCCATTGTGTCTAATGATCAATAATAACTTAATTTTATTGCTATAATTTAATTAAAATAGTTAATAAAGTTTTGAGACAGTATGGCAAAAATGCACTATCCAGAATAAAGGACGCTTTGGCTAACGTGTGCCTATGTGTCAGGAGAGAAATGAAGATTAGCAAGAGGTTACTAAATCCATAAAGTACAAAAATGATTTCCCAAATACATATTTATGTGCAATTATTGTATACGGACTCAATATTTTACTTAAGATATATTTTAGAAATATTTAGATCCATTATGGTTCAACTGTTTAAAAGGTGTTTGTTTTCAAAGGAACCATCGAAATATTTATGGTAAATAAATTTTCTTTTAATCTGAAATGCTTTACAGACAATTACACATTCATTAACAGCAAGATCTAGACCCTCTTTAGAGTCTGAAGTATTAAAAACTATACTTTTATTCTGGTATACTTGAGGAATAGTAATTTCCATATGAAAAGCCATGATGGTGAATTTCAATAAGAGTAAAATTCTCAATTCCATAAAATGGAACCATCCAATACTTAAGCATATTTGTAATAAGGAAAAAAATAAGCCAATAGTTTGACTCAGCATTTATTGAGTATAGATAATATAGATCAAGTATGTAAGCCAGTTTATCTTTTTCTTCTTGCCATTGGTAATATGAGACATTCTCAACTGCATTTCAGCTTCTGTGTATTACAGAACTTATACCACTCACTGACTTCAGATAACTAGGAATCATATCACAATGATATTGTTTTACTGTTTTTTCTGTGGTGAGAACACATAAGATCTTCTATCTAACAAATTCCAAGTGTACATTACAATATTAACATAGTCTCTATACTGTATATGAGATCTCCAAAACTTATTCATCCTATGTAACTTAAACTTTGTACCCTTTGACTAACATCTCCCCATTTCCCCCTGCCCCTGCTATTAGAACTACCATTCTACTCTCTGCTTCTGTGAATCTGACTTTTTTTAAATTTTGCATATAATGAAAATCATGCAGTATTTTTCTTCCTGTTCTGGCTTATTTCTCTTAGCATAATATGCTCCAGGTTTATCCATGTTGTCACAGATGGCAGAATTTTTTTAAAGGTTGAATAATATTTCATTTTATACACACACACACACACACACACACACACACCACATTTTCCTATCCATTCATCTATTGACAGACACAGGCTGTTTCTGTATCTTGGCTATTGTGAGTAATGCTATAATGAACATGAGAGTGCAGACATCTTCAAGATAGTGATTCCATTTTCTTTGAAAAAAATATGTATATATATATATCTTAAAAGATACATATATATTATTTTTTGATAAGTCATCCTAACAAGTATGAGGATATATCTCATTTTTTTTATCATATATGTTTATTTATTATTATTATTTTTTTTTCCGAGACAGGATCTCACTCTGTTACCCAGTCTGGAGTGCAGTGGCGCAATCATGGCTCACTGAAGCCTCAACTTCCTGGGCTCAGGTGATCTCCCACCTCAACCTCCCAAGTAGCTGGGACTACACCACCCAAGACCAACTAATTTATTTTATTTTGTTTATTTATTATTAGTTTTTTTTTGGTAGAGACAGTGTTTCACCACATTGCCCAGGCTGGTCTCAAACTTCTGGGCTCAAGCAATCCACCCACCTTGCCTCCTAAAGTGCTGGGGTTACAGGTGAGAGACACCACATTCAACCTATTGTATATATTAAGGTGTACAACATGATTGTTTGTGTTTTTTTATTTTAGCTTCAGGGGACACATGCTCTGGATGTAGACATCCCCAAGGTACATAGTATATGGTGGGATGCTGAGGTTTGGGCTTTTCTTGTTCCCATCACCCAAATAATGACCATAGTACTCAGTAGGTAGTTTTTTAACCCTTGGCTCCCTCCCTCACCCTATTTGGAGTTCCCAGTGTCTGTTGTTCCAATCTTTGTACCTGCATATGCCCACTTATAAGTGAGAACATGTGGTTTTTGATTTTCAGTTTCTACATTAATTAATTTAGATTAATTACCTCCAGCTTCAGACATGTTGCTGAGGGGGACATGATCTCATTCTTTAATATGGCTGCATAGGATTCCCTGGTGTATATGTACCACATTTTATTTTGGGAGGTAGAGACTTTTAATTTTTTTTATTTCAACTTTTATTTTAGATACAGGGGATAAATGTGCAGATTGGGAGTAATGCATAATTCAGAGGTTTAGAATATGGATCCCATCATCCTGGTAGGGAGCATGGTACCCGATGGGTAGTTTCAGAACCCACCTACACCTCCCTCCGCCCTCTAGTAATCCTCAGTGTCTATTCTTCCCATATTTATGTCCATGTGTGTTAAATGTTTAGCTTCTACTTATAAGTGAGAACATATAGTATTTGGTGTTCTGTTCCTGCATACATTTGTTTAGCATTGTGGCCTCCAGCTCTAACTATGTTGATGCAAAGGACATGATTTCATTCTTTTCATGGCTGCATATTATTCCATTGCGTATATGTACCACATTTTCTTTATCCAGTCTACCATTGATGGGCACCTGGGTTGATTCCATGTTTTTGCTGTTGTGAATAGTACATCAGTGAACACGGAAGTGCATGCATCTTTTTGGTAGACTGATTTATTTTATTTGGGGTATATACCCAATAATGGGATTGCTGGGTCAAATGGTAGCTCTGTTTAAAGTTCTGTAAAATATATCCAAACTGCTTTCCATAGTGACTGGACTAATTTACATTTCTACCAACAGCATATAAGCATTCTCTTTTTTCTACCAAGCATTACCAGCATCTGTTTTTTGTTTTGTTTTGGTTTTTTGACTTTTTAATAACAGGCATTCTGACTGGTGTGGGATGGTATCTCATCATGCTTTTGATTTACATTTTTCTGATTAGTGATGCTGAGCATTTAAAAAATATGTTTCTTGGCTACTTCTATGTCTTCTTTTGAAAAGTGTCTATTTATGTCCTTTGCCCCCTTTTTAAAAGGGTTATTTGTTTTTCGCTTGTTGATTTCTTCGAGTTCTCTATAGATTCTGGATATTAGACCCTTGCTGGATACTTAATTTGCAAATATTTTCTTCCATTCTGTAGGTTGTCTGTTTACTCTGTTGATAGCTTATTTTGCTGTGCAGAAGCTCTTTAGTTTAATTAGTTCCCACTTGTCAATTTTTGGTTTATTGCAATTGCTTTGGGGGAGTTACCTAAAAGTTTTTGCCAAGGCCGATATTGAGAGGATATTTTCTAGGTCGTCTTCTAGGATTTTTATAGTTTGAGGTCTTACATTTAAATCTTTAATCCATTTTGAGTTAATTGTTGTATGTGGTAAAAAGTGTCCAGCTTCAATAACTCTGCATATGGCTTGCCAGTTATTCCAGCACCATTTTTTTGAATGGGGAGTTCTTTCCTCATTGCTTGTTTTTGTCACCCTTGTTTGAGATCAAATGGTTGTCATTGTGTAGCTATATTTCTGAGTTTTCTATTGTGTTCCATTGGTCTATGTGTCTGGGTTTTTTTTTTTTTCCAGTACAAAACTGTTTTGTTTACTGTGGCTTTATAGTATAGTTTGAAGTCGGGCAGTGTGATGCTTCCAGCTTTGTTCTTTTTTATTAGGATTGCTTTGGCTATTTGGGCTCTTTTTTGGTTCCATATGAATTTTAGAATAGTTTTCTCTAATTCTGTGAAGAATGATGTTGGTAGTTTTGTAGGAATAGCATTGAATCTCTAAATTGCTTTGGGCAGTATAGTCATTTTTATGATATTGATTCTTCTAATCTATGAGCATGGACTGTTTTTTTTCCAGTTATTTGTGTCATCTCTGACTTCTTTCAACAGCGTTTTGTGCTTCTCCTCGTAGAGATATTTTACCTCTTTGGTTAGCTGTATTCCCAGGTATTTCATGTTCTTTGTGGGTCTTGTGAGTGGGATTGTGTTCTTGATTTCACTTTCAGCCTAGATGGTGTTGTTGTACAGATATGCTACTGTTTGTGTACATTGATTTTGTATCCCAAAACCTTACTAAGACTGTTTATCCATTCTAGAGCCTTTTGTCAGAGCTTTTAGGATTTTCTGGGTACAAAATCATAACATTAGTGAAGAGAGATAGTTTGACTCCTTCTTTTCCTACTTGAATGCCTTTTATTTCTTTCCCTTGCTTGATTGCTCTGGCTAGGACTTCCAGTACTATGTTGAATAGGAGTGATGGGAATGGACATCCTTGCCTTGTTCCAGGCCTCAAGGGAAATAGTTCAAACTTTTGCCCACTCAGTGTAATGTTGGCTGTGGGTTTGTGATAGATGGCTGTTATTATTTTGAGGGATCTTCTTTTAATGCCTAGTCTGTTGAGAGTTTCTACTTCGAAGGGATGTTGTTTCTTATTTAATGCTTTCTCTACATCTACGAAGATGATCATATGGTTTTTGCTTTTGATTTTGTATACGTGGTAAATCACATTTATTGGTTTGTGTACATTGAACCAGCTTTATATCTCAGAAATAAAACCTACTTGGTCATAGTGTATATTAACTTTAAAAAAAAAACTTTTATTTTAGGTTCAGAAGTACATGTGAAGGTTTTTAACATCATAGGTGAACTCGTGTCACAGGGATTTGTTGTGCAGATTATTTCATCACCCACGTATTAGGCCCAGTACCCAATAATTATCTTTTCTTTTCATCATTTAGCTCTCACTTATAAATGAGAACATGTTGTATTTGATTTTCTGTCTCTACGTTAGTTTGCTAAGGATAATAGCCTCTAGCTCCATTCATGTTCCCAAAAAAGACATGTATTAAGTTTTTTTATGTGCTGCTGGATTCAATTTGCTAGTATTTTGTTGAGGACCTTTATGTGTATGTTTGTGAGGGATATTGGTCTGAAGTTTCCTTTTTTCGTTGTGTCTTTGTCAGATTTTGATATCAGGCTGATGGTGGCTTCATAGAATGTGTTAGGGAGGAGCCCCTCCTCCTCAATTTTTTGGAATAGTTTTAATATTGTTGGTATATTGGCATTTCTTTGTGTGTCTGGTAGAATTTGGCTGTGAATTTATCTGGTCGGGGCTTTTTTTTTTGAGGGGGTGCTCCTTATTACTGTTTCAATTTCAGAAGTTGATATTGGTCTATTCAGGGTTTCAATCTGTACCTCATTTAATCTTGGAAGATAGTGTACTTCCAGGAATTTGTCCATTTCCTCTAGATTTTCTAATTTGTGTGCATACAGTTGTTCATAGTAGTCTCTGATATCTTTTGTATGTTGTAATATCACCTTTGTCATTTCTGATTGTCCTTATTTCGATCTTCTCTTTCTGTTTTATTTTGGTTAGTTTAGCTAGGGGCCCATCAGTCTTATTTATTTTTTTCAAAAAAACCATCTGCATTTCATTGATCTTTTGTATGGAATTTGCATTTCAATTTCAACAAGTTATTCTCTAATTTTAGTTATCTATTTTCTTCTGCTAGTTTTGGGTTTGGTTTGTTATTTTTTATTCCAGTTCCTTTAGGTGTAACAATAGATTGTTAACTTGAGACTTTCTAATTTCTTGATGAAGGAGTTACGAGCTATAAACTTTCCTTGTAACACTGCTTTTGCTGCATCCCAGAGATTTTGGTAAGTTGTGTACCTATTTACATTAATTTCAAGTTTTAAAAAATGTTTGCCTTAATTATGTTTACCCAGGAGTTATTCAGGAGTAAGTTGTTTAATTTCCATGTATTTGTATCATTTTGAGAGATACTCTTGGTATTGATTTCTATTTTTTATTGCACTGTGGTCCAAGAGTGTGTTTGGTTTGGTATGATTTTAATTTTTTTGGATTTATCAAGGCTTGCTTCACCACCAAGCATGTGGTTGATCTTAGAATATGTTCCATGTGCAGATGAGAGGAATGTATATTCTGTAGTTGTAGGGTAAAGTATTCTGTAGGTGTCATTAGGTACAGTTGGTCAAGTGTCAAGTTGAAGTCCAGAGTTTCTTTGTGAGTTTTTTGCCTCCGAGATCTGTCTAACACTGTCAGTGGGGTGTTAATGTCTCCCACTATTATTCTGTGATTGTCTAAGTCTTTTTGTTGGCCAGGAACCCATTTTATGAATCTGGGTGCTCCAATGTTGGGGGTGTATATATTTAGAATAGTTAAGGCTTCTTGTTGGATTGTACCCTTTATCGTTATGTAATGCCCTTCATTGTCCTTCTTAATTTTGATTGGTTTAAAGTTTGTTTTATCTGATACAGGAATAGACTCCTGCTCTTTTTGGTTTTCCATTTGCATGCTACATATTAGTCCACTCTTTTATTTAGCCCTTGGATATCATTATATGCGAGGTGGGTCTCTTAGAGACAACAGATGTTTGCGTCTTGTCTTTGTATCCAGTCTGACACTGTGTCTTTTAAGTTAGACATTTAGACTATTTATACTCAAGGTTAGCATTGATATGTGTGATTTTTATCCTGTCATAGTGTTGCTAGCTGGTTGTTATGTAGACTTGATGCGTAGTTGCATTTTATAGTGCCTGTGGGCCGTATGCTTAGATGTGCTTTTGTGATAGCAAGTGTCCTTCTTTAGAATCCATATTTAACAGTCCCTTAAAAACTTCTTGTAAGACTGGTCTAGTTGAAACATATTCCCGCAATATTTGCCTGTCTGAAAAGGATTTTATTTCTCCCTCACTTATGAAACTTAGTAAGGCAGAATATTAAATTCTTGGTTGGGTTTTCTTTTCTTAAAGGACACCGAAAATAGGCCCTCAATGTCTTCTGGCTGATAAAAGTTTCTGCTGAGAGGTCTTCTGCTAGCCTGATGGGGTTCCTTCTTTAGGTTACCTGAACCTTCCTCTCTAGCTACTTTTAAGATATTTTCTTTTTCACTGGCCTTAGTGAATCTGATGACTATGTGTCTTGGGGATGGTTGCCTTGTATAGTATCTGGCTGGAGTTCTCTGTATTTCTTAGATTTTCATGTCAACCTCTCTAGCAAGATTAAGGAAATTGCTGTGGAATATATCCTCAAATATAATGCTCAAGTTGCTTATTCTCCCTTCTTCTCTCTCAGGAATGCCACTGAGTCACAGGTTTGTCTCTTTACATGATCCTGTATTTCTCAGAGGTTTTGCTCATTTTTCTTAATTCTTCTGTCTCTATTTTTGTCTGATTTAGTTGATTTGAAGCATTAGCCTGAAGACTCTTTCCTCAGCTTGGCTATGCTGCAGTTAATACTTTCAAATGTATTATGAAATTATCATACTGAATTTTTCAGCTCAAGAAGCTCAGTTTGGATTTTTCTTAAAATGGGAGTTTCATCTTTCAGCTCTTGAATAGTTTTACTGTATTGTTTCACTATGTTAGATTGTTTCAAGTTTCTTCTTGATTTCAATGAGCTTCCTTGCCATCCAGATTCAGAGTTCCATGTCTGTTATTTCAGACAATTCAGACAAGTTAAGAACCATCACTGGGGAGCTAGTGGGCTCATTTGGAGGTAAGGGAACACTCTGGCTTTTTGAATTGCCAGAGTTATTTCACTGATCCTTTCCCACCTGGCAGGGCTGGTATTTCCTTAGTTGTGGTGTAAACTGAGAATTGCCTATTGCCTTCATTTTTGGAATTTCAGAAGACTAATGCTTTGTACAGATTCTTTGTTGTAGCGTTCTTGCTGTTTCCAATGAGAGAGAATTTTTGATGTAGTTTGGGCTGCGATCCAATAGATGGCACTTGAGAGCCATAGGCAGTTCCTAGCCACACAGTTCCTTTGTATATCTTCACATTTGCAGTTGTGTTCTGCAGTGCGATGGGGATAGAGGTGACACCCTCACCAGATCTGCTCAAAGGCCCCCGGGGAGCTACCCCTGATCACCAGCAATCTTCTCATGATTTTCTTTCCTGTTGCTGTTAGGTCTTTCAGGCCACAGGGCTCCCTTGGGGAGAAGTCCCTTAGAGAATCAGGCCACACCCCAACCGAGTGGAAGGAGGCACAGCCAGGTCCCACATCAGCCCATCAAACTGTGCAACCCAGCTCTTCCAGTTTTCTGAGAGTGTGACTCCTGCCCCTTTCAAATGCAGAGCACAGCTCGCAGCTCAGTACTTCTGAGCCACAGGCCATAGCTCTAAGGTACTAGGACCCTCTCACAGCTCCCTCCTCCGGTCGCTTGGAGTTGGGTTTTGGGTGCAGCCTGACATCTAAAGGACATCTACGTTGCTGGAAAGTATGTAGGTGGAGCAAAGCAACTGAGCTGGGAAGCAGAGGCTGCATTATATACACACTTGTATGGAGTAGCCAGGCAGTGGCCCTAGGAGAGGCTGGCGGATAGGTGGGCCTGCAGGAAAGATAAGTCCCAGTCCCAGGGAGAAACTGGCCTGGCTTTCCCCATAGCCATAAGCTGGGGCCACAGCCTCTCAAAGGTAGATGGGCAGCCCTAGGGGATGGGTGCTTACAGCTGAGCTTTGCCAGAGCTGATCCACTCAAAGGTCCCCAGCTTTGTGCTTGCTGCAGCTCCATCTCCATCTAATCTCCAGGGAGAATCCCCTGCCGGCTCACACATTCATGGGCTGTGGGGTCACTGCAGCTAGGATTCCAAAGGTTTGCAGCAAGAGTGAACAGTCCCCCAGTCCCTTCACTCATCCATACCCAGGCATCTTTTGGAGCAGTGAACCAGACGTAGCATTTAGATAACCACATAGGGTTCCTAGTCTCCTCTCTCATCAGCATCAGTGACTGTGTCTTCACCATCCACATTTGGCATTTTCTCCCCAAAGGTCTGTACAAATTATGTTGGTATGGCCAAAATCCTGGTTTCTCTCTGTGAGAGTGGCGCTTCCCAGTTGCATCTAGTTACTTATCTTAAACACATAACCACATTTTCTTTATCCAGTTGACCATTGATGTACACTTGGGTTAATTCCATGTCTTTACTATTATGAATAGTACTGAGATAAACATATAAGTAAAGGTATCTTTTTTATGGAAAATTTATTTCCTTTGGGGTATGTAATCAGTAATAGGGTTGTTCAGTCAAATGATAATTCTATTTTTAGCTCTTCGAGAAATCTTCTGATATAGTTTGGATATGTATCCTCTCCAAATCTCATGTTGAAACGTGATCCTCAATTTTGGAGGTGGGGCCTACTGAGAGATATTTGGGTAATGAGGTTGGATCCCTCAGGAACAGCTTGGAGCCCTCCTGGAGGTAATGAGTGAGTTCTTGCTGAGTTCAAAGGAGATCTGGTTGTTTAAAAGAGTGTAACACTTCCCCATCAATCTTGCTTCCTCCTTTGCCATGTAACATGCTGACTCATTTCCCCTTCCCCTTATGCTATGATTGTAAGCTCCCTGAGGCAGATGCCAGCACCAAGCTTCCTTTACAGTCTACAGAACCATGAGCCAAAATAAAACTCTTTTCTTTACAAATTGCCTAGTCTCAGGTATTCTTTTATAGCAGGGGTCCCCAACCCCTGGGCCATAGACCAGTACAGATTTGTGGCCTGTTAGGGACCCTGCCACAGAGCAGGAGGTGAGTAACCAGCAAGCATTACCCCTGAGCTCCGCCTCCTGTCAGATCAGGGGCAGCCTTAGATTCTCATAGGACTGTGAACTCTACTGTGAGCTACACATGCAAAGTATCTAGGTTATGTTCTTTATGACAGTCTAACTAATGCCTGATGATCTGAGGTGGAACAGTTTCATCCCAAAACTATCTCCGCAACTCTGCCCTGTTCATGGAAAAATTGTGCCAAAAAGGTTAGGGACCACTGCTTTATAGCATCTCCAAATGGCTTCACACAGAGGCTGAAATAGTTTACATTCCTATCAACAGTGTATAAAGTGTATATTCCCTTTTCCCTGCAACCTCGCCTATGTATGTTATTTTTTGATGATGTTATTTTTTGATGGTTATATTTTTAATAATAGCCATTCTGACTGGTGTGAGACGTTATCTTATTGTGGTTTTGATGTTTATCTCTCTAATGATTAGAGATGTCAAGCATTTTTTCATCTTTTTTTGGCCACATGTATGTCTTCTTTTAAGAATTGTCTGTTCATGCTCCTTGCTCACTTTTTAATGGGGTAATTTGTCTTTTATTGTTGATTTGTTTAAGTTTGATTTGTTTCATTTTATTGATTGTTTCCTTTGGTGTGCAGAAGCTTTTAAGTTTGATGTAGTGCCACTTACTTATTTTTGCTTTTGTTACCTGTGCGTTTGGTGTCATGTTCAAAAAAATCAGTGCCAAAACCAATGTTAAGAAGAGTCTTCCCTATTTTTTCTTATAGGAGGTTTACAGTTTCTATCCTTAAGTATTTAATCCACTTTGGGTTGATCTTTGTGTGTGGTGTAAGATGAGTCCTATTGCATTCTTTTGCATGTAGATATCCAGTATTTCCAACACAATTTATTGAAGAGGCTACCCTTTTCTCATTGTATATTCTTGGCGTCCATGTCAAAATTAGTTGACCTTATATGCATGGGTTATTTCTGGGCTCTCTATTCTGCCCCATCAGTCTATGTGTCTGTTTTCATGCCAGGACCATACTTCTTTGGTTACTATAGTCTTATAGCATAATTTGAAATCAAGAAGTGTGTCTCCAAACTTGCTCTTTTTTTGTCAAGATTGTATTGGCTATTTGGGGATTTTTGTGGTTCCATACCAATTTTAGAATAGGTTTTTCTATTTCTGTAAAAAAAGTCATTGGAATTTTGATAGAGATGGCATTTAATCTGTAGATCTTTTTTGGTAGTATAGACATTTTAACAATATTAATTCTCCAATCCAGTACAGTCTGCTTGCTGCAATTCAGACCATCTTCACGGCTCCTTCATGAATCATGTTTATCTAAAATAACCCAATAAATGTGCACTTGAAACCTGCCAACTGATTTTTTTATAAAGTACAACATGTTTAAATTCCCCTCAGGTAACCTATTGTCTTAAAAAATGCTCCTATAATATGAAAAAAGTCTTACTGGTACAGTTAATCACCATGAGTTATCCATTCCACATAATTTATTGCTAGGTTTCCTAGGTTTTTTTAGAATTTAATTGTGATGGAAGATGTGATCACAAAATAATGATTACATTTGACATTCTGTTGTCTCATAATACATCTGTTTAGCCCTTATTAATTGCATAAATTTGAGCCAATCAATCTCTAAATAAAATTTGTTCATTTGTAAAAGGAGGACAATAATAGTTGCAGATTCATGGAGCTCTTGGGAAATTATAGAGAAATAATCCAAGTAAGGTAGTGACCACTGAATCTGGTACAAGGTATATACTAAATAAATGGTGCACATAGTCTTGTCTTATTTTATATTACATCATGCATAAAATGCATACAAGCATCATGAAACTCAAGCACTCATTACTCTCTTGGAAAATATTATTTATAATTTATTTTTATTTTTTGAGATGGAGTTTTGCTCTGTTGCCCAGGCTGGAGTGCAGTAGTGCAATCTCAGCTCACTGCAACCTCCACTCCCAGATTCTAGTGATTCTCCTGCCTCAGCCTCCCAAGTAGCTGGGCTTACAGGCATGCTCCACCATGCCCAGCTAATTTTTTTTGTATTTAGTAGAGACGGGGTTTCACCATGTTGGCCAGGCTAGTCTCGAACTCCTGACCTCAAATAATTCACCTGCCTCAGCCTCCCAAAGTGCTGGGATTACAGGCATGAGTCACCACACCTGGCCTGGGAAATATTATTAATAGTAGTTACTTACTTGTTATTAGAGACATTATTAAATTTTAGTTAAGACAATACTTCAATGTATACAAATGCCCATATATACTCTGTATAACATGATTACATTTTTAAAAGATAATATATTCTAAATAACTTTACTATGACTATAAGAAGTTATAATTTAAGTAACACATAAAAGTAAATTGAAATGGTATTTGTATAACTATAACTCAATCTTAACATTCATAATGGTCAGAATTATTGTACATAAATGTAGCTTTATGAATGCAGTTAATTTGACTTAATTTGCAAATGAGCACTTTTAAATAATGATTTTGAATGTTCATATAATAAAGAAAAGGAACACACCATTCTCTAACATTTTTAAATAAAATATTCACTTATAGGGTTAATTTATTGTCAAGATATAAACAAAAAATACATGTGATTATCTAATGGAATATAAATATTATAATTATATATCAAGAATTCTGTAGGAACTCTCAGGAGAGTAGACTATACATCTATACCCCATTAACTTTGATCTTGGTCACACGACTTGCTTTAACCAAGGAAACTCTCACCCACATGAAATGGTGCCACACCAGGCAGGGACTTTGAAAGGTGCTACATACTTCTATTTGCCCTCTTGCCTTCTGCTATCTGCTACAAAAAGAGCATACCCCCAATGACTGCTATTTATTTTACCTCTGTTTTAGAATCAGAGATACGCAGAACAACCTTGAATCCAAACCTAGCGTATTGCACCCAAGCCACAAATTGATTATCCAATTCATGGCTAAAAAATATTGTCACAGCAAAATGATTAACAGAGAAATGGAATTCATTTTACTTTTTCTTCATAGAGAGAGGCATTTTCTATCAGGATGACATGTATAAGAAAAACAAATTAAAAAGTATAAAAAAGATATAAATAGATACCTTATATAAAAGAATAAAAATTACTCTGTTCACATTAAAGACTAGTTTTTTTAGATGTCAAATTTATCATGAACATTTTAAGTTATCATGAACATTTAAGTTATCATGAACATTTAAGTAAACTTGAGTTTACTTTCACTGCTAAAATATCCTGCTGCACTTCTTTAAGAAGAGCATGCTTTGAGTACATCAAATACATGTGCTATTCTCACAATGTGTACAATTGGAGAGTTGAGGTTATAACAACCATTATATGCGCTTTAAAAGTCCACCTATAAACACCAGTTAGACCTGCTGACTAACAAATTCAAGGCTCTTTATCTCTGTAAATGACCTCTTTAATCATGGGACCTGTATACAGTTATTTTTCTTGGATCTTCTCCTAAAACTTCCAGCAGGATAAGCAGTCAAGCCATACTTCATGACTACAGTTTTGACATGTTGACATGCTTTATTCACTATCTAGCTTCTTGGTTATTTGAGTCATTTAATATATTAAGTGATTTCAGCTCCTCTATGTAGAAGTCTTAAAAACCTATACTAGTGCTAGAGCAGTCTGTTGAGGGAAGTAACATAAAATAACTCCGAAGACAAGTTTTCCTGTTTTCTCCATTTTTTGTAGTTTTTTTCTGTTCCAGTTCTCTACCTTATCTTATCTTCTAAAATTCTTTCTATGTTATTAATTATTTAAATGATGGAGAGCTCTGAAAATTAGGCCAAAGACATTACTGGTTATGTAAAAGATAACATAAATTAAAAGACATAGTATATCTAAATGAAAATGACCTACTTGCTGTCATGTTACAATATACTACACAGTGAGCCAAAGGAAATTAATAAATATCTAAAGTACCTTCTATCATATTTGCCTGATTTTATTTTCATAAAGATCATTATCCATGAAGGTAGAATAAATGTACTTCATCTTCCAGTAGACCCACAGAATACTATCATAACATGATAATTATCATTTAATAGAAAGTATGTTCTAGGACTTTGCACTAAACATAGGTGTTAGAATCAGCTACATTCTTTTGTGGTAACAAATAAAGCATAAATTATCAGTGACTGAGTACTATAAAAATTTATTTCTCATTTGTGAAAAGTCAGTGCAGCCAGGTAGGGGTTTCCCTCCACCTTCTGATGGCTGCTTTCCATGATTTCTAGGATTGTCAAGGCAGAGAAAGAGAGATGGAAGAGAAAAAGAAACATACTAACTTATACATGCCTCTGACTAAAGGAAACACATCATTTTAACTCACATTCCCATTCCAGAACAGTCATATGGTCCTGCACTAACTTTGATTTTGACTTCTGAATGTTGTCATACTGTCAGTCCATAAAGCGAAAATCATCAGTTGAACAATTAGAACTGTCTTCACTAAATGATGAAATATGCTATCCTTTTAAATATATTCATATTTCTATGAATTTATTCTCATGATTATTAATTGCATGCAATCCCAGACTTCTTCCAAACTCAGGTCTGCAATTTTGTACCTGTCAGCATATTTATAATCATAGGATTGTTGAGAAAATTTTAAAATATATTTCTAGAAACAGATTAGCTAATTGGCCATAGTTCTGCAGTGGATAAATCTATGTAAACCTGACCCCAAAGTCTGAGGAATCTTAGGCCAAAGAAAGAGGCTGACAAATCCAGTTTCCTACAAAGAAACATTTAATAGGGACTTACAAACAGAAGACCTGTCTGTGTCTCAGGCGGCAGTGAGACAAGATGGTAGATCCCCATGCCATTATCCTGCAGACCATAGGAGAGGGATAGTTTAGAAGAGATGTGTAGGACAATTGAAATACAATAACATTAAGGTTATTGACCTAAGGGCAGGATTTATGGTAAGTACCTGCTGTACCTGCTCTTACACAACAAGCAATAGATAGACTGAAATCTTAGAGGTCTTCCAGGAACAGGGGTTAATCAGAAGCCAACATGGCAGATTAGCTTCCAAGATAGAGTTGCTTTGCCCTCCACAGCCATCTTTATATAACTCGAGAGCATTTAGCCCCACTCTGATATTTGCTCTCAGACAAAAATTTTGAGAAACACTCCCCTGGTGGAGAGCTGCCATTTTCAGAGTTGGGTAGGTTATGATGTTCACAGATGCATTAGCCTCACGCATGTAATAGAAATAGTAATAAGTGTCAAGGTTATAGCAGATACTATTAGGCTAACTGAAAGATGTCACATGACAGATCATGTAAAGATGAACATTTAGAAAGAAAAATAAGAAAATAGGTATAAGCAAAGAGAGACAAAAATGAACAGTGATAGCATGAGAAAAAAGTCAGCAAGACGAACTGAACTGCAAAAGAGCTGAGAAACTTTGACCATCTCTAACAATGTGGCAGCTTGACAAAGACTTTTCAGGCTTTCTCTTTTTTAATTTCTTCCTGCGTTTGGTCTTGTTCTGTTTGTTTTTTTTCTCTCTTCTCTCATATTTGTCTTATTAGAAACTGTACAGAAATATTATTTAAAAATTATCTTCTTTAAAACAAACTTTGAAAGTGAGATTAGTCATCATATGTAGAACTTTATAGATTAATATTTAGTAAGTGGTTAAAATGCCAAACAATTAAAAAATTTCAAGTATCTCCCTAATTATTTCTTTCCCTCTCATTCCTTAACCCTGACCTCCTTTCCTTACTTCCATAAGAACAACTGAGTGAATGTCAGTGAGTGACTTCACTTACTGTGAGGGAGGAGACAACAAAATCAGGCCTTTAATCTGAGCCTCCAAAAAATAAAAGCTGGGTTCAGGCAGGCATGTGCTGCACTACTGCATCCTGAGTGCTGACATACTTATATATCTCTCTATTTTCAGTGACAACATCCAAAGTAATTTCAGCAGTTGATAAAAAAAAAAAAAAATGACTTCCCACAACATTACCATTAGAGCATTTTATGGTGCCATAAAAGAGGCACTAATTACCATAGGAAGTCAGGGACAGCTTTATATTATTCCCTCTAAATGACATAAACCATTGTAAACTCTAGAGTTAGTATTATTCTCCTCATAAGCTTTTTTTAAGATTTAAATACAGATTATTTTCAAGATCATTTTGCAAAGCCCATGTTTGAAGAATCATGAATGACAAATTTACCCTACAAACATTTCTTAAAAATTGATATAAGGAATTTATTTCAGTTCCAAAACAAAAATGTTTACTTGTGTTAAATAATCACCAGAAAGTGTTTCATATTCAGGCCTCCAATTTTCTACTTGATTCCTTATTAAAAACAAATGAAGTTTTGCAAAAAATGGAAAGGATTTAAACATGGCAACTTCCAATAGAATATTTCAAAAGTTGTTTTCATACTGCAGGCACTAAACCTGGGCAGGAGAGGGTTTTATTTTATTGAATTATTAGGACAGAATAAGATCATGCTTAAATGTTTTAAAATGTACTTTTGACATACTAATAAATTCTGTAAGATCCTTCATGTCATAGAAGTTTTAATAAAATAAAAAGGAAAACAAGACAGCTCTGTATACATTACAGAGACATTAAATACTGGCTGAAAACAAGATTTGTTCAATCAGAGGCTGAATACAATCATACTTTGAATACAGTCTGTTGTTTCTTCTAATGTTTAATCCTATTTTAGGCAATTTCAAATCAATAATTCTATTTTATAACCAAGCTACAATTTGTCAAATTATTATATTTTACCACAGACTGTGCTGAGCTTAGGGTCATTAAATAGTCACTTAAAATGTATAATTAGTAAAGATTGACAGAGGACATAGATCCCCAATTTTATCACTCAAAGTGCAGCCTCAAAATAGAAGAAAAAAAAAGTAAAATAAAAGAGGCTCAGCATAAAAATTTTACTGTTGGCTAGCTATAATAGTATTTTAAGGCATAGTCTTTATAAAAGTATCTTAAAAAGAAATAAAGTACAGAGAAAAAACACGGCTATGTGTCATCAGAAATATTCTTCGTTACTCCAAAAAAAAAATTCTAATGTTCCTTAAGAAAGTAAGAGAGTGAGAAATAAGAAATACCATGCATTCATTAAATGCCAACTATGTGCCAGGCACCATGCTCTTTTCTTGGAATTCAAACATGAAATGCAGTCTCCTCGCCCTTAAGGAGCATCTTTTGGGAGTAAGCAAGAAAATATACACACAGTTCTAATTCAACTTAATAATGACTATAAAGTAAGTATGTAAAAAATGTAGAAGAATAAATACTTCTGAGCTTAAAGCTTCCACTTGTTCTGTCTCATAATGGCTTTTTCTATATTGCTTTTGAATATATGAAGATTACTACAAAATATGTAACTGTCCTATGAATTATTTTTCTTTTTGAAAACCAGGCATATGTCTTAATCAAGGTAAGATTGTGAGAGAAAACGAAAAGGAGAGTTTGTCTGTGTTCCTATTCTATGAGATTATATTGCCATTTTTTTCTATTTGGCCTGAAATTAAGTAAATTGAAATTATCAGCTGGGATGATTCACTGAGCTTTGTAGGATGTATACTCTACAAAAACTATCTGGAAAAAAATGGGTATGTAAAGGTAAAATCCAGCCTACATGTAGGACCATGTACCTTAGCACTGAGAGTTGTCCATGGGCTGTGTCTACTTCAGGTAAAGATTCCTAATGGACGAATGAAAACCCTGTTAGGTCCCCAGTTACTGGGCATACCCTCAGAAGCATGCCCCTATGAAATATCTACAAAATGAAGCCAAGCTTTCTAAAGAATTCATCCACACTCTGCTCATAGGGTTCACAACCCCAGTAATTGGGTTCAGAATGTCCTTGGAGGATATATCTGTTCATTTTAAACTTCCCTTTTGGAAAGGATGCAAAAAGAATCTATAAGCCTGTAAAAGAAATCATCTTCCTTGGGAAATGCAGCTCAGGATATGTAAATATTAATTATTGCAGGAAAATTTTCAGATGGCAAAATGTTCCTTATGTCAAAGTGACCCCAGTTATTTCCTTTATTATTTCATAAGTCTTACTTTAACCTTGGGAAATTGTATACATTGTTAAACACTTTGTTCCAAGCGGTGAATCCTAGGATCCATTTTTCCAAACTCTCATATTCCAACCCAATTTGTTCCCAAAATATCTTTTCATGATTCCCTTCATAGTAATGTGACATACTAGATGGCTTAAAAATTAAGCATGGACAACAGAATCATTAAACAAACAAATAATAATTTGCTTTAAAACTGTCTTTCTGCACCTTCCATGCCCAGTTTGTCACATACTATAAAGACTATTCTATCATTAGCAATCTTGACAGAGTCAAATACTGCGCTCAAAGACGTCAGTCCCTCAAAAGCTACTGGACTGGATTCCTCTTTTCCTTTCTTGCTGGCCTCAAACTAGGGGATACTATTGCATATTTCATCATTAAGGAATTCTCCTTGTATTAAAAATAAAAACACTCTGAGGCATCTGTGCTCAAGAAGACTGAGACAGATTTTCATTCTATATCACACCTATGCTTTCCCTGATGTCGTGTTTCTTGTATGAGAAATGTTCCCTTTTACCTGCAACTATTAAGAGCTATTAAGGCTATTATCTCAGCCTTTTGGGCTGAAGCCCCTAAGGAGAAGCTCTTGGCCTTAATGGCTTCTTGTAGGAAGATAACCACATATCCTGCCCTTCTATGGCCTCTTCCCATGCAGCTACTGTCATCTACAAACCATATGTCTTCCAAACCAGGAAGAAGACATTCTGCAAATCCTTTCTGCAGGAGTATTTCCTCTAGGGTGGCAGAGCAGTTGTGGATTAGGCTAGGATTAGGGGATCTTGGGTACTGGGAATTAGGGTAGCAGGGTTAAGGGTTTAGCATGTACACTCACAGATGTTGGGGTGTCTAACAATAGGGCCTGATACTGCCACACTCTGCTGCTTGTCAACTAATGACGCCTTTTGGCCTCTAATACATTTGTCATTTGGTGGGGGACCTGAAGAGTTGAATCCTGGCCCATTGTGCGCTTCTTGGCTTCTGGATAAGCATACAAGTGGCGCCACTGACTTAAGGCAGGGGCTGAGCCCCTTGTCACAACATCAAGTTTTCTAGAGAAGTAGGTCACTATAATTTTCACACGTCTTAGCATTTGGGTCAGTCTGAAAGCTGTTTCTTGCTCTTCATGGATGCAGAGAACAAAAGGCTAAGTTCAGCTAGCAGTCCTAGGGCCAGAGCCTCTAATAACAGGTTTTGTTAGCTTCCAACAGGTCTGATCACATTGACCATCTCATTCAAAAGCGTTAGTGTTGGTGCTCTGAAGTTTCTTATAAAGCAGCTTTGCTATGAGCTTAAAATCTGGGATCCAGATGCAGCAGAATCCCACCATGCCCAAAAATCTGCACAGTTGCTTGCAATTTCTGTGAGAGGCCAAGCAGCAGAGAGCCAATTTCTGGTCTTAGGGAAGACTTGCTGCCCCTGAGAGATGACATACCCCAAGTACTGGACCATCTTTGAAATCTGAGCCTTTTTCCTTAACACCTTACAGCCCCTTGCTGCTAGAAAATTCAGGATTAGAATTGTAATTTTATCAGAATCTTCCTTAGTGAGTCTGGCCATAAGGATATAATCTACTTATTGGTAGAGCCATGCCCTGCTCCTATGTGCAAGTCCCACAGATACCAACTCAAGATTCCCCCCAAAATCGTTGGGGAGTTCTTGAAACCCTGGAGAAGGACTATCCCGCAATACTGCTGCCCCTGATGCATCTTAGAATATTTCCATTCAAAGGCAAATAATTTCTGAGAGTCAGTGCTTAGAGGGACACAAAAGAGGGCATATTTGAGATGTAGCACAATAAAGGTTTTTGTCCCCTGGGAGAATGGCTAGAAATGTATAGGAATTGGGCACTGCTGGGAGAATGTCCTGAACAACACTGTTGACTGCTTAAAGGTCCTGCACAAACCTATACTCTCCTGCTCCTGATTTCTGAAGAGGCAGGATAGGGGTGTTATATGGGGACGGGCAAGACCTGATCTGCCCCTGGTGTAAGAAGCTTTCTAACATGGGCTATATTCCTGTAGTGCTTCAGGTTTTAGGGGAAACTGTTTCACCCTTGGTGTTGGGATGTTTGGTTTTAACGGTATCTTTACAAGTTCTGCTATGACAGCCCTTCTTACTTTGCCCTGTAACCATACTTCAGGGTTCTCTCGTGATAAAGTATTGTGTTAGTCAGGGTTCTCTAGAGGGACAGAACTAATAGGACAGAGATATATATATATATCAGCCCAAGGTTTGCCTTTTTTGAAATGGTTTGAACATATAAATATAAATATTTTATTTATATATAAATATATATATAATATTTATATAAACAGGTTTATATAACTCCAATAGATAGATAGATGATAGATAGATATAGACAGATAGATAGATAGATAGATAGATAGATAGATAGATAAGAGTTTATTAAGTATTAACTCACATGATCACAAGTTCCCACAGTAGGCCATTTACAAGCTGAGGAGCAAGGAGAGCCAGTCCAAGTCCCAAACTGAAGAACGTGGCATCCAATGTTCAAGGGCAGGAAGCATCCAACATGGGAGAAAGATGTAGGCTGGGAGGTTAGGCTATTCTCATCTTTTCATGTTTTTTCTTTCTGCTTTACATTTTAGCTGTGCTGGAAGCTGATTAGGTGGTGCCCACCCAGATTAAGGATGGGTCTGCCTTTCCCAGCCCTCTGACTCAAATGTTAATCACCTTTGGCAACACCCTCACAGACACACCCAGGATCAATACTCTGTATCTTTCAATCCCATCAAGTGGACACTCATTATTAACCATCACAAGTCCACGCCTTCTCAACTTGAACCCATACACCTGAACCACACACTCTCCTGAGATCATACATAATCTTCAAATAAAGACAATAATAAGGTCATAATTATTCCTAACATAACTATCCTTCATACAACTGAAAACGCACCAGTCCCCAACCCAAATAATATTACATAAAGTTAACAATACTTAAATGCTGATGTGAAGTCAGTAAATCTTATGTCACATGATAAAGGAAAAAGGAATGAGAAATGAAGACATTTTCTTAGTACAAGTGTATACATGCACAAACATGTTTTCAACAAAAGAAGGAGGAAATATTAATGACCATTACAGTCCTCATTTCTGCAGCTGGTCACGTGGCCATAGCTAGTATTGATGACTACCTTCTTCTACTGCCCATTCTGATTTCCCTTCACCTTCAGCAAGCACCTCAGCAGGTCGTGGTTTTTTTCCTGGTGGAGTGACCCAAACCTTCACTCCTGAAGGGTTTAGGCCATTTGTAGCCCTGCCTAAATTGGACTGTTGTAGTTTCCCATTGACCTTAATCATAGGGCATGGTAATACCAAGAGATGCCCTAATGGATCGCCTGTATTCCACGCATACCCTTCCTTACCTCTGTTGTGCAGTAGTAGACTGATTTCATCTTGATAGTCCAAGTCAATCACCACAGCCAACACTGTAACTCCTTTCTTAGCCTGTTGACTTGAAGGTAGGAGGAGCACGAAGTGTCCAGGTGGCAATCTTAACTTCCAGTTTAATGGAATCGTTGTTGTGTCTCTTGGTGGCAGCATTCCTCCCTCTGGGACTAAGACCTCTAGCAAGAAAAAAATAAAAGAAAAAACAATTTGAGAATCTGGCAAGTCCCATAAATACAAGAGATTCAGAGAGACTTTAGAGCTGTCACATGGCCAACTAAGATTTATGAACAGGAAAAGGAAATTGATGTACAGAAAACAGAAGTGAGTTACAGAAACATCTGGATTGGTCACAGCTCAAGATTTGCCTTATTTGAACATGGTTTGAACAGTTAGCCAACTGTGAGTGAAGGATGTGCTGTGACTAGCTGAGACTTGGCTATTGTTACAGAAGCGTACTCCTAAGTTAGATTTTTAAGCTTGTTTATGTATAGAGTTAGGTTGTGGTTCCTGCATAAAAACTCAAGTCTGCAAGTACAGAAGCTTTCTCAGGCCAAATTTTAGTTTGATTTAACAGTAATATTGGCTAATTCTCCAAGTTCCAGCACCTCCTGGGACACAGCTTAAACCCTCTATTAGCTCTCATAGTGCCCTGAGAAGCTGATTTGTTTCATCAATACTTTTTCCAGGCGGGGTGCAGTGGCTCATGACTGTAATCCCAGTAGTTTGGGAGGTCAATGCAGGTGGATCACATGATGTCAGGAGTTCAAGACCAGTCTGATCATTACGGTGAAACACCAACTCTACTAAAAATACAAAAAAATTAGCCAAGCATGGTGGTGAGCACCTCTAGTCCCTGCTACTCAGGAGGTTGAGACAAGAGAATTGCTTGAACCCGGGAGGCAGAGGTTGCAGTGAGCCGAGATCACTCCACTGCATTCCAGCCTGGGTGACAGAGTGAGAGTCCATCTCAAAAGGAAAAACAACAACAACAACAACAAAAAGTTTTCTCAGAATGCTAACTCTAATTTCTGCTGAACAAACTGCATTTCTCACCTTGATTTCTGGTTAGTTTACTTGTTTTTTGCAATATTGCCAGCTTAATCAAAACCAACATTTCCACACTGGAAAAGTGGACACTGGAAGCCATTATAGTGCAACACATTTATCCCTGAAAGTTCTAAAGAAATTTTAAATTTTAAAAGAAGATAATTCTAAAGTTTTCTACTAAAGCCACATTTTCAGAGACCTAAATAAGAATAAAAGGTTGATTAAATATGTCAGTCACACAGAGAAATCATAAAAGCAGGGAAAGTGCCTAGGAAATGGGACAATTTTTTTTAGACAGAACACAGAGTTAGTAAGAAAAATCTGTGGACATAATAGCCTTAGATTTGAGACCATTTTCAATAGAGTACAAAATACCAAAGACTAACCTATGGGGTCATGAAATATGATCATTTGTAATGAGCATTGAGAACAATCATAGGTATACTGGATGGCAAGAGATTTTAGGCAGTGAAATTGACCTAACCTGAATAGAGAATTGTTATCCATATGGGGATTTGGTTCTAGACAACTTAACTTTAATACCTGGGATGAGAGATGTGGCATAAAATCGCAAAATGTGTAACTGCAGGGCAGTGATACATCAGTAAAAGTAAGATAAACATAAAGTAAAATAGAATGATATAGTTAAAACAAATTTGCCCAGAGCTCAGTGATTAGTATTTAAATAAATATTCATGGAGTAAACATAATTTGTAAGGCAATAAAAGTATATGTAGAATAAGAATAAACAAAGAAATAAAGAAAAATATATAAACATTTTTGCAAAGAGGTTAGCAAAGGGCTATAGGTCTCAATAGTTATTCAGAGTAAAATAAAATTTTTAAAGTCAAATTATTAAAAGTTAAAATTGTTAAAATATAATAAAATCATTTAACTGACTACATGTAATGATACAGATACTATGCTGATTAATAATCATTGCTTGCTATCACAAAATGCATTTTATATTTTTTCAGACAACAATTTCCATATTTTTTAAAGATTTTTTTTTATATTTTAAAATTTGTTCAGGCAAGTAGAATTTACAAATAAAAGATTACTTTAGTAAGCACTTAAGAGGAAAAACATATTAGAACACAAGTTGACATTAATGTTTTTGAGAATATAAAGCACTGAGATCTTTTATTTTAAAAGTAAAAGATATGATTGGAGATTATTTAAATATCAGCTGTTATAAAGCTTACATTATTTTTTTGAAGTCTGTTTATCTTTCATCTTTGTGTATTATCTATTTCAGCAAAACAAAATTGTGTTTCTGGCTGGACTGATTGATTTGGTAAGAATGGCAGAGTAGCCTTCTATAATAATTACCAGGACTCAGAAAACAATATCCCAAAATGAAGACCTCAGCATCAGCCCCAGAAGCAATTTTTTTATCTGACCTTCTCCTGACCTTCTATCTCTCAGCCCCATTCTCCCCCAAAGCTAACCATAAAAACTAGAATTCCTTTTCCCCAAGGTGGGCGGTAGAAACCAGAACCTCTTTTCCCCAAAGCTAGTCATAAAACCTAAAAATGTTACTCTTTCTACCTTATCTTTGTAAAAATTGGCCATAAAGAAATTATCTGAACTTCCTTGTTTGAATGTAGGTCATAAGACCCCCATTCCAGAGAGGGTCCTGCCTCATACCTCATACCCAGAAGGAAGAAATGCTTGCTCAGAGAGGCCAAGACGATTCTGGACAGAAAGCCCTGGCTGAGTTTTCCCACTCAGTCTGTTAGCATTCTATCACATCCCTTTTTGTTCAGTCGTATTTCTAGATGGCTGCCCATACTTTATTAAACCTAAGCATAAAAATGGGCAATATTCCCTGTATCTTTAGGTTTGTATTCCGTAGTGTCTCATGTATACATGTTATATAAATTTGTATGCCTTTTCTGCAGTTAACTTCCCTTTTGAAAGTTGATTTTTCAGCAAACCTCCAGAGGTCCAGAGGGAAAGTTCTCCCTTGGTCCCTAAATACCAAACATGTTTTAGTTATTTCTCAGAACTGTATCTTAAAAATCACATTATATATATATAATACATTATATATATAACATATTACAAATAACTATAATTATATATATATATAATGTTTCATTTATTTTTGCCTAAAAATACATTAAGGAATGAAGCAGAGTGGAGACTTCTACATCCCATAAGAATGTACTATAAGAAGAAAGAAATTTGTGCCTGTGCAAATAACAATATCTTATAGCAAATATTTCCTATGTGCTGTTGGAGAAATATAGTTAAAAACAAAAGCTTCTCCCAACCCAGAAAACATCTCCATGAAAGAAAAGAGAAAAAAAAAAGACAAACTTATTATTATTATCGAATAAGCATCAAACCAAAATGTAATGCTTATTAAAGGCAATCTGGCTAAGAAATTGAAAACAAAAATAAATAAATAAACAAGCAAAAACACCTCACCCCTTTTATAACTAAATAGATACAACCCATTACACACGTTTTGAGGATAAACAACTCGTCCTCAAGTAAGAGGACTTGACATCAGCATCAGTCACATGCAGTTTGTCTTAAGTTTACCTCATAATTTTGGTGACAGTTTTTGTTGCCTACTTGGCTTTATCCAAAGGAAAAAATACTCATACTTTTACAACAATAAAAAATAGTTTTGCAATTTAATGCAAGACCCACTAGGGAAGTTAGGCTCCTAACCTTCCACAGAGACTAATGAATAGGGGGCCCTATCTTCTCTGTATGTTTATATTCCAGTGAGATGGTTCTCAGGTCCTGCAGAAAGTCATTCCCGAGACATTAAACTGACAAGTGGTACATTTAAATTTTTAAAAGATTTTCACACAGTTCAAAGAGACAGAAAGAGAACTTATGCTTACATGTTTTTAAAATAAATGCTCTCAGAAAAAAGGGGCAAGGAAAAAATATCCTCCCTTATTTTCAACAGAGCAAACTAAGGCTCTTATTTTTAATGTGTATTTGCCCTTAAGGTGCCAAGTCCTGCTGGATGCTCTGAAGCTCCACAAAAATTAATATGTAATCACTGCCCTTAAGAAATTCACATTACAACCAAGTAATAGTTTAATCTGATTAATATGTTCTTTCTTTGAAGTCATAACATATTTATTACAAGGTTAGTAGAGACTGACAAACATGAATATTGTAGATATGGTAAGGCATCCAACATCTGTTTCAATTGCCTTTAGTGCGTCTTTGTGAACTACAGAATCTGTAAGGCTAAAAACTATATTGTTCACATTGCCTTGCAGCTATGTTTGTAGAGGGAAATTAGGTTCCAATAATTAGAGGTATCTATGTTTAAGCAGTGGCCGTCTTTCTCTGCTTTTTAGCTATTGTACCTCACAAGCTGCTTTGCAGAGGTAGTAAGGTTGTTTGCAATGGCACATAGGTGTGCATGTGTTGGCATCATGGATTTCAAGAGGCAGATGCAATAGAGGAGGCAGGATTTGAAGCCGTAATTTCCTATGATGGATGAAAAACTAGGACAATGTATCCTTTGATCTAACAAATTCCATGGCAACCTTCTGATTCTCCATCTTAGCGGAAGCAGCATTTCACCGTGAACACCTGTTAAGTGATCTTTTTCAAAACGATTTTCTTCATGGTCCAGGGCCACTCTACCAGCACCTTCATTGCTTATATAAGACACTAATTCTGTCTATATTAAATTCATTTCTTTTTAAAATATTTAGGATAGCTTCTGGTTTCTGCAACTTAGTCTCTGGTCTTAAGCTCAATTGTTGTATTCGTTTGTTTTAATCAGTTTTTTGTGCACTTAAAGCCCTAAAACAGACTTAATAATTATATAGAGAAAAGAACTATCAATGCAAGCAGATTTTATTAACATGTGAATCCAGAAGGGAATAGCCAAAACCACCAATGTTCTTAAATAAATTAAATTTATAATTATACATTGTATTTGTTATTTTAATATATGCAATATATGTAGGCTCATTAAAGCTAACGTCTGTCTTCTCTTAAATGTTTTACATATGTGGATTGACATAAGTGATATGTGATTGGAGATAAAAATAGGAATAACAAGTACAAATTCAGTACTTTTTAATGTAATTTTTAACAATGAGGCAAAGAGTGAAAGAAAACAAGTAGAACAAGAATTTCCAAGTAAGTTACACTGTCCTTTTATTTATTTCATTATTTACAAAGTAGCAACAAAAAACTTTCCCATGATAAGACTTTTGTCAATTAATAAGCTCTTGACTATATCTTATGACATGACTTAAGCAACATTCAAATACAAATAATTTTAGAAATTCAATACATAGTTTTTAAAAGTTAGCTTTAAGCGCAAAGAATAGAGAGAAACTATAGATTACGAGACCCCACTTCTTCTTTGTTCATATTTTTCTCACAATACTACTCTAAAATCAGGGGTGGCATATAATGCTTTTTTATTGTTTTACTGTTTCATTTGCAATGAAGAAAGCATATAGATTTTTACATAGTTGATTGGCTAACACAGCAACTCATTAATCAAACTGGGTTCTAGCACACCTTTTTTCAAGACAAATACATATGTGTCCGGAATTGGTGGGTTCTTGGTCTCACTGACTTCAAGAATGAAGCCGCGGACCCTCGCGATGAGTGTTATAGCGCTTAAGGTGGCGCGTCGGGGGTCTGTCCCTTCTGATGTTCAGATGTGTTCGGAGTTTCTTCCTTCTGGTGGGTTCGTGGTCTCGCTGGCTCAGGAGTGAAGCTGCAGACCTTCGCGGGGAGTGTTACAGCTCTTAAGGCAGCACGTCTGGAGTTGTTCATTCCTCCCAGTGGGCTCGTGGTCTCGCTGGGCTCAGGAGTGAAGCTGCAGATCTTCCCGGTGAGTGGTACAGCTCATAAAAGCAGTGTGGACCCAAAGAGTGAGCAGTAGCAAGATTTATTGCAAAGAGCGAAAGAACAAAGCTTCCACAGTGTGGAAGGGGACCCAAGCGGGTTGCCAGTGCTGGCTCGGGCAGCCTGCTTTTATTCTCTTATCTGGCCCCACCCACATCCTGCTGATTGGTAGAGCCCAGTGGCCTGTTTTGTCAGGGCGCTGATTGGTGCATTTACAATCCCTGAGCTAGATACAAAGGTTCTCCACGTCCCCATCAGATTAGTTAGATACAGAGTTTCGACACACAGATTCTCCAAGGCCCCACCAGAGCAGCTAGACACAGAGTGTCGATTGGTGCATTCACAAACCTTGAGCTAAACACAGGGTGCTGATTGGTGTGTTTACAAACCTTGAGCTAGATACAAATTGCCGATTGGTGTATTTACAATCCCTGAGCTAGACATAAAGGTTCTCCACGTCCCCACCAGAGCAGCTAGATGCTGAGTGTCGATTGGTGCACTCACAAACCTTGAGCTAAACACAGGGTGCTGATTGGTGTATTTACAATCCCTGAGCTAGACATAAAAGTTCTCCAAGGCCCCACCAGAGCAGCTAGATACAGAGTGTCCATTGGTGCACTCACAAACCTTGAGCTAAACACAGGGTGCTGATTGGTGTATTTATAATCCCTGAGCTAGATATGAAGATTCTCCAAGTCCCCACCAGACTCAGGAGCCCAGCTGGCTTCACCTAGTGGATCCCGCACAGGGGCTGCAGGTGCAGCTGCCTGCCAGTCCTGTGTCGTGCGCTCGCATTCCTCAGCCCTTGGGTGGTCGATGGGACTGGGCGCTGTGGAGCAGGGGGTGGTGCTCGCTGGGGAGGCTCGGGCCGCACAGGAGCCCATGGAGTGGGTGGGAGGCTCAGGCATGGCGGGCTGCAGGTCCGGAGCCCTGCCCCGCGGGAAGGCAGCTAAGGCTGGGTGAGAAATCGAGCGCAGCGCTAGTGGGCTGGCACTGCTGGGGGACCCAGTACACCCTCCGCAGCCACTGGCCCGGGTGCTAAGTCCCTCATTGCCCGGGGCCAGCAGGGCTGGCCGGCTGCTCCCAGTGCGGGGCCCGCCAAGCCCACGCCCACCCGGAACTCCAGCTGGCCCGCAAGCGCCGCAGGCAGCCCCGGTTCCCGCTCACGCCTCTCCCTCCACACCTCCCTGCAAGCTGAGGGAGTGGGCTCCAGCCTTGGCCAGCCCAGAAAAGGGCTCCCACAGTGCAGTGGGGGGGGCTGAAGGGCTCCTCAAATGCCACCAAAGTGGGAGCCCAAGCAGGGGAAGTGCCGAGAGCAAGCGAGGGCTCTGAGGACTGCCAGCATGCTGTCACCTCTCACATATGTATATGCCATAATCTCAAAAAAACTGAATATTGATGATTATGGAATAGAAGCATATTGCCGATAAGCGCATTTCATTTACAAAGCTTTTATTACAAAGGTTGCTAATTTACATTAAAAATGTCTGATACAAATTTTTTGATAACACACTTGGAATCTTTGCAGGCGCTTGCAAATAAATACATGCTGTCCTGATTTACCAACAGCTATGTTCCAATCATCCATTCATAAGGAGCTCTTTGAATGTTAATGAACCTTATTATAAACAGAATATTCACATTATAGATTAAATCTGTATTACTGAAATTCAGGTATGCTGCTAAAATGACATTTATTGTCTTTCTGAGGAATCAAGATATTGTTTTATTATACTGATTTTATTGGAATACATCAGAAATTTCAATTTGTCCTGTAAGAAACTGAGACCTTATTCATACTCTGTACCTTTTCTAGTGTAGTGAAACTGGACTATAGGAATTTCTCTCATTTCTTTCTTAGAATGTGTATTCCACATAACATTCCAAATTTTTCATTTTTATTCATGGAAATCCCAAGAAATTGTCTACATATTTTTTAGAGTGAACATCACACCTTAAACAGAAAATAAAGCCAAAGAGACTGAGAATTTATGCCACTCTTAAGGGCCATAAATAGAGACAGGCAAAGCAGCCTAAGGCTGTCACAGGTATTACTATCAAGGCTGAAAGCCATCCGAGGCTGTAATAATTAACAATGAATCACAAAATCAAATTTAGAAAATTCAGAATACTCAGAAGCATGCATGTTTGACCAGCCATTCAATTTTTATTGTCTCTTGGATGTTCATTTAGTTATTCAGTCACTCAGCAATTATTTATTATGATGTCCCAGCCAAAGTGTACTATCGAGTACCATAAGGAGATGAGCATAAATCAGACGAGGACACCTATAATGAAGACTGTGTCAACGATGGGGAGATTAGGCTGGGCATGGTGGCTCATGCCTATAATCTCAGCACTTTTGGAGGCTGAAGTGGGAGGATCACTTGAGCAGGTGTTGAAGACCGGTCTGGGCAACAAAGTCCAGACCCCTTCTCTAGAAAAACATTTTTTTTTAGTAAGCTGGGCTTGGTGGCATGTGCTTGTAATCAAACTATTTGGAAGGCTAGGGGATTGAGGCTGCAGTAAGCCATGGTCACATCACTAACTCTATCTCTTTAGAAAAATAAAATAAAATATACGGACATTGGGATGGAAAGGTAAAGAAAGAGTATAGTATATGCAAATCATGAGGAAAATTTTGTCAAAATACACATAGTTTCCTCCTAGTCTACCAGCAATCCTGTTATAACCTCTGGAGACAGACACTAAGCATGTGTATTTATAATAATTTCTGACAACAATTCCTGCCTCACTCCTTCCAGAAGCACTATCTATGAGAGCTAAAATAGTGTCCATCACATAGTAAGTGTTCAATATTGAATTTAAAATATTAATATGTTGTTTGTGCCTTTTAAGCAGTTTTGAAACAGGGTTGTTCAAGGTTGTTCTTCTGTTTATATTCTCAGCTAATCCTACTTTTCAATTTAAGCAAGAGTAAGTATTCATTTTATACTATTTTTAAATATTAACAAAATATATATAAACAACAGAAAAGTTAACTCAAGGCTTGGATTAGCTTGTTTGCAAAAAGAAAAGAGCTTCATAAAGTTTTTACAATTAATAAACATGAATAAAAGAAGAAAATGACATTGAGAGAGTAAATAATAAATGAAGAGCAGGAGGAACGTGAGTATCCAGAGAAATAAAACCTTGGCATCCCGAAGAAAGATATTATTAGAAAAGGAAGAGAATTGCTATAGAATGAATGCATGTGTCTTCTCAAAATTCATGGGTTGAAATCCTAACCCTCAATGAGATGGATTTAGGAGGTGGGGTCTTTAGGAGGTGATTAGCCATGAGGTGGGAGACTTCATGAATGGGACTAGTGCCCTTAAAAAAGAGAACTTGGAGAACTCCCTCCGCCCATTCTCCATGAGAAGACACAAGGAGAAGAACCAGGAAGAGTGCTCTCACCAAACAGTAGATGTGTCCAGTGCCTTGATCTAGGGTTTTCCAGACTCTAGAACAGTAATGCTTAAATTTTTGTTGTCCATAAGCCACTCAATATATGGTATTCTCTTATAGTGGTTTGACTGGACTAAGACAGGAGGAAAGAATCAATGTAATGCATTACTTCTTTTATACAGTAAAAGTTCTTGAAATCTAAGAGTGGCCTAGGCCACAGAGTTCAAATTTTCCTATTATTCAACACGCATATATTAAGTTAGGGAGAAAGCAGAAGAACATAATCAATGCGTAATGGTTAGGAATCCTGGTGAGGTTACAATTTTAACACAATGTTCATGGAATATTTTCTATGAAGGAGAAACCTGAGTAAAGACCTGAAGAAAGAGATATTTAACAACATCAACTGTTAGTCAATGATCAAATAATAATCTATTATTAAATATGACTTTCATATTCACCATCAGCAGCAAGCAAAGACATATTAGTGATTAAATATTAGCAGGCTCATCCTTTCTGTGCTTATTGCGAGGTAACGGAGGAAGAGTTGAAGAGCAGATGAGAGTGCAAGAAGAGATTAAAGATGATAGAAATAAAACAAAAAATAAAACTACAGCTGTGAATCTCTACATATCAATACATATTGGTTCTTGAAATATGTATTATTTTTGCAAATATTTGAGTCAGTCTACTACACAAATAATGCAAACTCATATAACATGTAGAATTTTGAGAACACACTTCTTGGTTATTCTGAAATTTCATGAAGATTATGATAATCTTATAAGGTAGAATATGGGAGAGAAGATAAAATACAGTACTATTTTAAAGATAGGAGAAAGAAGCCTCTGAATTTGCAACTTCAATTTAAATAATAGCTAACCATTATTATTTGTAATTTATCCCTTTTAATATTCTTTAAAGTTTTTCCATATGCATGTATTATATTTGAAAATAATTTTGATCATCTGAGAAATTTATATGTAAAGAACAGTAAACCATTGTGCAAAGTAGGAGATCATATAGGGCTCTGTCAATTAAAACCTTCCATCTTACACTTTTATTCCTCTGTCTACCTGGCCAGTGACATTGTGGAGTATAATCCTTTTTATTATCCTTTCACAGATAGGCAAAACGTATGTATATATCACTTTGCTATGCAGATATTCCATACTATGGACTCTGTTCTGTACCTTTTATTACTTAATATATGTCAAAAAAATTATATGCCAATATGAAGAGACCTCATTTGAATGTCTGCAAAATATTATATCAATTATATGGATTTTACATATGAATTGTAGTTTTAAAATTGAATTCCATACTTGGTTTTGCAAAGAACCAAGTGTTAATACTGGAAAAATGTGGGTAATGAATAATCTCAAGTCTGCTAATAAACATGAGGCCTCTAAAAGAACTTGTAGCATATTTTTATGTTTCCCCTGATAAATATGCAAGATGCAGTTAAAATTAAGCCCACTCTTCCATCCTGATTCCTGCATGAACAATGTACTTTATACAAAGGTTTGCTCAGCTGACAACTCAGATTTATAGAAAACTAACAAAAAGAAACAAGTTCCAAGCAGCCCAGTTTTGTTTCCAGCTCACAGTGCTCTTTAGTCATGCTTGGTTCTATGAGCCTCACAGAGAAAAGCCTCCACAGTGGCTTTATTCAGCCTTTTTATCAGACCCCATACAACACTGAGCAATGGGTGATGCAGTAATCTTCATTCTTCAATACCCATGAGAAAGCTAGAGTTTTAATCTTCTCTTTCATGAAGCACCCAAGTGTGTTTCTTTCGGCATATCGATCTTCTCTTCTCTCTCTCAGTGTGGCTTTCTGTTCTGTTCCCTACCCGTAAATTCAATATCAAAAAAGAGAAAAGAAGTCAATTTGAGAATATGAACTAGATATCTGTGTTATTTTTAAAACCTAAATTGTATTTCTGTCAGTATATTTGCCAAATTATGGTTAATGTATACGGTGTTCCCAAACACTCATGGTTAACAAATGTCTGTTGCACTCTGGAGAAAATAAAAAACAAAGACTTTCTTACTTCACATAATCCACGGGAGCAACAAAATTCTCTCCCAAGGAATATACTAAACATTTTACAAATTCTTCACCAAAATTAGCCTCTAGGATTTTTGAAAACGGGTATATGTTCTTATAATTTGTACACTGATATGTCATTAAAATTAACAACTTGTTTTGATAGTCCTTTCCTTTGTTTGTTTGGTTTTTTTTATTATTATTATACATTAAGTTCTGGGATACATGTGCAGAATGTGCAGATTTGTTACATAGGTATACACGTGCCATGTTGGTATGCTGCACCCTTTAGCCCGTCATCTACATTAGGTATTTTTCCTAATGTTCTCCCTCCCCTAGCCCCCCAGCCCCCGACAAGCCCCAGTGTATGATGTTCCCCTCCCTGTGTCCATATGTTCTCATTGTTTAGTTCCCACTTATGAGTGAGAACATGTGGTGTTTGGTTTTCTCTTCCTGTGTTAGTTTGCTGAGAATGATGGTTTCCAGCATCATCCATGTCCCTGCAAAGGACATGAACTCATCATTTTTATGGCTGCATAGTATTCCATGGTGTACATGTGCCACATTTTCTTTATCCAATCTATCATGGATGGGCATTTGGGTTGGTTCCAAGTCTTTGCTATTGTGAACAGTGCTGCAATAAACATACGTGTGCATGTGACTTTATAGTAGAGTGATTTATAATCCTTTGGGTATGTACACAGTAATGAGATTGCTGGTCAAATGGTATTTCTTATTCTAGATCCATGAGTAATCGCCACACTGTCTTCCACAATGGTTGAACTAATTTACACTCCCACCAACAGTGTAAAAGTGTTCCTATTTCTCCACATTCTCTCCAGCATCTGTTGTTTCCTGAGTTTTTAATGATAGCCATTCTAACTGGCATGAGATGATATCTCATTGTTGTTTTGATTTGCATTTCTCTAATGACCAGTGATGATGAGCATTTTTTTTTATATGTTTGTTGGCCGCATAGATGTCTTCTTTCGAGAAGTGTCTGTCAATCTCCTTCTCTCATTTTTTGAGGGGCTCATTTGTTTTTTCTTGTAAATGTGTTTAAGTTCTTTGTAGATTCTGGATGTTACCCCTTTGTCAGATGGATAGATTTCAAAATTTTTCTCCCATTCTGTAGGTTGCCTGTTCACTCTGATGATAATTTCTTTTCCTAAGCAGAAGCTCTTTAGTTTAATTAGATCCCATTTGTCAATTTTGGCTTTTGTTGTCATTGCTTTTAGTGTTTTCGTCATGAAGTCTTTGCCTATGCCTATGTCCTGAATGGTATTGCCTAGGTTTTCTTCTAGGGTTTTTATGGTTTTAGGTCTTATGTCTAAGTCTTTAATCCATCTTGAGTTAATTTTTGTATAAGGTGTAAGGAAGGGGTCCAGTTTAAGTTTTCTGCATATGGCTAGCCAGTTTTCCCAACACCATTTATTAAATAGGGAATCCTTTCCCCATTGCTTGTTTGTGTCGGGTTTGTCAAAGATCAGATGCTTGTAGATTTGTGGCCCTATTTCTGAGGCTTCTGTTCTCTTTCATTGGTCTATATATCTGTTTTAGTACCAGTACCATGCTGTTTTGGTTACTGACAGTCCAATTTTAAGGACTGCCAAAAAATGTTTAAGGATATCTGATAGGATTAAAGATGAGGTAAAGATATTTTGCCTCTGGGATTGCAACATTTTATTCATTGAAATGTTATGTTTTACTTGAACATGTAAACCCAAACCACCCCAAGCATATGCAAGGTTGTTGTTTTCAGTAATCTCTTGAATTAGATTGATGCACTACTTGTCATAAATGGTTAACAAGTCCACGCATGTCACACATGTCCTCTTCTGAGTAGTTTCCAGCCTAGAAAGGAAAACAAAATCTTGGAAAAAAAAAAAAAAAGTCTTTTTTCTTTAACACAGACCATTCATTCAGGCCCTTCCAGGCCCTGGTATAATGGAATCAAAGATTATTTATCTTATTCCAACCTCCACACAAATTGATCCTTGCCCTGAATAATATCGTTTTTTCTCTTCTGGTGATTCAAGGCATGCTTTAAGTCAGACCTAGCAAGTTTCTGGAAGCTTACTGAGGACTTTCATGAGAATAAAAAATTTCTGATGACTAAATTCTTATGGAGAGAGGGTGGTAGTTCTCACACTTACATTCTTCCCATGACCCCATCAAGTTTTCACGTGAAAGTCTAAGAAAGAGCTCCACTCGACCCAGGCAGAGTAGAGGGAGAATAACCATTTTGAAATAAAGACCTCTTTCCTCAAGCAAACCTTTTTTGACAATTCTAGTCATGAAAGCCTCTTTTTATTATTCATTCTCTAAACTCATTTTGAACTTCATGTTTATCTCAAGCAATTTGATAATGTATTACTAAATTTTCTGAATTGTACTTTTTTCTTCAAAATACTGTGTTTTATTGGAATACAGGAACCATATTTTGTTTTCCAATATAAAGTGACTACCACAATTCTAGTCACATAGTAAGAACTCAGTAAATTCCTGTTAATTTGATAGCTTTAAAGTGAGTGAAGAATGGTGACTTCATTATTAATATCTTATCGATCAAGGACCAAATACTACTTTAAAAATTCTAATTTCATCTTTAAGTAGAACACCTACCCAAGAATCCTGCTATGTATTAAAAAATCTATGTTTTATAAATAATTATAGATGAAGTTGTAGATAAATGGCTTTGTGCTCCGTTATTCTGGGAAATACTTAACATTTTCAAATAAAGCAATTTACTTTTCCAATGCATAATAGGCTTTTTAAAAACTACTGCCAAATATTGTTTACATTATACTGCTTTGTTCCCAGGAAAAGCTGATGTTTAACTAGAAGCAAATATATCCCACTTGGTCTCTGTTAGTGGCTCTTAACCCAAATATGTTCATTTGATTCCCTGAACAGAATTAAGCTGATGTGATACTCTACAGTAAATCAAATGTTTTAACTGAGTGCTTTCCTTTCTGCTCATATTCTAAAGATTACAATAAATCCAACACTCAGATTAAAAAATGTCTTGATCAGATTCAGAAATCATGCTTTCTACTCTCTTACCTAGATGATTGCTGCTAAAAAACTCTGGAGAAACATGAAGGCACCTAATAAATTTGTAACAAGTTAATGGCTTAATTTGATGGAACTTTTTGGCATTTCAGCATATGGATTGTGCACGTCACTTTATTATGCATTCTTACAGCAATCCTTATTTTTGTTATATTTATCATTTTTGTTATCTTTATTTTATACAGTATGCATAAAGATGGATTAGATATATTTATAATTACTTATTTAATGACTCTTTTCCACATTATAGTCCATAAGGGCCCAATTCATGCTTGTTTTGTTTACCTTTTTATCTTTAATGATTAAGAATTACCTGCATAAAATAGGTTCTCAACAAATATTTGTTGAAAAATGAATGAAATGAGAAATTCTGGTGTTAACTCCAGTTGTAAAGAACTTAGAAACATAATTGCCATCCTTACAACAAGAAAGTATAGAAACTGAAAGTCAGTGACTTTGTGGGCCCATCAAAAACTGAGATCATAAAGCAAATTGCCACTCCACTCTGGAGAGACATGCATATCCAAAAGATGCACATCCAACAAACACCTGCTGAATAGAAGCCACTGAAGCCATAAACTGGTAGGAATATTTAATTTGACAAGTTTGACAAGTTTTTGTAAGCTTAATGAAGACTTTCATGAGAATAAAAAATTTCTGATAGCTAAATTCTTATGGAGAGAGGGTGATGGTGCTCACACTCACATTCCTCCCAGGACTCCATCAGGTTTTCACAGTGAAAGCCTAAGAAAGAGCCCTGCTGGACCCAAACATGGTAGAAAAAGAATAACCATTTTGAAACACAGGAAGAGACTTATCTATAGCAAAAGGACTTCACCAGAACACAATTCTGAAACCATATCCCAACTAGGGAAAGGGAATACCTTCCTACTTCAACTTCCTCCAGCCTTCTTGTCTTACAATGGGGGAAAAATAACATGTAGCAAATTGAGAACAGGGACTCAAAAGAAATAGATTTGGAATAGCACAGGAAAACAAAAACCAGAGGACTAACAGAAACACTAGTGAAGCCTATAATACCAAAACACAGGCCCACTAAATTATAATAGTATAGAATGTTCAACCTCACCCATATCAAACCACCCCACCAACAAGCACCAGTATGATAACATGGTATGTTAGTATTATATATGTTAGTATTATACTAACATATCATGTTAATGAGAGGAAAATCTGAAAGTGGGATATATGTGAACTTGGTACTATCTTCTGAACCTTTATATAATTCTAAAACTATTCTAAAATACAAGTTTATTGTAATTAAACTGACATTACAAAAAAGAATGAAGCAAACACACTAAGTTTATTTGATGCATAAACATAGAAAATTAGAATCCCTCAGGGACAAATACTATTCACTATCACACCATAGATATACTAAAACCTGCTAAGTTATTGATGGCTATTAGTTTTTCAGAAATTTTACCTCATCCTTCGCCATGTTTCAGTGATTATAGAACTTAATGCTGGTCAAGCTCAGCTTCATCACTCACTAGATGCATAACCTCAGACAAGCCACTGAATGCCTTCATCTTTCCCTGGGTCTTTTATGAGTTGTGCAATGTAATACTAGTATAACTTTCCGGTATATCTACCCTTCTCTCATCCTTGAAGTCGTCCTGGGAATTTTAGCCTTGTGTTTTGCTGCATTGTTTGTCTCTCTAATCACATCAGGGAAACTAACAAGTTTATTTTATTTCTCTTGGTAAAATACCTATAATTGCTGTGTTGTATGTTAAGTGTATGTTTAACTTATTAAGAAACTGCCAAACTGATTTCCAAATTGTTTGTAGCATTTACATTCCCACCAGCACTGCATGAGTGTTTCAGCTGCTCCACAGTCTTCTCCACACTTAATATGGTCAGTATATTTAATTGCAGCCATTCTTTTTTTTTTTTTTTTTTTTTTTTGAGATGGAGTCTTGCTCTGTCGCCCAGGCTGGAGTGCAGTGGCGCGATATCTCGGCTCACTGCAGGCTCCGCCTCCCGGGTTCACACCATTCTCCTGCCTCAGCCTCCCGAGCAAGCTGGGACTACAGGCACCTGCCACCACGCACAGCTAATTTTTTTATATTTTTAGTAGAGACGGGGTTTCACCGTGTTAGCCAGGATGGTCTCGATCTCCTGACCTCGTGATCCGCCGGCCTCGGCTTCCCAAAGTGCTGGGATTACAGGCGCGAGCCACCGCGCCAGGCCTAAATGTAGCCATTCTTATCGGTGTGTATGTCACTGCATGTCCCTATTGATTAATGTCATTAAGCATCCTATTATATTAAATCAGCCTTTCTTTCCCAAGATAAATCTCATTAGCTACCATGGATTATTTGTTTTTATATTTTGTTGAACTTGATTTTTTAAAATTGTATTAGAATTTTTGCATCTATGTTCATGGTAAATATTAGTCTGTAGTTTTCTTTTCCTGTAATGTCTTTATCAGGTTTTGGTATCAGGGTAATGCTGCCGTAATGGAATGATCTGAGAACTATCTCTCTTGAGGTAAGAGTTTAAGAAGGGCTAAAGCAACAAATCCCATCAGAATGTTAAAACCATACAATCACAAATACATCTATTCAAGAAGAAAAACATTTCCAATTATCTTCAGTAGAAGGTTAAAATCCAAGGAAATATTCTGTCAGTTATATCACTACATTACAATATTATAACATTTATCAAGTAATTTAACTTTTTAATGCAATAATTATGCTTTATTTTTGTTAACCAATTACATACAAACCGGTAAGTGTAGCATCACACTGTTATACAATTAGAGAGGTTTATATAACATTCCTAGGCATTTAAAGTGCAGGGCCCCATTACTGGTGAATCCAAGGTGAGCTCTATTTTGAGTGTTGCAAAAAACCCAGATATGAGCCAAAGAAAAACTCTGAAGTTAATTATTTTTTCTTCTGTTAATTTTTCATTCAATGCATTAAACTTCAACTTCCAATAGGAGAGAAAAAACATCTCCTCATGTGAATCTCTAAAAATATCCTGCAAAATGTCTTGAAAGAAGGTTGTGCTAAATACACGTGGGTTCGAACGGTACTGATGTCCTGCTAGAAACACTTGTTAAAAGGTTTGTTGAGGAATGTACACATTTTATTCTGTTGCCCTCTCCCTAATCCATGTGCCCAAGAACATGCCTCCTATTCTAATTAGTCTTCCCATAGAATGTTTTATACTCTGTACTTCCTCTCTTTATACCTTCTACATACAAATATTTTCTCCACTAGATACTGTTTTTAAAAGGAACTTAAATTTCACTGTAAGTTAATAATACTTGTTAACAGGTAATATGGTTTGGTTGTGTCCCCACTCAAATCTCATCTTCAGTTGTAGTTCCCATAATCCCCGTGTGTCATGGGAGGGACTCAATGGGATTTAATTGAATCATGGGGGCAGTTACCCTCATGCTGTTCTCATAACAATGAGTGAGCTCTCACGAGATCTGATGGTTTTATAAGTGGCTTTTCCCCTTTCTTTGCTCAGCACTCTTCTCTCCTGCCACCATGTGAAGAAGGATGTGTTTGCTTACCCTTACACCATGATTGTAAGTTTCCTGAGGCTTCCCCAGCCATGCCTAACTGTGAGTCAATTAAACTTCTTTCCTTTATAAATTACCCAGTATTAGGCAGTTCTTTTGTTTTGTTTTGTTTTGTTTTGAGACAGAGTCTCACTCTGTCACCCAGACTGAAGTGCAGTGGTGTGATCTTGGCTCACTTCAGCTTCCATCTCCTGGGTTCAAGGGATTCTCCTGCCTCGGTCTCCCAACTAGTAGGGATTACAGGCCTGGGCCACCATGCCCAGCTAATTTTTGTATCTTTAGTGGTGAAGGGGTTTCACTGTGTTGGCCAGGCTAGTCTCGAACTCCTCTCAGGCAATTCTTTATAGCAGCGTGAGAACAAACTAATACAACAGGTAAGCTTTTTCTACCCAAAAAAAACTTCGTGAGCTTCTACAAATAGATAGTGTTACATCAGCAATAGACAGGAGATATTTGGAGCATTCATATCTTTCTAAATCTAATGAAATTATGTGATTTACTTATATTTACTTATAAGCTAACTTAACTTATTTACTTTTTCCTTTATTCAACAATTTAATGTTTACAGTGTCGACCATCTATGCCAATTATTCAACAATTGAATGCCACTATGTAGACTCCGGTGATACCATTTACTTCTTCATCAGTAAGAAAATAATGAAATTAACTTTCCCAGGAGCCTAAAATGAATGAGTAGAGATAGATAATAAATAAGTAAACACATAAAATCCAATATATCCATAATGTGATGAATACTATAATGAAATAAACAGAGCTATGGGATAATTAGAAAGCTGGAATGTGCTAATTTAAGACAGTGGTAAAGAAAGTTGATATCTGCGAATATGACATTTGAGCCAAAACAAAAAGTTAGCTACTCCAGTGCCTTTTCATGAGGTCTCCTTCCTTTTGATTTATTGTAAATTTGTCTTCAGGAAATTTCCTCTCTTCACTCATTTATCTAAACATTTGCTAAATAGTGCTTTATACAGAATACTAGTTCAAGATGCATAACAGAAGATAAAAATTTAACCAAATGTTAAATGTTACTTTTTAAAAATAAATTATTGACATTGTGTAACATGTGAGCCACAAGCCATTTATATCACTGTCTCAATTGCTAGTCTTGTCAATATTCCATCTCCTATTGAGAAACAAACAACAGATGGGGTACCCTGTTGCCTGAGCGAAACATACACCTGATTTCCTGTCCACTGATATCCTCTTTTCAGACTTCTCTTCATTAACATATTATTGCTTTAAATCATCAGTGCACTTTTGTAGGTAATAGTGGGTGCTCTCAATTTATGATCTCTCTCAGAATCTTCTAAGATTCTCCTTAAGAAAGAAAATTTTCAAAACTTACCCCACAAAAATTCTAATACAATAGATTTCTAGTGCATCAAGAAAATCTAGTTTTAACAACCACCAGAGGTGATTTCAATGTAGAGGGTACTCAAAATGCATTGATAAAAATGGGTTATGCCATTTTTCACATGATTATGTCATAATTACTCTCTTGCTGTTTTGGCATGGCAGACACCAACAATTTATTTACTTATTTGTTTATTATTATATTTCAATAGTTTGGGAGAAACATGGATATGTTCCTTAGTGTTGATTTCTGAGATTTTGGTGCACCTGTCACCTGAGCAGTGTACAGTGTACCCAATTGTAGTCTTTTATCCCTCACCCCCACTCCCATCTTTCCCCCTGCATCCCAAAAGTCCATTATATCATTCTCATGGCTTTACATCCTCATAACTTAGCTCCCACGTATAAGTGAGCACATGCGATATTTGGTTTTCCATTTCTGAGTTACTCCACTTAGAATAATGGTCTCCAACTCCTTCCAAGTTGCTGCAAGTGCCATTATTTTATTCCTTTTTTATGGTTGGGTAGTATTCCATGGTGTGTATATACCACATTTTCTTTTTCCAGTGTTTGTTTGATGGGCATTTAGGCTGGTTCCATAATTTTGCAACTGCAAATTGTGCTACTGTAAACATGGGTGTGCAAGTGTCTTTTTCATACAAAGACTTCTTTTCCTTTGTGGATTTTCTTGTGGAATTGTTGAATCAAATGGTAGTTCTACTTTTAGTTCTGTAAGGAATTTCCACACTGTTTTCCATAGTGATTGTACTAGTTTATATTTCCACCAGCAGTATAAAAGTGTTGCCTTTTCACCACATCCATGCCAACATCTATTTTTTTTAAATTATGGCTTTAGGCAAAAGAAATAATAAGCACTGTAAACAGACAACCCACAGAGTGGGATAAAATATTTGCAAACTATACATCTGACAAAGGACTAATATCCAGAATCTACAAGGAACAATTTGTTCGTCAAAAAAAAAAATTATTTCAATAGCTTTAGGGGTACAAGTGGTTTTTGGTTACATGGATGAATTGTATACTGGTGAAGTCTGAAATTTTACTGCACCTGTCACCTGGGTAAAGATACCAACAGTTTAAAGACTTCTATAGAAAGTAACTCTGTATGTAGACCTTTCCAAGGTAAAGAGAAGGATAATGGTTGGCAGAAGGGACATCTAACAAGATTGCACGTTTGGCAGAAGGCACAGCAAGTAAAAAAGAGTTATTATCTATGAAAACAATACAAAAGAAATGTGAAGAACTACAGAAGAATACAAAGAAATTGGAATAAGAAGTAATAAACCTTGAAAGCCACACAGAAATGAATATGGCAGAATGTGGACAATTAGAACAGTATCAATCAGAGACTAAAGAAAGAGCAAGACAGGTAATAGTAGAAAAATTAAATGAAGTCAATCTGTTTTTACAGAACTAATGAGAGACTAGCAGAGGTCAGTACCAAACTTCTTGTGGAGAAAGAGCAGACCAGATCTTTATTTACTAATCATACTACAAGGCCAGTCCTAGACTCACCTTGTGTTGGAAATCTTAATAATAGTTTAGGGCTCTACAGAAAACATATTCCAAGAGAAAACTTAATGATCCCTACCTCAGGCCCACAGACTTCAAATAACAGAATAAAGAACTACTTGTTGAAGATACAGCAAGAGTTGCAAGAAAGCACAACTAGAGAACTAAAAAAAGATGTGGCTGAATTTGAATCTGGATCCTATGTAGCTTCTCCTCTAGGGTCTACTGATGAGTCAGATTTAAATCAAGATCTAGTTTGGAAAGTATCATGAGAATATGTAGAGATTTTTAAAAAACTATATGATCTGAAAGATAATAACATTTTACTGGGCTTTTTTTTAAAAAAAATGTTCCTCTAAACCTTTATGGTTTTATTTTATTACCATAACTATTAAGGCCATGCCTCATTCCCAAGTACTTGGAGGGAGTACAAACATACAAATTTACAGAGCACATTTCCTACATGAGCACCTGAAACCCTCTTAGCTTAACAAACACACTCCAGGTCTGGGCATGTCTGAGTATTAGACAATATCAGATTCCTCACTTATTTCTCTTCTTTAGACTTTGCCTTCTCAAATATACATTATTAATTCCTATTAATAAATGAGATTTTTCTGACTACTGTGGCCTAAAGTACATTTCATGCAATTCCTATAACTCTAAAAGATAAAAAAAAAAATAAGTTAAATTATATTAGAATTGGATGGTGCCTTAAAGATCATTTAGTTTATTCAAACATTTCTAAGAACAGGGGAGATTAAATAAATTGCTTCATGTAACCCATTTAATTAGTGGCCCATCTAGATTATCTTCTAATTCATGAAATGATGCTCTCTTGAGCAAGCCATATTTACTAATAAGAGATCATATTTAGTACGAACAAGGTATTTCATGTTTTTGCTTTTTTTTCTTTTTATGACATAAAACTGATTTAAGAATCAGTTTGTAAACTGCTGCAGACCATGGCCAAAACTTCCCCTGTATTCCCCTCAGAAGTGACTGGCACACAGTGGTTACTCCAAAATGATATACACCACATTCTTTTTTCTCAATTTTTTTTAATAGCAACCCATATAGAAACCCACAGTATAAACCCATGTGCATTAACAGAAAAATAAATTAATTGGAAAAAGAATAAAAAGGAGGCAGAGACAGAAAAATGGGCACAAGGAAAAGCAACCAGACCAAGCTAAGCAGGTTGCCTTGGTAACACCAGTTTCAAGGGTTTTGTTCTTTTAAAAAGCCTCACATTTCTGACAGGATACCGAGCACCATCTAGTGGTGATATTTCAAATTCAAACAATCCACACTTTCAGGCTCAATTTCAAACAAAACTAAAATGTGGTACTTTTGTTTGTTGGTTTTTGTTGTTGTTTTAGTAAGATGCAACCCACCAGTTCTGAAATACACACATAGAGACTCAGTGACAGAGACAGAAATTGTTTTGTGTGCATGTGCAAAATGAAGACTTGGAAGATTTGTGATTATAATTTACTGAAGGGTCTTTTAGAAAATACTATTTATCACAAAAGACCAATCATATGAGATTTGCTTAAAACTTGAATAATATGTGCATAATATCTAAAATTACAAGTTTATTATGTCAAATATATAAAAGTATAAGTGTATGACACACTCAGAGCTCTATTCAAATAAAGTACCCATTTTGATTAATTTGCATTGATTATATTACAGAGCTAAACAGGGAGGGAGGGAGAGAAAGAAGAAAGACAGAGAAAGACCCCTTATTTTGGAGAAATTTGGTGCATTTGCAAGGGAGATGGAGGTTCAATTTTATAAATACTTTTCTCTTAATACCAACCATACTAAGCCTGCTTTGGGTATTAGCTACCCAAACATAGGTATAAATGAAAAACTATACTCAAAGTAAAACTTATTGTATTCCAAAGATATACTCACAACAAAAACTTAACCAAGATTATTCATTTTACACATTTCATTCAAGCATAATAATACCTTGTTTTTGAAGCTTATATAAGTTATGTATATTCCAATATTGTAAAACTCCCTTAAATCTCTTAAATCTTAAAACTCTCTAAAGCTTTGGGGTGAAGATTTTCAGATTTTATATTAAATTTTAATATTTTGATAATTTTTTTATATCACGTATGTAGGAGCCAGGTGGAGAAAGACTAAGAGCTGGAAGAAAAGAGGTATGCAAAGATGATTTATATAAACATCAAGATTTCAAATAAAGTAATAAGCTTTTGTCAATTTTCCAGGATATTTTCTCTCCTTGTAATGTTCATTTCACCATCCTTGTCCAAGAGAAGTCTTTTTCATCCCACAAGACTTAGAGTCACTTGCAAAAAAAAAAAAAAAAACTTCCAGCCGTCCATAATTTTTTCCATGTTCCCATTAGTGATTATGAATGCCTTTGTTTCTCAAGGATCCCCAATCCTATCTTCTGAGAAACTTTGGAAATTACTAGAGATTTGTATTGAGTTGGTCAGGATTAAGCCTAGATATTGGTATTTTTAAAATTTCTCCAGAGACCCCAAAGCTTGGACAAAATTGTAAATACCTGCTTTATATTACCCCTTTCACGTTACATTGCAATCATGAGTTTATGTGTTTGTCTGTGTCCACTTAATTGTAAACCTTTTCAGGGAAGAAGAATTATCTTATTTGGCATTTTTACCTTTAGCCCTTAAAGATTGTTGGTATATATTAGATACTCAGTAAATATGAATAGTATTAATATAATGTAACAATCCTGAGAGGACCTTAGGTTAATATAGGAGATAAATATTTTGGAATCCTGAACCCTGGGATTGAGACAGTCTAGTATAGGGTTGATGTGGTTTGGCTCTGTGTCCCCACCCAAATCTCATCCTGTAGCTCCGATAATTCCCACATGTTGTCGGAGGGACCCTGTGAGAGATAATTGAATCATGGGAGTTTGTCTTTCCTGTGCTGTTCTTGTGATCGTGAATAAGTCTCAGGACATCTGATGGCTTTACAAATAAGACTTTGCCTGTGCAAGCTCTCTCTTTCCCTGCCGCCACCCACGTAAGATGTGACTTTCTCCTCCTTGCCTTCCGCCATGACTGTGAGGCTTCCCCAGACACGTGGAACTGTGAGTTCTCCATTAAACCTTTCCTTTGTAAATTGCCCAGTCTCGGGTATGTCTTTATCAGCAGCGTGAAAACAGACTAATATAAGGGTGCTGTTAGAAAAATGTGGAAAGAGATATAAGCTCAGGAATCCTGAAAGTGATGCTGGTTAGCTGAGATAAAGGCTGAAAATATTGGTGAAAGCTGAATAAAAAACAAGAATTGGGGAGTAATTTCTTACACATTTAAACACCATATACAAAGAAGGGAATGACATTAAGATGTTAAGCTGCCACTTTACCCCACCTAGTATTAATTTGTGCTAAGGGATGCCTGGCACCTGATTAGGTACCTGGTTTCTCAGTTCTTTCATCATAAGGCCTTAAGAGACAGAGAAAAAAAAATAACTAAATGAGAACTATAGGTCCAACAGCCATCCCCTTCTACCTAGCACCAGCACGTGGGGCACCAAACATAAGGAACAAAGTGTTCAGAATGAGACATTTTTAATAACACTTTATTAAAAGGGAACATGAACCTGAAATCTGAAACTTCCTCATGTTACTAAGATGCTTGGTCACTTGATATTTACATGGGCATAACTAAATTATCCTACTGCTGAGGCTCAGTGCAATCAGGTTAACAATATTTTTATATTTCTTTTTAAAGTGAGAATTTTCCTGAACTATATTAAATCTGTTTCTATCTTATCAAATCTTCTTTTATCAAAAAAGATATTAATACTAACTCTTTTTAATACTTCATAGTGTCAACTTGTGGTTACCCAACTTGTTTACCCTCCTAATATATTTTCAGCTTCTTTAGAACAAGGTCTGTGTTTTATATTTATTTGATAAAATATGACCACATCCACCACTAACCTCCACACCCTTAAAGTAACTAACATTAAGAACTGTGTTCAAAACATTTGTAGAATGATTAACAGGCATACGTCATTGACTGTTCAGTGACTTTCTCCTGAAATCACTAATTCAAAAATATAATCAAAATAGTTATTTATACTAATATACAGAGTGATAGTGCTGAAAAGGCATTGGCTTCAAGATACGGAATCGTGGAAAATTAGCCCCAACTTGAAAAGATTTGGAAGAAAGTAGTATCTTCAAGCAAATGACTTTAAAATTATGGCCATTCTATCCTTTCATTTACTAAAGAAATAGAATTGAGAGCATGGGAATAAAGATCAAGTGAAGAGAAAGAAGTAAAAGCCTTTTGTAAAACTTATAAAATGCTACGAAATTTCCACTGAAATTTGAAAGACCATTGAAGATGAAGATGTTTCTTGAGACTTTTATTGATTTATTGAACCTGGTTTTTCAGAGCATTAGAATGATATATTAACATTCTATGTAACCATTTTAGAAAAAAACTAACATAGATAAAAACAGCTCCCATGATTAGCCAGTCATCCATAGGAATGTTCATAATAATTTTACATTTAGTAATAGTGTTACAATAATAATGCCAACATTACCTGAGCTCTTAATATTTACCATGTTGTGCTAAGTTCTACGCGGTCATCGTACAATACTAATAAAATTTCTGAAAGTGTAGGTACATTTTGTTAGCCTTTTTATAGATGAGGAATTTCATTCTTCCCATAGTAAATAATTATTGAGAGGCTGCTATGTATCAGAACTTTTCAAGGGCTAAAGATTTTGCAGTAGTTAAGTTGCACTTATTTCTTCCATGGAGCTTATTTTTCAGTAGGGGAAGGCTGAAGATATAAACATGCAAGCCAAGAAAAAAATAATAGAAACAAGTACTATATAACCAAACTGTGTAATTAATAATTAGTAACCGATTGATCAGAGAGGAAGACCTCTTTGAGAAAGTGGCTTTTAAACTAAGATGTGACTGTCTAGAAAATATAAAACCTGTAAAGATGAGGCGAAAGAGCATTCTGGGGGAGAAAAGGGTGTGAGAAGGCTGTGAAAAAGGACTGAGTGTGGCATCTTTGAAGAAGAGGAGAAAGACCAGCATGGCTACACGGGATAAAGGGGAAAGAGAAAGAAGAAGAGGACAGAGAAGTAGACAGAGACTGATCAATCAGGGATTTGTAATAACCTTCAAAGGGCTGAACTTTATTCTAATTGCAAAGGTTGAAAGGGGTAGTATTGAGTGGACATAATATATGATTAATTTTTTTTAATTTACATTATACAGAAGCAAGGGTGCAAATATAGAGAGCAATTTAAACACTATTGCAGTAGACTAAGAGAAGTGTGATTAAGTTTAGGACCAGAACGGTAGAGATGGAGATGAGCAGGTGTAGTCAGATTAAAGTTATGCTTTGGATTCAGAATCATTAAGACTGCGGATGGATGAGATACGAACTGAGAGGCAAAGAAGAGTAAGTAAAGATAGTGCTGGAAACGCTGGCCTGAGAAACTGAGGAGAAAGGTTTGCTACTGATCTGTAAGGATCAGAAAGAGGGTGGGCTTAGGGATTGGAAGTGCACTCTAGAGCTGTGACTTGAACGCCTATCTTCTTATGCCAGGGTTCCAACTACCAGAAAAAGGGTCACTGAAGAGATGATATTTTGTTCAATTTTTACATAACTTTTTTATTCATATTGTTTATGCCTTTTTTCTTCTTCTGTCTGCATCCAGCTAGTCATTAAAATTATTCAAAGTACACAAAATATTTTTTCTGAATTCTAATGTCATTAACAAGTCTACACACATTTTACCTACACGCATACACAAAAATAATAATAATGATAATTCAGAATTCTCAAGGGCTAAAACAAGAAGCATATTCAAATGCTTCCATAGCTGGAAACTTTTATGAAGGGTAGCATTTTTGTAAAAATACAACAAAACCAAAAGAACAGAAGGATCATCTTATGTCCTCAGCAACATGCCTGATGCATAGCAAAGACACAATAACATTTTTTGAATTGTAAACACAATAGTTACTTGTGTTAGAAGGGTTTAATCATCATCATAATCATCAAAACTAATATTTAATGAAAATTTAACATTATACTCCACTGCTTTTCAAAATACATAGCAGAGCCCTTGGGTTCTGTGTGCATACTCAGAAGCTGAACCAGGGAAGAGGAGAGCTAGGTGGGCTGCCACACGTGCCCAACTGTGTAAAAAATACTGAATTTCTACAAAGGGTTCATATGCACAATCAGCACTTGGAAAGTACTGTTCTAAGCTAAGATGGTAAGTTTATTTTTGTTTATTAATCCAGGTTTGTTACTTGATTATCCTTATATTTTCATAGGTTAAGTTGAGGAGAAAACACTTAAACTGTTACTTAGCAAATGTAATTATTTATTGGACTCTACAACTTTTAATATTCCTGTATATTTTAGTGGTATTAGCAGTTTACCCTTAAAAATCAACGACAGTAAAAGAAAATGTGTACGGGTGTATGAGAAAAGGGGAAACCAGAAATAGGATAGGAGTGCCTTTCCTCTCTTCTTGAGCACATTTAGGGTTTGAGTAATTTTCCACCAAAGAATGATATACCATGGAGCTGCTGAAATTCCATTCCATCTTGGCACTACAGTATGTCAGGGACTGAAGGCTTTTGGAGAGTGACTTCTCACTCCAGCCTATGGCAACGTGTATAGACACTCACCCTTTCTCATCCCCAGTAGGAACAAACATATTCTTCTCCCTCTCTTGGCAGTACGAATTTGTATCTGGAAAAAGAGTAAACGAGCTGTTCTTTTACATATGGATGTGTTTCCTTTATTGTTTTTAATGTATGTGAAAGGTATTTGTGGAAGATATGTGAATATGTCGAAAGCACATTATGCCTGCGCTAATGCTTTAAAAGTGAGATAACTATTTAGAGCTTATTTTCTGAGTGTAACAATATGAATTATATCTAACTATCACAAATAATATTTTGCTATTACCCATGTAATCAGGAAATGCTGTTACACAGTTTCTTAAATGATAAGGTCATTGAATGTTACTGTTTTTATCACCTATCCTATCAAATGGAAAAATTCCACTTGACAAAATTAGATTCTTAGATAGATATATAATTGGAAAATAGTTGTACCAAAAGCCATATTCAAAGATATGACCCAGTTATGTCCAAGTAAATGGTCTTATTATTGCATTATAATTTAATACTTCTTATACTGAAATTGCTGATTTAACTTTGAATGTAAATTTTGAAGAGTGATGTAGAAATGTTTACGAAAATTAAAAATCAAACTATAGCACTTATTTCCCATGAAAAGTTATATTAATTTTATCGTGTTGTGGTAAAATGATGTATTTATTCCATAAAAGAAAATGTCCAATTGCACAAAATATATGAGTAACTGTTAGATAAAATACAGTGTGTATTTCATTCTACCATGGTGACACCACTATATATTTTCATCATTCTAAGACTTTCAGAAAGGATTCTTAACTATCGCATTCTTACTCTGTCTACATAAAATTCTATGTGATCCAATTGAATATGTTGAGTACTTAATATGTGTTGGAAATAAAAGCAAATGCATGAATAAGAAAGAAAGTCTGGATAATTAAAGAGTTTGTTAATTATACTATGTTCCCAAAGTTCAATTAAAGTATTGGGCCAGAATTCATTAGATAGCATGCCTTGTTGAATACGAGTTGTGTTGGCTGACTCTCACATAAATGAGTTCATAGAGATACCATCGCTGTCAAAGTAGGATTTAGGAATCCCAATATTGGTGATATTAATGAGAATTCTTATATCTCTGTGGAAAGCATGACAATCTGATCACGCTAAAAGAAATTCTTATTAAACTTAAAAATTTGGTGAAGGCATACAAATCCCTTTTTTATAATTGCTAAATAAAAAATTTGAAAATCCCTGCTGTTCTGTGTAAATAAGCAGAAAACTCAGGAGACCATGCCATACTCTTTCCGGAGATTTCTTAACTCAAATTTACCATCGTTAGAATGGTTAACATTATATATTCAGATATAACTGAATCTACTTACTACCACTAGAGAACAATGATAATTTAATAAGCACAGTGAAGTATGTAAGCTTGTTATTAATAAAATTTCCCAGCCTCTGTTACTAATACTGTGA